>NC_000011.10:45514545-45817575 GCF_000001405.40 Homo sapiens
TTGTACCTTTTTTTAAGCTATGTTGTTAGCACTCAGAACACTTCCTTGTTGTTTTGGGGGGAATGGAGCATATGTCACTAATAGAATGCCTCCGAAGCTGGATCGATGTAGGGAAAACATCTTTCCCTTCTAGTTTTAGGAGACTTCCTCTCGGCTCCCAGGAGTAGGGATTCCCTGACTTTGACACACATAGCCACCTTGGCACAAAAGCCTTGTTGTGTGGAAAAACTAAAATTTGTTTTTATGTCATCTTCTCCATTCCCACCTTTAGCATAGACTTAACTTCCATAAACCCAGACCCCTGTTGGGATCCAACCCCCAGTCACTGGTTACCAGTGGCTCAGGCAGCCTGGACTTTCCAGGGATGCCACTGAGACGGCGCCCCTTAAAGAAGCAGTGGTTTCATTTCTACATTGAGGATCTTCAGATAAAGTCTGCCATTTTCTTTTACTTCCTGAAAGTCAGAGTGGGCTCGTGAAACATTGTTAAACAACATGTTAAATGTGAAATGTCAACCCTCACTCTAAATTTTCCCTGTTCACAGCATCAAATGAAGACCTCGTCTAGTCTTATAGTGGCTTTCCGATTTGGGCAGCCCATTGAAGAAGGGAGTTTGAACGTTGTCGTATACCATTAATGCTTGTCTGCCCATGTCTTGCCTGAAATACGACAATTGTTTATCGAAAGTATCTTTAATCAACCTGGATACAGTTTGGCTTTGGGAAAACAGGTAGTAAGTGTGGGGTGGAGAAGGCTACAAGAAGAGGCAGGTGCAGAGGCCTTGGAGAGGAAAGAGTGAGGGGATGGGTGGCAAATGGAGCCTGGAAGGGTGAGGCCTATGGCTTCAAATGGTGTCCTTAAGGTAATGCCTCAGAAAAAAGCAGAAATCACAAATTGTTTTTCCCCAGTCATTGAAACTGTCCTGGGCCAAGGACAGTGGGATTGAGACTGACATTTGTGAAGCACCCGGGATCCGCTAAAGACTGAACCAGGTGGCCTGGGTGTCATCTCCTTTGAGTATGGCCACTGCCCTGTGCAGAAGGTGCCTTATTTATTTATTTATTTATTTATTTATTTATTTATTTGAGACAGGGTCTCACTCTGTCACCCAGGCTGGAGTGCAGTGGCATGATCTTGGCTCACTGCAACCTCTGCCTCCTGGGTTCAAGCAATTCTCCCGCCTCAACCCCCTGAGTAGCTGGGATTACAGGCACGTGCCACCACATGCTGCTAATTTTTGTATTTTAGTAGAGACGGGGGTTTCACCATGTTGGCCAGGCTGGTCTCGAACTCCTGGCCTCAAGTGATCCAACTGCCTCAGCCTCCCAAAGTGCTGGGATTACAAGCATGTGCCACTGTGCCTGGCCAAGAAGGTACTTTTTTCAACTTTATAGGGCAATGTTTCAATTTCATAAAAATCTACCCACTTCCAGTTTACAATGCAATTATTTTTAGTAAATTTACCAAGTTGTGCAGCTATCATCATCTATCACCCCAAGTTTTAGAACATTTCATCACCCCAATAAGATTCCTTCTTGCCCATTTATATCAATTCCTGTTCCCACCCCATGCCTGCCTCCAGGAAGCCACTAATTTAATTTCTGCCCTGTCATATAGAAATTGAGTCTATAATATGTGGTCTTTTGTGTCTGGCTTCTTAATGCTTTTGAGGCTCACCTGCGTTCTAGTATATATCAGTCATTCATTTCTTTTTATGGCTGAATAGTATCCCATTGTATGGTTATATCACATTCTGTTTATCTATTCACAAGTAGATGTACATTTATGCTGCTTTCAATTTGGGGCTGTTATGAATTATATAGTTTGGATATTTGTCCCCACCCAAATCTCATGTTGAATTGTAATCCCCAGTGCTGGAGGTGAGCCTGGTGGGAAGTTTTGGGTCATGGTGGTGGATCCCTCATGATTTGGTGCTCTTTGTGGTGCTGGTCATTCAAAAGTGTGTGGCATCCCCCACCACTCTCTTATGCCTGATTTCACCAGGTAAAGTGCCTGCTCCTGTTTCACCTTCCTCCATGAGTAAAAGCTCCCTGAGGCTTCCCCAGAAACAGATGCTGCCATGCTTCCTCTATGGCTTACAGAACCATCAGCCAATGAAACCTCTTTTCTTTATAAATTACCCAGTCTCAGGTATTTCTTTATAGCAATACAAGAACGGCCTAATACAATGAATAAAGCTGCCACAAAGACTTGTGGGTGCAAATTTTTGTGTGGGTGCATGTTTTCATTTCTTTTTGATAGATGTCTAGGAGGAGAATGCTAGATCATGAGGAAAGTTTATGTTTAACTTTTTAAGAAATGTGCTGAAGGTATTATTATCACCATTTTTCATACAAGGACACTGAAGCTCAAATAGGTCAGGTGACTTGTCCTGTGACACTGGGTCACAGCCAAATGCGGGACGTCAATGAACCATAACACAAATCATGGTCTGTATAAATCACTGAATAGCCCATGAGTCCCTTGGTAGGCCCTGCTTTCAAAAGGCATCTTCCTGTGGACCTATCTGCTGTTACATGCTTGATATTCCAGCATGAGCACATCTTTCCATTGAGTTAAGTATTGCTTCTCTTTGTCCACTGCAGGATGAATCCTGACATGTTCATTCCCAAAGACCTTTCTGAAAATAATCTCCAGCCAGCAAGCCTGGAGCCTGAGAAGGGACGGCAAATGGGAGACAAAAGAGGTGGGAAGAGGGCCTGGGAAAGAGGCAAAGATGGTCCTGGTCGCTGCCACGTGCGCCCAGGCCAGTCCTATGCTGGCGTGTGTTCAATGCTCTTCAATTCACATTCACGGGGTGTCCGCCCTGGGCCAGTCCCTGTGCTGAGCACGTGAAGGGAGGCAGGGCAAATCAGACCTGGTCCCTGCTCTTAGCTGATAGCCCACTGGGGCAGGTGGCTTCACCATCACACACCAGAGAGGTGCTATATAGCAGGGACACTGAGTATCCCAGAAGCCAGAGCAGGGAGGGCAAAATTCCTGCTAGGGAGATGGGAAATTCTTCCCGGATGAGGTGGCACTGAATGAAGCCTTGGAGGATACTTAAGATTCTACAGGAGGAAGGGCTTTCCAGGAAGAGGGTTCTGCATGAGCAAAGGTGTGTGAGTTGGGGTGGGAAGAGGAGTTCGAAGTGGACCTTTGGGCACTTCCCTTCGCCTAGAGATTGAAGACCTAGATCAGAGCTTGCAAAATTGAAATGCCAACAGGGAAAACACTTCTAATTATTCACAAGGCAATCCTGTGGCTTGAGCACACGAGTGACCTGCCCTCTGAAAGGCCAACAGATGAGTGAACCAGGCCAGATAGGAGATGTAATGACCTGGGGCACCCGCATCTTGTCTAAATGGTCGGCCACTATTCCACCAGAGCCAGTTGTTACTCTGTGGGAATGCAGGCCCAATATATAATTTTTGATTTTTCAAAAGAAACTAGAAAATCCAAATATTTATGTGAAATATCCAGATCTTGCAGTGCCATAAATGCATTTCAATTGTTTTTAACTCATCTGTGGGTCAGCCTTTGTCCAAGGGCCTCCAGTGTGCAACCTGAGGCCTATGTGCCTCGGCCAGATTAAAGCCCTGCTCTCCAAACCCTCTCTTGGCCTTTGAAAAAGGGCGCGTCCCAAGGCTGCCCCTCCGGCCCGAATCTTCCTCCTGCTCAAACGGGATTGGCTGGCGGCGAGGGCAAATCAGAACACAGGAGCTAGGAGGGGGCGGGACCTCATGACAAAGCAGAGGGCAGGTGAGCGAGCAGTCATCCAACCCCATCAGCAGCCCGTGTATGGGATTGACGGATTTTAATTACATGTCATTCTAATCCTTAACATTTATCTAAAAAGTGACGGGGGCGGGCATGAGGGCGGGTCACGAACATGCTCAGCCCCAGGATTGCCCTGTGTCTAATTAGAAGTTTTCTCCCTCTTGATCACCTAAAGTCAAATTCATTTACTCTGCTCGAATTGAGGGTTTAATTGGATTCTTGTTTTTCCTCCTCCTGCCCTCTCCCCCATCTCCGTAGGCCTCTCTCCGTGCAGGAAGTAGGCCACAGCATCTCATTAGGAGGGAGAGCATCCCTTGGCAGACTCGCATTTATGACTGTTCATACCAGCCTGCAGCCGCATCCTTGGCCCCAGGTCGCTAGGATTATTGAGGCCATCGTGATTTAGGACCTTGTCATGATGTCTGATGGGCACCAAGCATGGCCCCAGACAAAGGTAGGCCTCTTGGCCCAGGCAGGGCCCTCCCTCCTAGGCTGGCAGGGCCCTTCCTGCCCCTCCCTGCTAGGCCAAGAGGTCCCCAGTCCTTTCAATACGTTGTGCTCCTGAATGGGCTTGATAATCCAATTCTGGGAGAAAAGTGGTGGAGAACAGCAATTAAAGGCCGACCCAACTACATCTGGGGATGTGTGGAGTCACTAAAACCACTAATTCTGTTGCCACATAATGAGGTTTCTTCCCTTTTTTTGTCACCCTGGTCTCCCCTTGTCAATTAAGGCCAAGCACAGAAGAGATTGGTTACAGGAGGGTGAACGAGCCTGGAGGCAGCTGATAGCCCACAGGAAAATTTCCTCCTCTAGATCAGACACTCTGAGGGTTCTGGGGAAGGGACACAGACTCTGGTCAGAAAGTCTAGGCTCAAGTCCTGGCCCATGGGCTGGAGATGTGTAATGCAGAAGAGAACTGGCTTGGAATCCAACACAGTTCCATACAAACCCTGTGACCTTGGGACTGTGACCCAACCACTCTGACCATCAGCTTCCTCTTCTGTAACACAGGGTTAACCTAAGGTTGCTATGAAGAGACATATGCCTGACATGTGGCAAGAACCCAACACACAACAGATAGCAGAGTGCTGTATTATGTTTAGGCCCCTAGCAAGGCATTTGGCACGCAGTAAGTGCTCAATAAAGGGTAATCTCTAGTATTATTATGTGACCTCACGCAATTTGAGGCTTTCTTGGCCTCAGACTTTTTACCTGTAAAGTGGGGACAGAGACTGTCCCTGCCTTTCTCTTACAGTTGTTTAAGGAGTAAATGGGTTAATTCACATTTAGAGAACAGCATCTGGCTCAGAGTTAAGGCTCCCTGTAAGTTAGCAATGATTGTTCTGGTAGCTTTCTGAGCTTGAACGAGTTGCTTACCTTCTCTGAATCTCAGTTCTCTCTTCTGAAAAAAAAAAAAAAAGATTTAAAAATAACACCATCTGTCGTGTCTACCACACAGGGTTGTTGTGTGGTATTAATTAATCAGATGAGATAGTGTTGATGAGAACATTGGCGATCTGTAAGTGCTCTACAAGTATTAACTGTTAGCATCATGCCATCAAAAGGTAATTAGTTGGTAAATAAAGACAAAGAGTCAAGCATTTTTCCCATCTTTCCTATACAAACTGTACTACTGGGTACCGAAATTGCAGATGAGGGGATGTTTCTCCTTTTAGAAGTATTCCAGCTCGTAAATGAGGAAGGGATGATAGGATTGGAATCTCACCATTTTGCAACCCCTAATGGATTAATGGATCCAAGCTGTGAGCATCCATACCTCCTGACATCCCCAAGCTGGAGACAACAAGCATGATGTGCCTCCTGATGGAAACGCACAGCACTGTGAGGTTGTATGACTGAAAAAGCCAACCCTGAACCTGATCAAGCCTCAAAAATGAATTGTCGACTTACAGGAAATACAGAAGACAGAGGAGTGAAGCCACCATGGGGATGCAATCAGGAAAGCCCACATTGTGGAAACACACAGGTCAAGCATCTGGTTTCTTCAATAAATAAAATTTTTAAAAGAGAGAAATAGGGATTACAGATTGAAAAAGACTTAGACATATCAACCAACCTCATTTGGATGCCAGTTCAAACAAACTAAAAAAAATAAATAAAAGTAAGACATGTATAAAGCAACTGGAAATGTGAACAGTCACTGGACATTTGATCTTATTAAGGATTTATTGTTAATTTTTAGAGAGATAATTGTATTATGGTTATGTAAAAACAGTATAAAAGTGTACTGAGATAAACATGGATAGAATATATGGTATACAGGGTTTGCTTCAAAAACAATATGGTGTGGTGGGTGAGTATAGAAATGAAACAAGATTGATACTTTTTGAAGCTGGGTAAAAGCTGTAGGGGGTATCATTATAATACTCTCTATTTTGTACATGTTTGAAATTTTCAACAATAAAATGTTAAAAAGAACAACTGAATTAGTCAGGGACAAGCCTTCATCAGGCATCCTGAGATTGCATGTAATTCAAGCGCTACAGGGGTTATTTTCATAAGGACAAAAGGCCCCAGTGTCAGTCTTTCTGAGATGGGTGGCTCTCCCTTTCAGTTCTTGACAAATTTGTTCTTTTTGCATGCCCATAGTTACAGTCTCCAGGATAGCATACAGGTTGGCTTTACAGTCATTTTTAAATAACACTTGGAGTTTCTCACTGTATTAGTCCATATTCACACTGCTATGAAGAAATACCCAAGACTGGGTAATTTATAAAGAAAAAGAGGTTTAATGGACTCCCAGTTCCACATGGCTGGGGAGGCCTCACAATCATGGTGGAAGGCAAAGGAGGAGTAAAGGCAAGTCTTACATGGCAGCAGGCAGGAGAGTGTGTGCAGGGGAACTGCCCTTTATAAAACCATCAGACCTCATGAGACTTATTCACTGTGACGAGAACAGCACGGGAAAAACCTGCCCCATGATTTAGTTGCCTTCCATCGTGGAAGGCAACTCCAAAGACACGCGGAGATTCCCAAGACACGTGGAGATTCTGGGAGCTACAGTTCAAGATGAGATTTGGATGGGGACACAGCCAAACCCTATCACTCACCTTCTGTCTTTTTCTGAAACCATCCTCTGGGGCTTCTGAAGCAATGCTGAGATAGTCAGGGAAGACTACCTGAAGGAGGTGGCCAAAGAGGAGAAAAAGATATTCCAGCCAAAGCAAAAGCTCAGAGGCAGGCAAGCTCACAGCTTTTACAGACTAGTGAGGAGAGGGGCCTGGCTGAAGCAAGGAAGGTTTGGTGCTGGGGCAACCTTGGGTACTGAAGATTCACTCAGTACTGGAGCCCTGAGTGTCTGATGAGGTCTGGTTTCCTTGTGACACTGCACAGCTCAATAGCTCTGAATGCTCATAAAAGAAAACCAAGTGTGTTTCTGTGATTTAATAAGGTGTTGGCATTACACAAGCTGAATTAGCAGGGAAAGAAGATGAAGCAAAGAAGGGATCAGGAAGAAAGGGGAGCCTCTTACACAGGTACCAACACAGACCAGAATCTCTCAGAGTATTCAGAAAAATCCCAATCCTTCAAGATCCTACATGAAAAAGGAGGATCCCAAACTCCATGGACAAGAGTTTGGGAAATACTGCATTGGTTCCTCTTAGAGTCACAATTTTCATTAACATGTAAAGGTCCTGAGAAGTCCTATAGGAAATAAAACATTTTGATTGTGTTTTACTTAGAGTTTAACCACAAAACACCTCTATTTCTCTGTTTTGGGGAAACCCTGCCTTAGATCATAAGACACAGTTGTACAAAGCCTCCATACCTTCTGGTTCTAGACCTATTTGTTGATCTGTGACCCTAATTCCATACTTACCCCTGAGGCCCCCAGCCCACACCCCCACCTGACTTTCAGTCCCACAGCTGGGACCAGAATCTGTGCAGTGCACTGAGGATGCTCCAGAGCAAGACCCAGAAAAGACTTAGGGTCTCACCCAGCCTGTCACCATGAGTTCCCAAGCATGGATTTTAAATATGAATGAAGTAGTCATATTACATGGGGAGAAATATGGGGGAGTGAGTACCAAGACACCTTCCCCTCTGCTGTGGTTTCAATGTTTCCCCCAAAGTTAACGTGTTGGAAACTTAATCCCCAATGCAACAGTGTTGATAGGTGGGACCTTTAACAGGTGAATAGATTAATGCTATACTAGCCCGTCCTCGCATTGCTATAAAAAATACCTCAGACTGTGTCATTTATAAAGAAAATCGGCCTAATTGGCTCACAGTTCTGCAGCCTGTACAGCAAGCATGATCCTGGCATCTCCTCAACTTCTGGTGAGGCCTCAGGAAACTTACAATCATGGCAGAAGGCAAAAGGGGAGCAAGATGTCTCACCTGGTAGGAGTAGGAGCAGGTGGAGGGTGCTACACACTTTCAAACAACCAGATCTCACAAGAACTCACTCATTATCACAAGGACAGTACCAAAGGAATGATGCTAAACCATTCATGAAAAGCCACCCCCATGATCCAGTCACCTCCCACCAGGCCCCACCTTCAACACTGGGGATTATAATTTGACATGAGATTTTGACAGGGACACAGATACAAACCATATCACATATTATTGTCACAGGTGTGGGTTAGTTATCACGGGAGTGGGCTTCTGATATAAAGGATGGCTTTGGTCCCCTTCCTCTCTCATACAAGCATGCTCTCTTGCTCTTCCACCTTCTGCCTTGGGATGATGCAGCAAGAGAAGGTCCTCACCAGGCACAGTCACCTGGAACTTGGACTTCCCAGCCTCTAGAACCACGAGCCAATTAAATTTATATTTATTATAAATCACCCAGTCTCAGATATTCCATTATGGCAACATAAAATGGACTAAGACAGCCCTTCACTCTCTGAAACAGTATAAGAATTGTTGGCCTAGAAGGTCTATGGCCTGTAATGCTGGCTCAGACTCTGTGTTTCATTAAAAGTCTTTGTCCTTGATCCCGGGGGCAGGCTCTGTCCCTTTAGCTTGAGCACTGCAGGAGGACTCACCTGGTAGGCTCCACGGCCAACCTGTACAGTATTATCCAGGCTGTGCCATTCCACCCAGCTGCCAACATCCAATCTCAGTTACTGTATAGAGCATGAAAAGGATCCTCTCTTGCCCCCTTGCTGGACTGAAGCTGCTGATCTTAGAGTAGGAGGGGTCCATGAAGGGAGATGCTCCCCAACTCCCACCCTTCCTATGCATGACTCATTCAAAAGCTACATCTTGAGCAATTACCATTACCATGTGCTGTTATGGAATCTGAGGAGACAGCAGTGAACTAGCAGTGGGGGCCGGGACAGAAAGTAAAGTCTAAACATAATGAGCAAATTGGTATAGAATAATAGAATGACAAGAAAAACAAGAAAAATGAAACAGGAAAAGAAGATGAGTATCTGGGGCAGGGGTGTCTACAGTCCTAACTTTTTGCCTTAGTTTTCTCCATAGCACTTACCATCATCTGGCCAACTATATCTTTCACTCATTCATTTGTTTAGTGTTTCTCCTTCCACTCCAATGGGAGCTCTGTAGGGCCAGGAAGTTCGATCTCTCTTGTTCACAGCTGTTCCCATGTAGTAAATCCTCAATAAGTATTTGTTGGACGAACGAAGCAGTCTGTGTGTCTGGCATCCTTCCTGACATCCCCTTCCCTCTCCAGGGAGAGAGTTTATCTCAGCAGCTGATGGGAAAGAGCGGTGGAGCACCCTGGCTGCAGCCTTGACCAGTGGAGGTTCTGGCTGCAGACTTTACCTTGTGGCCCAACCTCCCCCCATCACCCCGGATCTCACTCAGCCTCTTCCCCCAGGGAGAGTGTATTAGTCTATTCTCACAATACTATAAAGAACTACCTGAGACTGGGTAATTTATGAAGAAAAGAGGTTTAATTGACTTGCTTTTCTGCAGGCTGTACAGGAAGTATGGCTAGGAGGCCTCAGGAAACTTACAATCATGGTGGAGGGCAAAGAGGAAGCAAGCACATCTTACCATGGCAGGGCAGGAGAGAGAGAAAGAGTGAAGGAGGATGTGCTACACATGTTCAAACAACCAGATCTCATGAAAACTCACTCACTATCACAAGAAGAGTAAAGGGGAATTCCTCGCCATGATCCAATCACCTCCCACCAGGTCCCTCCCCCAACATTAGGCATTACAATTCAACATGCGATTTGGGTGGGGACACAGAGCCAAACTATATCAGAGGGTGAACCCAAGCCTCACAGGCCTCCCAGCCTTCAGGAGATGGACAGCTGGGAGATGACCTGATGGCTGCAGGCCCAGAAGGCAGGTCAGTGTCCAGCTGCCATCACTGATCCCCAGGGTGGGTGCAGCAGCTTTTTCCCTGCTCCGCCCAGCCAGGGCCATCCTGCTAAACAGACATCAGGCCTCATCACTCCTCTGCTGAAAGACCTCTGGAGGCTCCCATCTCACTCAGAACAAAAACCAGTGTCTTTGATCTTCTCCCACAAGTCCAGTGTCTGGCCTCTCCCTCCACCCTCCCATAATCACATTCTGAGCCATGTCTTCCCAGCTTCACTGTCTCCCCTGGCTTGTCCTCAGATATCCATCACACTCCTGCCCCAGGACCTTTGCACTTTCTACTCCTTCAACCTGGAACTTTCTGTCCTGGTATTCACATGGCTGGCACCCTCTCAATGTTCAACTAGCTGCTCAATACTGCCACTCCTCACAGAGGTCTTCCCTGACCAGCCCACCCCAAATTGTCACCCCCTTATCCTTCTCTATCTTTTTTGGCTTTCCTTTTTACTTATGGCTCTTCTTACCACTTGACATTATATTATATATGTATTCAATTGCTCATTGTCTGTATCATAAGAATACAGGCACCACAAGGACAACAATGCTGCTACTTTATTGACTACTGTATTCTCAGCACCTGAAACAGTGGCAGGCACATAGTAGGTGCTCAGGAGATTTTTGTTGAATGAATGAACAAATGAGCCAGCCTGTCAGTGGGCACCTCGCGGAGACAAATTCCCCAGGGAACGTGGGCAATGCTTCTGTTTCCTGGTCTACCCTTACACATAGAAGCTGGGCCGGGCTGGGGCTCAGCCCCTAGTCTGGGAAAATATTCCTCACTGAGACAGGCTGAGGGTTCAGAGTTCCCAGGAAGGGGAATGGACACACCCTCCCTCCATGTATTGTGAGAGTAGCCTCTCTATCTCCCTACCTCCCTGGCAGGTGGCCAGCCAGGCTCTCCAAGCCCTGCAGGGACAGAAAGCCCCCTCCCTGTCTTACCGAAAAGAATTAATAACAGAATGGGAGGGTGATCTGATGACAAGAGCCATATGTTTCAGAAACGTGGAAACTCCAGAAAACACAATGCAGAAATAAACCACAAGCCATGTATATACCACTTTCTTTTTTCTTTTTACAAAACTGAAATCCAATGGCCCACTTTATGTTGTAACCAACTTTATTCTTAACTTTATATTGGCATTATGGTTTGGCTCTCTGTCCCCACCCAAATCTCACCTTGAATTGTAATAATCCCCATGTATTGTGGGAGGGACCCAGTGGAAAGTAACCAAATCACAGGGGCAGGTTTTCCCATGCTGTTCTCATGCTGTTCTCACTATCTCATGATAGTGCATAAGTCTCATGAGATCTGATGGTTTTACAAAGGGGAGTTCCCCTGCACATGCTCTCTTGCCTGCCGCAGTGTAAGAGGTGGCTTTGGTCCTCCTTTACCTTCCGCCATGATTGTGAGGCCTCCCCAGCCATGTGGAACTGTGAGTCCATTACACCTCTTTTTCTTTATAAATTACCCAGTCTCAGGCATGCCTTTATTAGCAGTGTGAAAACAGGCAAATACAACCGGGAACACATTCCATATGCCTTTAGACACTTATTCTATAACACTATTCTTAACGGTTGTCTTATATTCTAGAACCCGACAAAACTACAATGGCATTTTTAACCAGTCCCCTGTTGTTGGACATTTAGGTTCCTTCGGATGTTTCATTCTTGGAAACAGTGTTACAGTGAGCACCCTGCATCATACATCTCAGTGCTCACCTCTGACTGTTTCTTCAGGACCAATTCCCTCTCTGGACAAAGCTGGGAGTCAAATCCAGGCTGGTGAAGGAGGCAGCGGTCCTGTTTTGTTCCTTCTGCTCTGAGCAGTGCTTAGTGGTCCTCAAAGGTCCCCCGCACATTCCCCTCTCCTCATCACAGCCTTGCCCAAGACCTGCACTTTTCAAAAGTAGAGCATCCCATGTGGGCAAGTTTGGACATCCTCAGAAAGTCCTTTTTGTGGATTCACATGCGTTTGTCCAAAAGGAACATGTAGTGTTTCACATTTTATTCATGCATATATCAATGTGGTGTCTAGGCTGCTTGAGATCATAAGCAAGTCCATTCCCTCCTCTGAGGCTCAGTTTCCTTCTCTGTATGATGAGTGGATGAGATGGCCTCAGAGTCCCTTTCTGCCCCATCCTACCAGGGAATCTCCAGAAGTGCTGCATGAAATAGAAGGGGTCTCGGTGTGGGCTCTGCCAGCCTGGCTTTGAATACCAGCTTGCGAAATACTAACTATATGATCTTCAGCAGCTTCCTTGAGCTCTCTGTGCCTCAGTTTCCCCTTCTATGTAATGGGGTAACAATAATGTCCGCATCCCACATCACAGGCGTGTGGGGAAGAATCAACGAGATTCACCTGAGCCACCTCTTGACACAGTGCCTGGCTCAGGACATGGTGCTCAGTAAATCTACTTTTATTATGACAACAAGACTTGATCTTTCAAATCCTTTATCTCATTGACCACACTGATGTTGTCCCTGTTTTATCAATGAAGTAACAGGCTTGGAGATAGTGAGACTTGTCTCAGGTCACATGGCCAGTTCAGGGGCATAGCCAGGCTTATCCATGCTCTGACTCCCACTCCAGTGCTGTCTGCATCTGGAATGCAGACCCCCAACAGTGGCCCAGCCCCGCAGTGGTTCCAGGGACCGTGGGAGACCTTGTGGCTGAGGGTCGAGCCTGTGGTTCTTTCATTCCCCCTCCCCATACTTGACCTTCAGCCTCCGCACTGAGGCGCCTTTTTCACAGGGCAAGCATGGGCAGCTAAGAGGAGTGGGTGGCAGCACATGGCACATCAGATGGTCAGAAAACAATGCCAGGTGCTGCTGAGCTGGAAGAGCCAGAGTGGCCAATAGGCTTTTGTCAAAATTTTTTAAAAAGTGAAACTCAGAGGAACATTTTCCTCCCCAGAAGAAAAGGTGTGCAGCCCACCTGGTAGGTAGGTCCAGGCATGGACCCAGCAACAGAGGCAAGTGGAGGACCTGCCCTCCCTGGTGACTCTGGGTGAGCCTCAGCTGGTGGGTTGCAGAGCTGCCCTGGCCCCAGAAGACTCAAGGCTGCCTTAAGACTCTGCTCCAAAACACCATGGAGTCTGTGCTCCACTGGCTCAGGGAATGCTGGGGCCCTTCCACCTCCCTGAGCTTTACCCTGGGGATGGTGATACAAGTCTTCTCTGTTCCCAGGCCCTCCAGACCTCCTTGGATGAGGAGCAGAGAAGGATCCGGGCAGGTACATGGCCCATCTTCAAAGCCCACCCAGCAACAGCCCAACCCCTCACCATCACCCTGTCTTCCCCCAGCCCAGGAAATCACCCTGCGCCTTCCAAATCTTTGGGTTTTCACCTGGTTCTTTCTATCCTCCACCACCCACCACCACCTCCACCCTCCACCCACACACACACATTTGAGCTTCAGTTTTGACACTCAAAAGACAAGAACTGACTACTGACTTCCACTGAGTCATCCCTACCCTGCAGCAGTGAATTTCCTGAGCCCAACTGCCCTATAAAGAAAGAGGAAATGCCAGAGAAAGAAGAAAGATTAATATTTCAAAAAAGAAAACCATCTGGCCATATAATTTTACATTTATTCTTATGATCAGTTAATCTCTATCTCCCTTAGACCATAAATTCCATGAGGGCAGGACCCGCATCTGATTGGCTCACTGTCCTATCTCCAGTGTCTAAGACAGGGGACCTAACACACAAGGAAGAATGAAGATCAGAAGAATGAAGAGCCAGCCATCCTCCTTTCTTGGGTTCCCTAGGTGAGCTCAGAAAGGACCCCTAGAAGCACAGAATGAAGAGGTTGAACCAGACCTGTGGTTGCTGAGCTGGGCTCTATGAAGGCAGTTGTGTGAATCTTGTTTTCAAGATTTTAAAAAGTCTAACAAAGTCAATCCTCCTCACCTTCCTGGGACAGCTTACACAAGCTCACCAAGATGGCAGCCTCATTGATTTTTCCCAACTGTCCAGGGACTCTGGTTAACTATTAATGACATCACACACCCCAACCCAATTCCAGCTTATGAGCCCAGTACTGCCAGTGTCTACATGGCATTAAATGAGCATGTGACGGCCGTTGGCTTCCCTGTGAGTGTGGGTTGTGGTAGAAAAAAATGTGGCAGGGAACACAATGCAAATTGTCCCCTAAAGATCCAAATGAGCTTTGATGGAGAGAAGTTTTGGAACCCTAACTTAACAGATGCTTGGAGTTCCTCCCAGAACCAAACACCTCAGGTGGGCACTTTCTTTCCCAGATCACTTTCTTCGTCATCAAAAATACCCTGAACCCTGGTGCAGAGGTTCACACCTGTAATCCCATCACTTTGGGAAGCCCACACGGGAAGATCGCCTGAGCCCAGGAGTTCGAGACCAGCCTGGTGAAATAGTAAAACCGCATCTCTACAAAAAAAAATTTAAAAAATTAGCATGGTGGCATGCATCTGTAGTCCCAGCTACTTAAGAGGCTGAGATGAGAGAATGGCTTGAGCCCAGGGGTTCAAGGCTGCCGTGAGCTAGGATCACTCCACTCCAGCCTGGGTGATAGAGCGGGACCCTGTCACTTAACAAGATAATAATAATAAAGTCCCCTGAGCCCAGAAGGAGGGAGAGAAGGGAAGTGGAAGGAGCAAAGTCATCCCTTTGGATCCTGGGGAAGACTAGCAACAGTTCTGAAGAGATACAAAGCCCTGATTTCCATCAGGGGCTGTAATGGGGAAGACACTGGACCCCTCCCTAGGACCTGCTTTCCCTGGCACCTCCCACTTCCCCTGAGTGGAAAAGCAGGCCCAGGGCTGGCTCCTAGGGCCCACAGCCCAGAGCCTGCTGCATGGGATTTTAAATTGTCTCTCTCAAAGTCGTTGCCAATACCAATATTAACAACGGCTCACTCTTAATGAACTGCTTACTCTTCTCTGGCCATGAGTCATGGAGGGCATTTTACAGACATTTGCTCATTTCTTTTCAACCCTCACAACAAGGCCTTGAGAAAAGTATAATATTATGCTCATTTTACAGATGAGGAAACTGAGGCCCAGAGAGTTATGATAGATTATTGCAGTAATGGCCCCCAATTTGTTCATGCACTACCCTGGGCAGTGCCCTTCCACCCTGGCTCAGGACTTGACCATGGGACTTACTTTGGCCAATAAGAAAGAAGCAAGCATATTCCAGGCACAGTGGCTCACACCTGTAATCCCAGCACTTTGGGAGGCCGAGGCAAATGGATCGCTTGAGCTCAGGAGTTTGAGGCCAGCCTGGGAAACATAGCAAAACCCCATCTCTGCCAAAAATACAAAAATTATCCAGGCATGGTGGTGCACGCCTGTGGTCCCAGCTGCCCAGGAGGCTGAGGTGGAAGAGCTGCTGGAGCCTGGGAAGTCAAGGCTGCAGTGAACCATGATCATGCCACTACACTCCAACCTGGGTGACAGAGAGAGAGCCTGTCTCAAAAAATAAAAAGAAAGGAGCAAGCATAATGCCTGCAGGGGCTCGAAAAGTGCTTGCACACTGGGGCTTCTCTCTCACTGCCTCTGAAGCCCTTTTACCACTCTGTGAACAGGCGCAGGCTTGTGGAGAGAGCCCCATAGTTCATCATCCCAGAGGAAGCCAAATTAATCAGCCAGTTCCAGGGATCCACCAGCTAATGGCAGACACAAGAGTGAGCCCAGCCAAGATCATTCAAGCCTTGCCCAGACCAGGACAGCTCAGCTGATCCCAGTGGAAATTGCTGATTCCCAAATCACAAGCTACATGAATGTTTGTTGCATTAAGCCACAGAGTTGTGAGGTGTTTGCTGCATAGCAAAAGCACCTGACACAGAGGTGAAGTCATTTGTACAAGGTCACACAGCAGGGCTAGAATTCAAACCCAACCTTTCTGTGCAGTTAAGAGCATGTGCTCTTAACACTAAAGCTGTAGTGTTTACAAAGTCCATTTATTTTCATTGCAGGTCCCTAGTGAGTCTATGAATCGATCATCTCTGCGTGGAAACTCAGAGATGTCAAGGGACCTACCTTAGGTCACACAGCTGCTAAGAGCTGGCGGAGGACTTCCAGCCCAGTTCCTTTAATTCCACCTTCCTGCTGTTCCTGCCACTCCATGAAGGCTGGAACAGCCAGAGCCCAGGGTGCTGGTTTACAAATCAGCCTCTTCCTCAACCTCTGAGGTCCTCCACAGTCCTCCTTATGTCTCATGAAGGACCCAAGGTTCTACCTCCCGCCATGAGTTTCTCAGACAGAACAGGTGGCACCCTCGCTGGGGAGTCAGGACAGTGGAGCCGCCTCTTCCCAACCCTCACCCTCCCCTCCCTGTATAGTAGGAGCTGTCGGTTGTCCTGGATACAGCAGGTAATGGGAAGGATGGCAGCTGAGGTCACAGCGTGAACCAGGATGGCTGTGGGCAGGGAGAAATGGCTTCCCAGACATACTTGTGCCCTTTCACCCAGGCTGGAGTGAGAGAGGAGGGTGCAGCTGGCCTGGCCATGCCCATGCTAGCATAGGAGACCAGAGGTCCCGATGAGATTCCCGGGATGGGCTGAGAGTAGGGGGAGGTGAGTCAACCGCCCAGGCCTCCCACATCTAATTGCAAGGCAGTGGAAAGGGAATGTCATATACCCATGTGGAGTCCCATGAGGTGAAAACAGCCACTTGAGGGTCCAGCTGAGGCCCTGGCCTGATTGAGTAGCTACAGAGTAAGGACCTAGGAACGAGGTCTCCTTCCCAGAGGAGGGACTTGAAGTGATGGGGTCCCTTTACCTCCTCCAAAACCACAACATAAACAAGGAAGAGGCAGCTGTGGCCCAAGGCAAAGAAAATGTCTTAAAGCCATTCTGACCCAGATTTGACTCCCACATCCCCTCCCTACCACGCTCGACAGATTCCTCAATATCTCCGAGCCTCAGCTTCTCATCTGGCAAATGGGGGCAGTCATCACAGATCTCGTGGGTTGTTGCGAGGCCTAAGTGAGAAAATACAGTGAGAGCTTCTTGTAAACCACAAATGCTACATACATGTACATAGAGGTGATGCAGGAACGCCATTACCCCGTTGCCCATCTGGCTCCTCCAGACGCAGTGGTCCTCCAGCCCTGGATGAAACCCCATAAACTTCACTCCTTAGAGCTCAAAGGGCCCATTAGAAACCATCTGGTCCAAACGGTCTGATTTTACAGATAGGGAAATTAAGACCCAGAGAGAGAGGCTTTGCCCAGAGTCTAACAGCCAGTGAACATCGTGCTGGCCCTAGAAGCGGGTCTCCTAACTCATACTCTTTCTACTCCTTCAGGCTATCAAAGCTACCCCTACCCTCTGCGCCCCATCTCTCTCCACTGTGGTCTGCCCCCGGGTGGAACTGAATCAGGGAACCTTCTCTCTGCTCCCTTATTGGCTAACACATCCCCTGTTTTGAGTGAAGCCATGCTGCTGAACCAGAGTGAAACCATGCTGCTGAACCATTAAGAGGCTGGGCCTCCCCCAAGAGGCTCCTGGACAGTATCTGTGCTCCAAATAATTTAAAGTCCTGGGTGTAGCCCTGTGAGAGACAGCTGAGATTTTAAAGCCTTTGGGGATCCTGCCAATCATATCAGCAGCTGCCCTTGTCCTAACTGGGGTCACCAATGGCTTCACCACAGCCCTGAAGGGAACTCCCTCACCCCATCCCAGCCATCAGAGAAAGATTGAATTGTTTCACATCCTAGACATAATCCAAAGTTCACAATGGTTACCAGAGCTGAGTTATCCCTTTTAACTCTCAGAGTGCTGAAAAGTTTGTTTCCCCCTTGTGGGGTGTTGCACGTATTCCCTACTTTAGTCATAGTGCCCCCTCCTTCCTAAGCCCACTCAGCCCTCTGCTCGCCAATTGAGGAGAGTTGAGGGGACAGTCTGGCTCAAAGCCCCTCCCTGGAACTGTCTTCCAATAATACCCTCCCTGAGGTGTCTGCCACCCTCTCTCCAAACTCTTTCCAAATTAAGAACCAAGCTCCTTGCTCACCTCATCTTTCCCAGGGTCTTCCAGCTCCAGCCAGCCCACCAGATGCCCAGCTCGACACCCACACTCCAAGCTGCCAACAGGCAGGGCGGCCAGCCAGACTCAGTGGAGACAGGCCAAGCCCAGAATTCAGTCCCAGCCTCATCCTCCAGGCCAGCAGGCAAGGGTAGTTGAGATAATGATGAGGAACTCCAGCCCCATTTCTGAGCTCCAGCTCAAGCCTCAGCTTCCTCCTCTGTAAAGCAAGGGTAACTGTACCTTCCTCCCAGAGCTGCTCAAGGATGAAGTGAGACAGCATGCATAGACACCTTGCCTGAGGAGGCTTCCAAAAGGGTCTGGTCCTCACCTCTTCCCAGGGGTGGGCTTTGCAAGCCTCCTCCCTGCCTCCCTTGGGCCTGAAGATCGTCTTGGTCTTGACCTCTCCCTGCAAAGCTGGCAAATGGGGGCAGTCATCACCGATCTCATGGGTTGTTGCGAGGCCTAAGTGAGAAAATGCAGTGAGAGCTTCTTGTAAACCACAAATGCTGTGTATATGGAGATGATGTAGGGACACCATGACCCCATTGCCCATCTGGCTCGCCCAGACCCAGTGGTCCTCCAGCCCTGGATGAAACCCCATAAACTCCACTTCTTACAGCTCAAAGGGCCCATTAGAAACCATCTGGTCCAAATGGTCTGATTTTACAGATAGGGAAATTAAGACCCAGAGAAATTAAGACCCAGAGAGAAAGGTTGACCAACGATACAATGAAGAGGAGGATGATGATTTCCTCCTACCCTTTCAACTAGGACTCAGGAATCAGAGCTTCAAGGTCAGGGTTCAAAGTGTGTGGATGTGCTCTGGGAGCAGTAGAGAGGCTGGGGTACTACAGCGGTGTGATCCACAGCTGGAGAGACAGGAGATGAATAAGGAGTGGAAATCATCATTCTCAGTAAACTATCACAAGAACAAAAAACCAAACACCACATATTCTTACTCATAGGTGGGAATTGAACAATGAGATCACATGGACACAGGAAGGGGAACATCACACTCTGGGGACTGTTGTGGGGTCGCAGGAGCGGGGAGGGATAGCATTGGGAGATATACCTAATGCTAGATGACGAGTTAGTGGGTGCGGCGCACCAGCATGGCACATGTATACCTATGTAACTAACCTGCACGATGTGCACATGTACCCTAAAACTTAAAGTATAATAATAAAAAAATAAAAAATAAAAAAAATTTAAAAAAAAAGAAAGGGTAGGAGGGTCCAGAGGTGACACAGTGGGTAAATAGCAGGGGGAGGAGGCTGAGGAGGAGGCAGAAATGAATCTTTCCAAGTCCGCTGCTAGCAAATTCCAACATGACTTCCTTCTTCACAGCAACTTAGCCGAATTTCTATCTTTATTAATCAAATAACAAATTTAATTAATTACTTTAAATTGCTTTAATTGAATCTAGAACGAGAGCGTGGACAAAATCCCAAGAAGTAATGAACCCAGGCATTTCCAGCATCTGGAGTTGAAATGATCTTTAATTTCAATTTGGGAGCAAAAATAATGTGACTGCAGTCAAACCCTCCCCTCACAGCCTGCTCCCTGACAGCTTTGTTACTGCCTGCAGTGCTGACAGGGCCTCCGCACCCTGTTCTTTCACCCTCCTTAGCAGCAATGTTCTTCCTGCCTCAACTTACCTCAACTGAGAAATGGGTACAGGCCCCACCTGCAAGTGTCCTGTAAGTACTGGAGCACAGGAGCTGCTTGGAGATTGTACGGTAACAGAACAGGGAGTGGCACACATTGATCAGACAGCAGCGAAGCTCTCAGGAGCAAGGCACATCCTTGCCTCCGTGCCTCTCCCCGTGCTGTGCTCCCTTCCAGGAATGCCTTTCTTTACCCTTTTCCAGCTGTTGCATCCCTGCCTTCAGTTCTGATGGCTGGTTCAAATGTCCCTTTCAAAGGAAAGCTGCTCCCCATCCCCCACCCCAGAAAGGAGTTGGAGAGATGAAAGTGTTTTCCCTGGTTGGCAGTTGCCCTCCAAGTGGTAGCTCTGGGCCAGTAAGAGGGAAAATGGAACACAACCAACTTTTTTTTTTGGCAGGGGTCATGGTGGGAAGAATATATTCTCTGGATGTGAAGATGAGGCGAGAGAGGCTCAGAGAAGTGAAGTGATTTACCCAAGATCACACAGCTGGGTAGTGGTCAAGCCACACCTAACCCTAGGCCTGACACAGCTGCCTTTCTGTCCCTGGCTGGGTATCAGAAGAAAAAACCCAAAATCCCCCTTAAAGCTCTATCTTGCTGTCTTCTCTCCACCCTGAGCCAGTAGATCCCATCAGTCCCCTCTCTCCCTGCTCCCTAATACCCTCTCTCTCTTCTGATTCCACCCACCCTTGCCTCTCAGGCCTCTCTCCAACCGGGGCATACCTTTGTTCCAGCCTGACCTCCAGGTGCCCTGTGTTAGAAGAATGCTAAGGCAGCCAAGGTACTCCTGAGTCTTTCATTCTTATTATCATGGTTATTATTTTGTATTACTATTTTACTATTAGTCTTCCCCTCAGCTGCCAGGTCTCAATGGCATCCTTTCCATTGTGCCATGCTCCTGCTCAAACACCTACCATGGCTCCCTATTACCTGTAGCCTCAAGTTTAAACACTTCTTTGGGCTCTTAAGATCCTCCAAAACTTGGTTCCACAAATGTCAGGCAGTTGCCCCAACATACTCTATGCCCCTGGGAAATTTACTTAACTTTTTTGAACCTTCATTTTCTCCTCTGTAAAGTGGACATTGTAATCCCTAACTTATAAAACTGTGCTGAGGATACAATGAAAAGAAACCTATGAAACCCAGCGCAGTGCCTGGCATCTCAGTTGCCTTCAGGAAATGTGAGTGCTCATTCCAGCCACGTCTCCTGCCTCTCTAACCTTACTTCCCGCTGGGCTGCCACACACATTCTCAACTCTACCCAGGATGGAATCTTCACTTCTCCTGGAAAAACTTTTATTAAAAAAATTTCTACCACATCCTTCAAGCTTCAACTCAGATGGACACACCCCTAATTCATGATTCATTTGGGGACTGGGAGTAGTGCATGGTCTCTCATCCTGTCTCCAAGTAGGATTTGGTGTAAAGCCAGCCCAAGAGGCGAAGCCCAATCTCACTCTCCAGGGTTAGGGACGAGGAATTCCCCATCAGCCAGGATCTCTGAACACCAGATTCTGGCTAGAGCCCCTGCCCCATCCAGCACTCCATGACACCTATCAGGGTCCTGCCCACCCCCTCCAGGAGTGTCTCCTCACTTTCCATTCTCCCTGAAACAATCTGCTGCTTAGCAAAGTGTTTTTAGGCATTAAAGCACATCACACCCTTCTTTTCTCCCAGAAAAGCTCTTATTTTCCTGAAATCTCAGGAGCCAGTTTTTCCTGCCAAGAATATTCCACCTCAGCCCAATCCCAGGAACTGCAGAAGGATCGAGATGCTTGGAGGGACCCCCTCCCGCTCCCCTACACCCCTTTCCACTCCAGCTTCTGCATAAGGGAGCAACCCTCCCATTTACTGATGGGAAAAGTGGGCCCCTAAAGGAAAAAGAAAATTTGTGTGTCCAAAGTCAAAGAGAGAGTTGGTGCACCAGGAAACAGAATAGAAGATACTGGTAATTCACCTTCCCTAGTGGGAGATCTAAAGCAGAGGTCATCCAGAGTTGTACGAAGGATCAATGTGATCAATAACAGGCCCATTATAACATTTAGGGGCCTGGCCAGGCATCTCCTCTCTCCACAGGGCTTCCATAACAAATTACCAAAAATGGGCTTAAAACAACAGAAATGTAATCTCCCACAGCTCTGGAGGCCAAAAGTCCAAAATCAGTGTCGGTAGGGCTGCACTGTCTCTGGAGGCTCGAGGGGAGAGTCCTTCCTGGCTTCCTGCAGCTTCTAGTGGTGCTTGGTGTTCCTTTGCTTGTGGCACCCCAGTCTCTGCCCTTCATCACTCCAGTCTCTGCCCCTGTCTTCACGTGGCCTTTTCCTCTGGGTCTGTCTCAAATCTCACTCTTCTTTCTCTTATAAGGGCATCTGTCAGGATGCTCCCATCTCAAGATCCTGAACTCACTTACATCTCAAAAACACCGCTTCCAAATAGGGTCTCATTCACAGGTCCTGGGGGTCAGGACTTGGACATATCTTTTGGAAAACACAATTCAACCCATTACACCACATGAGCCCTGCCAACCATGAGGCCTCACTGCCTCTGAAACTGACCTCTTTGGGTTTGCCTGAAAGGGCTTTGGCAGCCTCAGCCTGGTAAGCTGCTCACCTGTCCCAGACCTCTGACTCTCTAGAAAATGGCTCAATATCTCTTGGACCCTCCCTGATGACCTTTATTAGAGGGGCCCTGGGAATTTTCTGCGGGTGAAGCATGATGTGATCTCAGAAGCCAGGCCCCAGTGCCAGGGAGATGAAGTTCCATTCCTGGCTCTACCACTTGTCAAACCTGTGACTTTACATAACTCCCTGTGTCTCAGTTTCTCCATCTACAAAATAAAGGCAGTATCCTCATCAGTGGCTCTTTGTATTAGAAAGACATAGTGAATGCCCCGGCAGGGCATGAAGTTGGTGTCCATAACCAGTTACTATCATGGTACTCCCACCTTTCATTTATTCCCGGGGAAGCATCTCCCCAGCCATCCCCTGCAGGGGCCTCAGCCTTCCTCTCAGTCTCCAAGGTGCTCAGGAAACTTCTTGTCCTCATAGCGTCTCCTGAAGGATACATTGTTATTCCCATTTTGCAGACAAGAAAAAGCATAAATATGGGTGGCACAGTTTGCTCCAATGACAGTCACCCATCTTTAGGGGAACACTGAGTGAAGCGCCCCATGCACGGGGATACTCATTTTTTTGAGGTCTGTTTATTTTGACTCCCTCCACTCTCCCACCGTCTGGTCACCCATGGCATGGCTGTCATTAGAACAAACACTCAAGGCAGTTTGTCTTTCCCCTACATTCCCCCATCCTGGCCTCATGACATCCAGGAGTGGGGGTCAGGCAGGGCAGATGTCATTGTCATTGTTACACCCATCTTGCAGATGAGAGGATGGAACCTAGCTAAGAGAGGAGGAACCTAGCTCCTAAGATCACAGCACTTTGTACTGGCAGTGGCAGAACTCAGATCTTCTGACTCATAATTAGCATTCCAACCATTTCACAACACAGTCCAGAACTCAGTCATTCATTAAACAGTGAAGATATAATAACAACTAATATGGAATATTTTTACAACGCTGAGAGGCAGAGATCCTTTCATCCCCATTCAAGAAATGAGAAAATTGAGGCTCAGAGAAGATCGCAGCATCAGGATTTGAACTTAGGTCTCTGTGCCTGCTCCCAAACGCTCCCAAACCAGCTCTGTACCCACTGTGCTGCACTGGCTGCTGCAAGAAGCTGTTCCACCTGAACCCTGAAAGCCAATCATGGTCTCTGCCCTCAAGACACTCCCAGTCTTGAAGGGGAGGTAAGTCTAGGTGGCCAGGGGCCAGCTCTCTAAGAGGCAAACAGACTCAGAGGGTAGCACAGCTTCCTCCCCCTCTGAGAGGAGCTGCCCTCTCCTCCCCAGAGCTGGATTGAGATCAGAGTAGGACTAGGGAGCTGCCATTCTGAGAAGAACATCCTGCCGATCCCATCCCTGAGATGTCCATTTGGGGTGGGGGCAGGGCAGAGAGGTATTGCCGGTGGGGCTCACTGGGGCTTTGGGGCTGGGGACTTTGGAGGCTCCTTCAATCAGGGAGTTGAGGCTGGGAGGCCTATGGTGAGCACCGGCCACCCCAGCAGAGGGAGCAGATGTCTCAGCCTCTCCCTGTTCCCTGGCAAACCTCATCTTTTATAAATAGTTGTACTTGCTGGGAGCCAGAGAGAGTTGAGGTTTCAGCATCTCTGACAGCCCGGCAGAGCCAGGCCCGTCTGCCTGGAGCTACGCGTGCTCACATAACACCCCCTCCCCAGCCCGCAGCCCAACCGCCACAAGGGTGTCATTGCACCCAGGACGCACGGCGTCTTGGCATGTGCTGGCTCCACGTGGCTGGTGGGTTGTGTGGGCTCTTGGGCAAAGGAACCAAGTAATCAGAAAGCACTTTAGAACAGACGGATTCTGGAGGTAGTGAGCTCCTCATCCCTGGAAGGGTTCCAGGGGAGCTGGAGGTCTATGTAACAGATATGCAATAAACGAGCTTTGGACTCTGACGGATGGTGAGGGAAGAGGGAAAAGGCTGGGCCACATGATCCCAAAGGGTCCCACTGTACATCTAGGGTGGCATAGGTGGGGACTGTCAGGGCCATTGGTGGCTTAGCAAGACTGTGACCTCCTTCCCAAGCTTTAAGATGCCCAGGAAGCTCACCTGTGTGGGTTCCTGAAACCCTCTGCTTCATGCGTGAGCCCAGCAATTTCTCTGGATTCAAGAATGCCAGGAGAGATTCTGTCCAGCATGTGGGATGCATTACTCATTAACTGCTCGTCACTGAGCATTTGTGCAGCTCCTTCAAAATACACCAGTGAGGCTGCCAGCTCCCCAGGGTTTCTGAGAAGCCCAGATGCTGGAGCAATATTCCCCAGCTCCTCTGATCTATGGGGAACCCTTGTTAGAGTAGGGAACCTGTAAGCCTCCTCAACTTTGGAAACTCTCCACTTTCTAAAGCTGAAAACTTAGGAAATCCTTGACCTTTGGGATCGGAGGTGAGTGTTCCCAATCTTAAGCCATAAGGACAGGGACCAACTCTGTCTTATTCACTGCTCCTCTTGTCCATGGTGGCATTTAAATAACTGTGAACCAAATGGATGAATGACTGAGTGAACAAATTACGTAAAAGTCACCGCATCACCTCCTTGCAGGAAGGCTGAGTCACTTGTGAAGTGTGCCCTCTGTCCTCTCTCTGAGGAGGTAGGGGACAAACATGATGCTCTAGAAAGGATATCACCTCTGGGGTCAGACTAACTGGGTCCCAGTCCTGGCTCTGCCTCTTATTGGGTGCATAACCCTGGGTGAGATCCTCAACCACTCTGCTTCATTAGCTGCAAAACAGAGATAATAATCCCTACCCCATAAAGATGCCATGAGAACATCTGAGATAACATTTTTAAATTGCCGAGCATCTAGTCAGCACTCCATAAATGATGCTGGTGGTAGTCATTAGTGCCATTCTCCAAATGTTTGCAGTTCTCTTTCCAAGCACATGGTAGAATCCTACTTCCCCACCTTCTTGAAACTGGACATGGCCGTGATTTGCTTTGGCCAAATCAATGAGACCAGAAGTGATGTGCCTCTCCTTAATGGAGGCTTTAAGAGGTCATGTGTAATTCTCCACATTCTCTTCTTCCTGCTTCAGCAATCATAGCAGCAATAAGGTGGAATCATGACCAGCCTGGGTCCTGGAACGAGGAAGACGTGGGGCAGATCTATCCAGTGGCCCTGGATGGCAAGGCACGAGGTAGGTTGTAAAGATGGCCGCAATTATTCCTCCCCTCCCTGTGTGCCTTCCCCTCTGCCAGATGGCTTTGCTATTCCTCCCATCCAGAGATGAAGTCCATTCCTACCAACCTTGAACCTGCTCAGCCATGTGATTTGCTTGGGCCAATGGCATATTTTTAAATATGATACAAGCAGAGGCTTGTGAAGTGCTTGCATATTGGAGCTCACCCTGTTTCATGGCTGGGAAGGAACTCTTCTGCCACTATGTGAAAAAGCCTCAGCTAGCCTCCTGGAGGAAGACCACATGGAGTGAGGCAAGGCCCCAAATGTCCTACCTGAAATCCCAGACATGTGAGTGAGGCCACCCTAAACCATCTAGCCCCATCTAAACTGGCACAGACCAAAATAACCACCCAGTCAACCCACAGAATCAGAAAAAAATATTAAATGTTTTTTGTTTTGAGCCACTAAGTTTCAAATGGTTTGCTACTTGGCAAAGACTAACTGACAGCATATAATATGAATGGGAAATAAACCTCAGAGTATTAAGCCACTGATCTTTGGGAATGTTTATTACTGCAGTATAGCCTTGCCCATTATTCTGATTAATATGGTATTTCCTTCCCATTTCCCTGTGGGAGAGGAAGTACATTCCACTTAGGTTTCGAGTTTTATCCTCTACGGTTCTCTTCCTGTTCACCATTGCCTTCCACTCAGCCACTCTCCTGCCTCATGGTCCAGGTAGGATCTCCTGTTATCCCCCACACCCCAAGGATGGGTTATTAACTAGGCACATCATGGAGACTTCTGCTCACCCCCCACTTCTGGGCCAAACTCTCCAGGGCTGTGTGGGCCTTAGAGACAACCTGTAAGAGGTTCCCATATTGTGACTCAGTGTTTGCTCTGGACCCTGAGGTGAGACCAGCTGGCCTCAGCCCACATTCCGCATTCCCCACCCCACTTCACTCTCTTGCATACTCTCTGGCTGCATGGCGTGGCAGAAAAAGGCACTGGCTTCAGCATCAGATGCACCTAGATTCAAATCCCAGTTCTGCTGTTTACCTTTCAATCCTGGGCCAGGTGTGGTGGCTCATGCTTGTAATCCCAGCACTTTGGGAGGCCAAGGCAGAAGAATCTTTTGAGTCCAGGAGTTCGAGACCAGCCTGGGCAACATAGGGAGACCCCATCTCTATGAAAAAAAAAAAAGGTCCCAGCTACACGGGAGGCTGAGGCAGGAGGATTGCTGAAGCCTGGGAGGTGGAGGCTTCAGTGAGCCATGATTGCACCACTGCACTCCAGCCTGGGCAACAGAGCAAGACCCCATCTTCAAAAAATACATATGTATATATGTCCCAGCTCTGTGACCTCTTATCCATGAGACCCTGGGAAAATTCTTTAACCACAGTGTCTCAGTTTCCTCCTTTGTGACTTGGGGATAAAAGCTCTCTGTTCACAAAGGTGCAAGAATGATAAATATAGTGTCTAGCACAACACCTGAAACACGGTAAGACACTAAAGAAATGGTAACTGGGCATCATTTAGAGTCAGAGTGTCTAGTTCTCAAGTTCCAGCTCTGCCACTGACTGGCAATGTGTTCCTGGGCAAGTCACTTGGCTTCCCTGAACCTTGGTTTCCTTCTCTGTAAAATGGGTGTTTAATTGTCTCTTTGACAGGTGAGGTAAGGATTTTAAAAGGAACTATATATAAAGTAGGTGGCATGTAGTAAGTTCTAAAGAGGTGGCAGTTCTTTCTCCACCCTCTAGCTTGAAAATTCTTCTGATGGCAAAGGTGGTTTCACCTCTATGCCCTTCCTCCCCTGCCACACATATACACAGCACCTGCACACATGCACACAATCAGAACTCAGTCAGAGTGGGCTTGTTGTGGGGGACAAACAGATCCCAGTCTCCTCAGATCCCTCCGGTCCAGGAATAGTTTCTGTGTCCGCTCACCCCAGAAGGAAATAGCCTGGTTCTATCATGCATCATATAAACAGGAAGAACCAACAGTGCTGAGGTGGTCAGGAGACCCCTGTGAGCATCTCATCCACCATCATCCTCATCCTCCCCCACCTTGCCTCACCCTCTCCCACAAGCATGCTCCAAGACTGCTCGAGAGCAGTTTCCATGGCGATAGCATTTTAAAGTTTTCTAGGAGCAGAACAGGAATAATTTTCCACCTTCTCCTCCTCCGTGGCAATCCGGGGAAAGGGAGCTTATTACAGATAAAGGGTGGGGTGAGGGGCAAGGAGGAGAGAAGCAGCTCTTTCTTTCTTTCATCGCGTGACTGAAGAAGGTCACACTAAAATTCCCCACACCCAGCTCCCTCTCCAGACCCCAATTTCTCCCGCGGTCTTCACCTACCTCTGCTTGGATGAAGAGATGGGATGGGTATGAGTAAAAGAAAAAAGAGAGGAAAGAGAAAAGAAAGAGAGAAAAAGTGGGCCAATGTGTGCCCAATCACATGCATGCACCACTCATAAACACAGTGGCTGCAGGAAATTTCCACTGATCTCTTCTTGGGAAGTGATGATCATTAACGGAGGAGAAAAGCTGAGTATTAGAAGCAGAGACGCTGGGTGCAGTGGCTCATGTCTGTAATCCCAGCACTTTGGGAGGCCAAGGCAGGAGGGTCACTTGAGGTCAGGAGTTCAAGACTAGCCTGGCCAACATGGTGAAATCCGGTCTCTACTGAAAATACAAAAATTAGCCAAGTGTGGTGGTGCATGCCTGTAATCCCAGCTACTTGGGAGTCTGAAGCAGGAGAATCACTTGAACCCGGGAGGCAGAGGTTGCAGTGAGCTGAGATCACACCACTGCACTCCAGCCTGGGTGACAGAGTGAAACTCCATCTCAAAAAAAAAAAAAATAAGATAGAAGCAGAGACATCTGTATACCCGGGCTGCAGCCCATGATTGAGTCAGTCTACATGTTACAACCACCTTATAGATATCTCCATAATCTACCAGCCCAAAGAGGGTCCACATACACTGCAAAGGAGTGTTGTTGTCATGATGCCCTCTAATGAGGGTGGACACCATACTGTAATGAGGTGCGAGGGACGGGGTGCTCTTCTTTCACTCTAATTCCTGCTTGCCTTCACAGCCTCCTTCCTCTCAGCCCCCAGCTACATTCCTTTATGCCTATTCTCCAACCTTTGAAGGGTTTTTGTCCCAGATTGTGGGCCTCTATCCAGTTTACATAGAATTCCTTGCCAACATCCCTGAGGCAGACACCATCCAGGAGAAGTGTAAGGTGAAAATAGACTGTGAATGGCCTGCCTCCCTTCCCTTCTTGGCATGGCTGTGAAGAAGGCACCTGCCCCAGGCCAGGTGTGCCAGAACCCCCAACAGGTGCAAGGAAGCAGGCTGAGGAATGGGATGGGAGCACAGACTCAGATGGACCCAGTAAGATTTCTTCCAGGGCTAAGCTTGGCCAAATAAGTCACATGGGGATCATGCAGAAGATGTCAGGATAAGACGCTGGAAGAAACAGATTCCAGTCCTGATTCTCCCACTCACTAGCTGGGTGGCCTTAAGAAAACCACTTAGCCTCTCTTTGAATCTCCTCTGTCTTACCTTATTTTCCATCCTATCTGTCTTGTTCGAAAAGGTTATTTTGAAAATTCAAAGTGAGAGCACTTCGAAAGTTAGCAAGTACTACACACTTGTAAGATACCTCTTTCTATGACTTTGGCAGAGTCAGTGACAAAGATAAGCTTAAAACCTGGTCTCAAATGTTGATCTAGAAATGCAGAATCCATGGACAATGAAGTAAGTGATGAGGTACTCTAGTGCCACAGGGAACTGTTATGTGGCCTTGAACAAGTCACTTGTCCTCTGGGGGCTTTGTCTTCCTCTGCCAAAAGAGGTTCTTAAGGGCCTTTTAGGGCGGGAACCCAAGCCAGACACGAGGCCAAGTCAAGCTAGAGAGTGTGGACCTGGGGTCAGCACCAGGGACAGTTCCCATGAGCCTGGGAGACCAACGTTGATCTGAGTTAGCAGAGACCTGGGTTCAAGTTCTGACCTTGCCTCAAACTTACAGTATTATTTCTAGATGGTGTCTTCTCACTGTTCAGAAGGCCAAGGAAAGGTTGAGTTCTCATTATAAAAGTTCAAAACCCTTCTAGGGAGGCAGTGTGGTGCAGTGGTCAGGAGCACATCCTACTCACAAAGAAGGTGCTGGAGCCCATGCGTACCTGGTGGGTTGCTCCTCCTTCCCCAGTCCTGCCCTAGGAAACAGTGTAGTGGAACTTCCGGGGAGCTGTTTGGGTAGAAAAGCCCAGTGAATTCTCCTTCCTCATGTATAGACCCCTGGATTTCCTATGCCTTCTAGAATTACATCCCTCTATTCATTGAGCCAGACACCTTTCAATAAACCCTCTAATCTAGTTCCCATGATAACCCCTAGCTTAGGCATAATTATTCTTACCTTTCAAATAAGAAGCTGAGCCTGAGAGAGGGGCACCAATGGGCCTATTGTCCTTTCCATTTCACAGTGCTCACTCATGAATGAGACAGCTCCAGCCCTACCCTGCCAGAAGGCACTAAGACCTTGGGCAAGTCACTTCCCCCTCTGGGTTGGACCAGAGCTCCAAGCTCCAAGCATCTTCACTTCCATCCTACAGAGGGGTCTGGGATCTTGACCTAGGAGCACAAGATGTGGAGCCAATAACCTCTCAGAGCTCACGTCTACCACAGGCTCAGATCTCTAAGGTGCCAATAAGCAGATACCCCTGCTCAGAGCTTGCTCTGAGTCAGTTCTCCCTTGGAGAGTCCTGGAAAATATGGCTCTGCTGCTTTGGCAGGAATCTTTCTTTTTTTAATAAAAAAATTATTTTGACAAAGCGTTCTTATAAGAAATGAATGTCAGCCTGACTCTGTAGAGAAGCGTCAGTGTGGAATTGATGTAAGACATGGTGTTTAATTATAGCAACACCCTTTAGCTCTGTCACCAGCCCCGCACCACCCTCCCTCCTCTCATGGTCCGGGGTAGGGAGAGGTCTGTGTGTCCTATAGCTGTTTCTCAGGGATCCAGACCAGCCTTTGACCATCAGGATGAACTGGGTCTTGACTTCCCCATGAATTTCCAAGGCCAAGGTCTCACAGCCCCAGTAGAATATAGCATTCACAAATGTCAGAGACAGAAAGCAGCTCAGATATCACCATATCTAACCCAACCATTTATAGAGAGGAAAACCTAGAAACTCTCTAATTGTAATGTATATGCCAGGCTTCTTCTGCCTTATTACATGACCAATGCTGCAGAGAAGGGGCAAGAGTGACAGTCACCTTGCCCAGGCAAAGTAGAAAGACCCAGAGACACAGATTGGGAGAGGAAGAACAAGGAAGAAGCTGATATGCACTAGGCACCTATTATGTGCCAGGCACTGGGCTCAACACTTCTATAAATTATATCATTTGGGTATCATCCCCATTTTACAGGTGTAAAAACTGAGGCTTACAAGAGATTAAGTAACTTACCCAGGGTCACGCCACCAAGATATGGATTCAGGTGTGCCAGGCCGCAAAGGTTGGGCTTTTCCTGTTGAGGGGAGCTACAGTGAGCTCCCCTCTTAAGCAGCAGAGATCTGGAGTCAAATCCACTGTGTTTCCTACACTTCCTCACTTGTTTCCCAGAATCAAGTGCTTGGTTGCCCTTTATTATCAAATAAAAGGGGCATAACTGCTTTCTGGACATAATTTGCTTTCTATTGGCTTAGGAGTCTCAAGTCTCACCTTTCCCATAGGTGACATGTACACTTTCTGTCATTTTGGTTTCCTTATGATCTACATAAATAAAATGATGCCAGCAATATCCTTACGGCAGATACACCCCAAAATGTTTCAGGACATATTGGCCAGTCATCAGAGGGAGATGAAACTATTAGGAGAGACTCAAAAGGACCAACATCTTCAACTCAGGGATGGAAGTAGCACTGGAGGGCTTGCTCCCACTGCCCCTCTTTCTAAAGCGCCTGCCACTCATCCTGGCTGTTGTGGTGATAAGGAATTAAGAAACACTGCAGTGGGAGAAGGGTTTTTTGACTTACAGAAGCCTCAGCCATAACTTTAGAGATGCTTAGGAAATTCCTCTGCCTTCAATTTGCAACACCTCTGGCCTGATCCCAAGATGCCGGCAGCATCTTTGTGTCAATCAAATTTCTACAGATTTCATGTGCTGAACCTGGCTCTGTCTATACTTCATTGCTCTGGGATCTCAAAGAATTGGCTACAAAAGTGGGGAGCAGCAGGTGGTCATTACACCTTCCATTATGCTTGATGTTGTGTGAGGGCCACCTCACTTCTAGCTAAAGCATCCCCTGCCAGGCATACAGAAATTCCAAAGGGGAAATGGCTCCTTTTACAAACTGAATTCTGTCCCCCAAAATTCGTATGTTGAAATCTCAATGCCCAGTAACTCAGAATGTGACTGTATTTGGAGATAGGGCGTTTAAAGTAGTAATTAAGGCAACATGAGGTCATTCGGGTCAGCCCTAATCCCATATGACTGCTATCCTCATAAGAAGAGGAAATTTAGACACAGACCTATAAAAGGAAGTCCATGTGGGGACACAGGGAGAAGACAGACATCTACAAGCCAAGGAGAGAGACCTCAGAAGAAACTAATCCAGCCAACACCTTGATCTTGGACTGTTGTATAAGCCACCCAGTCTGTGGGATTTCATTATGGCAGCTTCAGCGGATGGTAGCAGGTGTTCTCTCACTTTTCTTCTCTCCAATATATCCAGGATATATTGCTACCTCCTTCCTTCACTCCCACCCCTCCCCACCCTGGATAATTTACTGCCATTAAAAAGTGTATTATGGGCCCAGGCACAGTGGCTCACACATGTAATACTAGCACTTTGGGAGTTCAAGACCACCCTGGGCAACATAGCGAGACCCTGGCTCTACAAAAAATTAGCTGGGCATGGTGTCATGTGCCTGTAGTCCTGCCTCAAGAGGATGAGGTGGGAGGATCGCATGAGCCAGGAGGCTGAGGCTTCATTGAGCTGTGATCACACCACTGCACTCCAGCCTGCGTGACAGAGGAAGACCCTGTCTCAAAAAAAAAAAAGGTGCATTATGGGATGGAGAGGTTGGGGTGGGCCTTTTAATATATTTAGAGCTGAGGTGAGAAAGACTGAGGGCAGGAAGAGCCTTTCTTTTCCTCCAAGCAGCCCAACTCTCCAATGCCAAAGCTATTTTGAGATTACAAGAAGCTAAGTTTATAAGCCATGTCCACCTAGTCAGTTTTCTGGGACCCAGAATGCATCTTCCACAGAAACAATATTTGTAAAAGAAACTGGTTCCCAGGCTAGCCCACAAAAGCCTGTTTAGTCCATCACAGAGCTCTGATACCCATTCTCTCTCTCTCTCACTCTGCCCTGCAGACTAGTAGAGTGATATTGCCTCAAACCTAATCTTTAAACTCTACAGAAAAACAATCATGTCCACCATGAAGTGAGTGGGGGATGTCATTCAGGCTGGATGGCCATGCCTAGAGGAAAGTAGAAGGTGCTTGAGGAGGTCGAGGAGCCCCTGGGGCCTGGGGCAGCGGTACTAAAGGAGACTTCTGGAATTTCTCAAGGGCTTTTGAGGCTGAGCACTCTCGATCCTTATTAATCTCCTTTTACTTCAGAACTCAGGGTCCCCTTTGGATCCTCCTGTAATGGCTGGGCTGATCAATGGTGATTGGGTCATCTGTGGGGGAAGAGAGGACACGAGAGAGGAGGAGAGAAAGCAAGAGAGAGGGGAACATGATTGTGCAAGAAGAGATGGCAGCAAGAAGCTGGCTGATGAGCGTGGTGGCACGTGCCTGTGGTCCCAGCTACTCGGGAGGCTGAGGCAGGAGAATCGCTTGAACCCAGGAGGCAGAGGATGCAGAGAACCAAGATCGTGCCATTGCACTCCAGACTGGACAAAAGAGCTCCGTCTCAAAATAAATAAATAAAAAAGGCTGCTGAGGGGGTATCATGACCAGGAGAGAGGGACTGGCTGATGGATTGAGACTTGATGTGCAAACTCAGCCTTTCCTCAACATCCTGGCCAGGGCCCAATGCACAGGGAAGGGCTCAAAAATCACAGGTTCTGAAGGCTTGAATCCTGGTTTTACCACAGGCTGGTTGTTTGACTTTGAGCAGCATGACCTCTGTGCCCTGGTTGCCTCCGCTGTGAAATGGAATCATAGTAATCACCAGCTCACTGGGCTGTTGTGAAAATGCACTATCCATATAAAGCTCTTAGGAAACACCTCAGTGAGCATTAGCTGTGGTTGTTGTTAGTGCCTGCCCTTCACCAGCCCACTGCATGAGCCCTTTACCACCAGCCTAAACCCAAAGAACAGAAGTGGAAGGAGGCCAGGCGTGGTGGCTCACACCTGTAATTCCAGCACTTTGGGAGGCCGAGGTGGGCAGATCCCTTGAGCTCAGAAGTTCAAGACCAGCCCAGCACAGTGGCTCAGGCCTGTAATCCCAGCACTTTGGGAGGCCAACATGGATGGATCACCTGAGGCCAGGAGCTCAAGACCAGCCTGGTCAACATGGTGAAACCCCGTCTCTACTAAAAACACAAAAATTAGCTGGGTGTGGTGGCGGGCACCTGTAATCCGAGCTACTTGGGAGGCTGAGGCAGAAGAATTGCTTGAACCCAGGAAGTGGAGGTTGCAGTGAACTGAGATTGCACCACTGCATTTCAGCCTGAGTGACAGAGCAAGACTCTGTCTCAAAAAAAAAAAATAAATAAGAAAAAGAAGAAGAAGTTTGAGACCAGCCTTGGCAATATGGCAAAAACCTGTTCCTACAAAACAAAAAGTTAGCCAGGCGTGGTAGTGCACACCTGTAGCCTCAGCTACTCAGGAGGCTGAGGTGAGAGGTTTGCTTGAGCCTAGGAGGTGGAGGTTGCAGTGAGCCAAGATCACACCACTGTGCTACAGGCTGGGAAACAAAGTAAAACCCTGTCTCAAAAAAAAAATGCAGAAGAAGGAGATGAAGAGGATAGAGAGAGTTCAGCGGGAAGAAAAACATGTTGGCCAGGGTAGATGCCTCTACCTGTCGGAAAGGACCACTGAGTACCTGTACTGCTTGTCCCCGTGACATGGATCAGGCCACTGTCCCCATCTCCCCACATTGGTCAAGATCAGGCTTCCTCTCCTGACCTTGAAATGTCTGTGGCCTTCCATTAAGAAGATTTTAATGCCACAACCCATCACAGGCGTCCCTGGGACCTTCTCCCAGTGGGATGCAGGGTCAGGGGCATCCCTCTGCAGCTGGCATCTGAAGGAATTAGCCTGGAGTCGGGGGGGGGGAGGGGCTTGGAGGAAGACAACTGTGAATTCTCTGAGAGGAACAGATCAGAGGAGCTGGAGCTGGTGTTTTCATTCCAATTAATTATCCTTTTAGCGCAGCTCAGACTGCTGGAGAGCAAGGAGGAGAGACTCATTTATGTTAAAATCAGCCGGGCCCTTCTGGCCAAGATTCTAGCCTGCACGCAGATACAGGGTGCACCATGCAGGGGGCACGTGGTGAACCCACTGCCCAACCACCCCAAAGAGGTAGATCCCCCAGCTACCCAGTGGCCAAGGCCTGCTGAAGCCTGTCAGCTTCTCTGTAAGGCCTCTGCTCTGCACATGCTGATCAATTAGGTGCCGGTGACAGAGAATAGCGCCCAAGCTTAATGTGCTTTGCAAATATGGCTTCTTCATGGAAAGCCTGCTGGGGAAAGCTGGTGGCTCGTCCCCATTCACTGCTTCAAGGAGCCCAGGTACCTCCTGAGCCTGCCCTCCCTTGCCCACCAACATCCTGCTCTCCTCCTTCAAAGATGTGCTTCATTCCATATGCACTTCCTGAGCACCTGCCCTAGCCTTGCCCAGTGCCTGGTAATCAGGGAAGACTACCAGAAGGAGGTGGAAAGCCAAATCTTAGGGCCAGATAGGACCAGTGAGGAGGCTCCTACAATAATCTGGGTGGCTCGGACCAGTGGCTCCCCAACAGTGGAGGTGGGCAGAAGTGGTCCTATGCTGAGTATATGTAGAGACACAAGACTTCCTGATGGATTTGGATGTGACACATGGGAGGAAGAGCAGAGTCAAGGGCAGAGCTAAGGTGTTAGACCTGAGTGTCTAGAAGGATAGATTTGCCATACCTGAGATGGAGACAGCTGTGGGAGGGACAGCAAAGCCAGCTTCTCTGACTCCAAGTCTAGTGTTCCCTCTTCTTCCCTGTCTGGCATCTCCAAAGGGTCAGATGTGGGGTGGAGGTCAGTGGTCTTCAGTGCTCTTTCCTTCTGGACAGGCCCTCATTATCTCTCCAAGTCACTCGTCTGCAAGCCTGTCTTCATGATTCATCTATTGGAAGATGGTCTATCAACTAATTCATACTAAAGTGAAAATGGTTGATAAGTAGGGAACAGCCTTAGGAGGCCACTGAGTAGTAGGGGACAATCAATCATGGTAATAATAATACCTATAATAATAATAAAATAAAAATACCTAATCCCTATTTGGCACTTACACTTACTATGTGCCACTAACTTTTCTATAATAGGCACTATATGTGTGTATTATGTTATCTAATCCTACCTATAGCCCTGTGAGAAAAATGTTTATCTTTTTTTACAGATGAGGAAACTGAGGCACATACCCAGGATTACAGAGCTAGGATATGGCAGAGTCAGGATTTGAACCTAAGCAGTCTGGCTGAAGAGTCACGGTCTCAGCCACCACAATCTACTATCGGTCTATGCGTCTTACCAATTCTCATAACAACCATGTGAGGACCGCGATTTATCCCCACTTGTAAAGGAGAGAAAATTGAAGATCAGAGAGGGAAGGTGATCTGTGTGATCCAAGGTCACACAGCTGGTGCCTGGGGGCTCAGATAAAATAAAGGAGGCCCAGTTAAATTTACATTTCAGATCAACTGAATAATTCTTAGTGTAAGTGCATCCCACTCAATATTTGGGACATATTTCTACTTTAAAGTTATTTGTTCTTTATTGCAAATTTAACTAGGTATTCTGTTCTTATTCACTGAATCAGAGACCCCTAGGCCTAAAGACCCCTAGGAACCAGTTTGGTCCAGGCCAACTTTCTCAGGCTCTCAGGATAAACCTCTCTCCCCAAACCTCCAAGTCCCAAAAGACAAAGGAGCTGAGGTGTCCCCAGCCTGCTCTTCCCTGGTCCCCCTCAGCCTTGCCACCCCATGTCCCATCTCCTGCAGGTCCTCCTGATGCTGCGGCCATCACGAGGAAATCCCCGGATTAGGCTCCAATAGTGTTTCCCAGAGCCCTGACGTGAGGGGCTGGGCCCCGCTGAGCCAGGCAGCCATGTGGCCCAGAGCACCAGGCTTAAGAGCTTCCAGCCCACAGCTCCTAAGCAGGCCCATACATCACAGGCAGCTGGAAATCGAAACTCATTTCTCAGTTTGATGCACTGGCAGGTTCATTCGCCTGATTCAGGCAAAGTTGCATTCCACGTTGGGTATTTATCAACTACGTACCCACACTCAGACACACACCATGCTTTCCAAATTCATGCCACAGAGTAAAAAAGAGCCAAGTTCCCTGCAGCTGCCTGCAAGCACCTGCGGCATACAAGGCCTGTGCATACAGGGTATAGGCCACACAGACAGGTCTAACAATTACTGTTCTAACCAAAATAGTCATTGCTACCATCTTTTGAGTGGACACTTGCTATATGCCTGATGAAGTTAAGAGTTTTCCAGGCATGAGCTCATTTAATCTACAGCCCAGACCATGAGATAAAGAATGTTATCCCAATTTTGCAGATGAGAAAGCTGAGGCACAGAACGGTTAAATGGCACACTGAAGGTCACACAGCCAGGAAGTTGCTGTTGCGGGATTGAAGCCAAGCCCTTGATTCTAGGTTCAGTAGCTTTCCCTCCCTCCTTGGCCCATATTACGGAAATCGTGGTCTGAGATATCCCCAGGGGTAAGTCCTATGAGCTAATGAGGAACATCAGAGGTCACTGGTCCATCTTTCTGCTTTGGCACGAAATGCTACAGCTCAAAGGGACTTTGCCATTCTGATGGCAAAGTAGAGTCAGGAGCCACCTCCTCATGAGCAGGTCTTGGGGTGGGGCCAATATTTCTGTGTTGGGAGGGAGGAAAGGCCTAAAGAGGACCATGGACCCCAAGCGAGTGACCATTCTGCCTCCGCCTGAGGCATCCCAGGGCTACATACAACAAGTGCCCCAGGAACCTGGGCTCCAGTCTCACGTTCACTGCTGCCTTTCTCTGTGACCCTGGGAAAGCCCTTCCCCTTCTCTGAGTCTCAGTTTCCCCCTGTGTCACAGGTCTTTGACTTGTTTTGTCAGCTCTGGCATTCATGAGTGCCCCTTTCATAACTATGGTCAATCCCTCACCCTCTCCTCGGGTTCTCCCCAATCCCAGGCTTCTCCAGTCCTGCTGAAGAGCCTGGTGTGGTTAAAAGAACAGGGGCTAGGCCCAGGGCTACCTGGAACACACAATCCCCTTTGAGGCCACCAGGTCCAGGACATTTCTGAGACTCAGCTACATTTCAAACCCATTCCTACCCCCAAGATGCAGCCCACATCCTGTTACCCACCTCCAGGATGAATGAGCTGGGCTGTGTAATAGACTCCTTAGAGGAGCCGCCAGCTCCAGTCTCTTACAGGATTCTCTCAAGGCACCTTCCCCTGACTCAGGAGGAGCCAGAGACACCTGCAGGCCTTGTCAGAACCTGTGGGGTACATGTGCTTGGCCGGCTGTGTGAGCAGGTGCAGGGTGTTCTGTGCACCTGTGGTCATGTGTATCCCTGTGCTGTAGGCCTGCATGTGTGCTGTGTGCATGCAGAGAAATATATGCTGTGGATGCATTTTTAAGTAGTCCATCCGTCTTTGCTCGTGAGTCCCCACTCAAGTCACTCAGTGTCCCTAGATCAACCTGGAAACAAGATTTAGACGAGCCACCTGGAGACACACCTGGGAACCCAACACTCCATTCTGAAGGTTCTAGGATTTCTTGCACTCATGTGCACACACAAATACACCCGTACACATGGTTTCCTTCACCCCTTTGTACTGTTTAAATTAATATCTGTCATCCTCCATAGATTATAAGCATCTTGGGGATGGAGCCCAATTCAGTCCACCTTCAATTCTCCACCCCTGAGCCCTACCCAGCACTTAGCACAGGATTCGGAACAAGTGACTTGCTCAATTTTGTTAAAATGTCTTCAGTTTTAAATGCAGGTTTATGTGTGCATATTTGCACTAGGGGTATGGCTACACACATGTGAGTCTCCTTGCCTGCACTGGTGTGTGCCCACATACTCATGTGTTCAAATAAGCAAGCATGCACAGATGTGCACATCAACTAGTGTGACTAGCACACACCTGTGTGCACGTGTCTTTGAGCATATGTTTGTGTGCTGGCATACCCCTGTATGTGTATGAGCCTGACATATGCCTGTCAATGGACACTGGAGTGTCCCTCTGCATAGCCACTGACATGCACAAGTATTACCACTCATTTCATCATTCATTTAGTTATCACTTGACAAATGTTTAATTAACACCTTCTATGCACCCACCACTGTGCTAGCATTCGGTGAATGAAACGAAGTCCCTGCCTCCACACAGCGTACATCCTGGTGGATGCTTGTACACATGGTGGGTGAGCACACGTGTGGCCTAGGTGCTAACATATGTGCACGTGGCAGCATGTGTATATGCACCATGCGGAGTGGAGCTGGCACCCCTTCCTGATCCAGTTAGTAAGAAAGAGCACTCTGTCTTCCCCCTCCGTGGCTGGAACAGCTCACCTCTGGGGGAGGGGACACTAGGTGCCGGGGATCCCCCACCCCAGCCTGGACCTTGCCCCAGCTGTGACAAGGAGTCAGCCAAAGTGACTCCTCCATGCCAAGGGGCATGGAGGACTTTTAAACCAGGCTGGGGGCCGGCCTAAGAGGCCAGCAGGCCTGGCTGGAGAAGAAAGTAGAGGCAAAGGCCCAGGCATTGTTCTCTCATGTATCCTTCAAGATCACCAGCACGAAGTGGCATCAGGCGTAGCCATAGACAAAGACAGCACTCCTCCAGCAAGCTTGACCATATGGAGGAGGGGGTGGGAGGGGACAGGGGCCAGGCCTTCTGGCTTAGGATGAGCCTAGAGAGCAGCAGAAAGAAAACACAGGCAATACAAGGCCTGGCCCCTAACCTTGCCCATGATGACAGCCCCGCCTTGCTGCACAGCCTTGGAGCCTCTGCCCCATCTGAGGTAAGTGGGGCGGGAGGTCTAGGTGACTTTGAGGGCTGCCCTTCAGGCCTTTCCCTGTGATGACTCACGCTACCCCAGGATTTGGGCCACGGAGGGTGGAGTGAGGCCTGAGTCCAGGTTCTGATGGACATGAACACACAGGAGGAATAAGAAACTAGGTCAGAGGGTTCCTGTAGGGGAATGGTATGTGTCCCAGGGCCTGGCCCAAGGTGCAGCGGCTGTCGTGCCTCTGCCCTGCCTTCCACCTGGGGACCCTTCCACTCATGCATTGTGAAAATTTCCCAATTAAAGATGCTCACACCTACTAGTTAGTGGAGAATACAGAATACACAATCAGATCACCCGTCAGGTCCTGGCTCCGTGTGTCCACGTCCAGCCCTCCAGCACGTGGCTCCTCCGTCTCAGCACCACACCCATGAGCTGCCCCAAGTCTGTTTAGCTGTGCAGTATCTAATCCAAGAGGGCAGGGACTGTGTCCACTTGGTTCTCACACTGTCCCCAGTGTCCGGCACACACAGATCTGGCTGACGGGAGGCACTCAATAAACATTTGTTGAGCAAATAAATTAACTGCATGAACATGTTAACAGTGAATATTCAGGGTCGGGAAATTTCAGATCACTTTTATTTATTTCCTTATACTTTTAAGTCATCTCCATGTTTTCTAAAATGAGCATGTGTTGATTTCATAACCAGACACTTCCCCCCTCCCCAACCAAAAAAAAAGCTTCTAAAAACAGAATAAAGCAGAGCTTCTTCTCCTGCTTCAAGGCCCTACTCCCCAGACACCCTCAGTGACAGCCCGTTTGTCCTCTGGGTTTTCTCAGCACTGCCTGTGGGAATAGCCATGTCACCAAGCAAGTTAGGGACCAGCAGCAGGGCTCCCATCCCCCAGACCAGAGGCTCTCACTGCCTCATCTTCTCATGTCCACCGCTGAGTTTTGTTTTAAATGTTTGTTAAATCCCAGCTCTACCATTCACTCGCTTGGTGCTGCTGGGTGAATGACTCAACATCTTAGTGCCTCTGTTTTCTCATCTTTAAAAGGGGAATACTGCTAGTATCTACCCCATGGGGTGGGTGGGAGAACTAAGTGCACATAACGCACTTAGCACCATGTCCGCCTGAGGGTAAGCACTCAATAATTGTCTGTCTGGTTGGTTTCGATTTCTTTTATTAAGTCCTTCTCACAAGCCACAATAAGGGTTCTGCGTCTGTCATCAAGCTTAGTTCCCACAATGCTAGCAAGTCAGGCTTGTGATTGGACCCATATTGCAAAAGAGGAGCCAAAGGCTTAGACAATCAAGTCACTTTCCCCAAAGTCGCACAGCAAGGAGGCCACAGCATTGGGATTTGAATCTAGATCTGTCTGACTCCAGACCAAGTGCTCCTGAAGTTTCAAATTCCATCTATGAGGAGAGGCCAGGGTGGGATAAGTTTGAGCTATAGGACAAGGCTCTGTGTCTTGGAAGGGTAGAGGGACAAGAGAGAAGATGGCCAAGAGAGGTTAAGCCTGGAGCTCCTTCCCTACACCCAGTAGTATACACTGAATACGGAGTGGCCACTGATTTGCCAGGGACAGCAGCTGTGGGGCTGGGAAGAATCCTTGGACTTGACCTCCCTGCTTCCCTCAGCAAGACCAGCATTCAAATCCCAGCATGGGTCATTCATTCCATCCTCCCCTTTACTCATTCATTCATCCATTCATTCACTTCCCTAACAATTATTTGTTGAGTACCTGCTATGTGCTGAATAACATTCTAGGCCCTAGAGATAAGTAGTGAACAAAATAGTGGAGTTTACATTCTAATGCAGGAGACAGGCAGTACGCATCTTAACAAGGCAGCGAACAGGTCAGATGTTGATGGGATCCCTTCATTGATGGAGAAGGTAAGGGGAGAGGAAGTGCCAGCGCTGGCACTCTGTTTCCTATCAGTGGTCAGGAAGGACCTTGCTGAGCAAAGATCTGTAGGAAGTGGAGGAGTAAGCCATGGGCACCACTAGACAAGAGGGTGGTGGGCAGAGGGAGCTGTATCCACTATGCTCCTCGTCTACCCATCCATCACTGTTCTGCCATCCTGTCGTCCTCTACTAACTATTAGAGGTTATAATCTCTCATTTTCACTACACCCCTCTGATACAGGCATCATTAGGATTCACCTTTCAAACATTAAAAACAGAGGCTCAGCAAAGCCCTGTGACTCTCCCACGGGCTGGGGGAGGTAGGCAGCCCAGGTCCCTCCAGGACACCTCCCCTCCCCGGCTCTGTCCTGCTTGCTGCCCAGAAAGGCTGTGATTCAGTGACCTGCACTAAGGGGATGGAGCAGGACTTGGGGGGGCCGTAGAGCTGCAGTTCAGGGAAGATTCTGGAGCCAGACTTCCTGGGTTCACATTCAGCTCCACTAAGTTCCTGCTGCATGGTCTAGCTCTCTGTCTCCATTCCCTCCTCTGATAAATGAGGATGATCACAGAACTACTTCTACAGTTGCTGTAAGGAGTAAGTAACTTACATAAAGAGTTTACGACAGAGCCTGGTAAGTGCGATGTGAGTGTCAGCAGTTCTGTGACTGGCTGGGGTCGGGCAGGGGAGCTCTGAGACCAGCTACCCAGGGATTTGGGAGCTGGACAATGCCAAGGTCCTGCGTCAGCCCAGGGCTCTGGCTCACACTGGGCCCTCTGTCTCAGAGACTCTGATCCTTGCCTGTCCTTGGCTGACCAGAGGGGAGGTGCCAGGCGTGGGATGGGGGTACGTTCCTGAGGGCTGAGGTCTGGAGTGGGAAGGGGAGGGGCAGAGAAGGCAGAGTGGGACAGCAGGGACTCCTCTCTAACAGAAGCCCAGTGCTGTCCAGAGGTCAGGAAAGGTGGAGCCACTCCCAGCCCCAGGGAATGAATCATGATTGGTCTAAGCCAATCCCAGTAACCCCAATGACTATGCTTTGTTCGGGGAGAGAGGGCAGGTGGTGCAATTTTGGCCAGCAAAACAAAAGAAAATGTCTGCTGGGGGACTTCTGGGAAAAGTTTCTTTGCTCTTGAAAAGAAATGAGTCACAAGAAGCAAGTTGTTTTCTGCCTCTGGCTGCAGCTATAAGGCTGTGATACTTGGAGCAGTGGCAGCCACCTCATGACCATGAGGGAACAGCCCACCCTGAGGATGGAAGAGAGAGAAAAGGGAAAACAAAAACCATGGCCTCAGGGGATGTTGCTGAGTCATGGAATTAAGCAACGCTGCCTCTGGAACATCTCGTCCTATGAGATAACACATTTTCTTTATGGTTGATGCCTGCAGTGGTCGATTCTTCTATTACTTGCTGCCTAAAGCACCCTGACTCAGCATCTTAGCCTGACCTCCTCTTTCTGGCTTGGGTCCATGTGGGTGCTCAGGTGAGGAATGGGGCTGGGTCAGACCAGTGCCCTTTTCTGTACAGACAAGGGACTTCAGGCAGGTAGGAAGACCCCACCCCACCCCCCAAGATCCTGGATCCCAGGAATGAGTGTAGAGCCCAGGAAAGTTACTTACCTGAACTCAAGAGGGACTTGTATTAGTCTGTTTTCATGCTCCTGATAAAGACATACCCAAGACTCGGCAATTTACAAAAGAAAGAGGTTTATTGAACTTACAGTTCCACGTGGCTGGGGAGGCCTCATAATCATGGCAGAAGGTGAAAGTCATGTCTCACATGGTGGCAAACAAGAGAAGAGAGCTTGTGCAGGGAAAGTCCCCTTTTTAAGACCATCACATCTCATGAAACTTATTCACTATCACAAGAACAGCATGGGAAAAACCTGCCCCCATGATTCAATCACCTTCCACCCGGTCCCTCCCACAACATGTGGGAATTCAAGATGAGATTTGGGTGGGGACACAGCCAAACCATATCTGAGCTACAGGTGCCTCTTCTGCCCAGTGACCTAGAAGGTTATGTTTCTCACCCTTGAGTCTTTGGGGACTTGAGGCTTCAAGATCATGCTGGGCTTGAACTGACGGTGCCTGTTTGGGACCACATGGGCAAAGGCAGGCGGGAGGATACAAGCTGGGCTCCCCACCATCCTCGGCTGCTGTAGGAAGGAGACACAGCAAGCAGGCCTTGATTACAGGGCTGTACTTGAGGAGCTCTAGGAGCCCCTTCTGCTGAGACACAAGAATAATTAACCTACAAGGGAGTCCTTTATAAACTGTAATGTACAGTTCACATATCAAGTGCTCATATAACATGACGCTGGTACCTGACACATGACGGGCACTTCATGGATATTTGTTGGTTTCATGAATAAATGAATGAGTGGATGAGTACTGACTGATGTCATGAATGAATGAATGAGTGAATCCTAGTGTCATTACTATTATGGGATGTATTCGTCATTACTCCCAAAACTTAGAGGCTTAAAACAATACACGTTTACCATCTCACTGTTTCTGTGGTTCAGGAATCCAGACATGGCTTGACTGGGTTCTAGCTGCAGGATCTCTCACTAGGAGGGCCTTGTTGATAAATCAGGGCTGGCTCAGCCCTCCATCCCCTGCCTATAAGTTCTCCAAGGCCCAGCATGAGCCTCTCATGAGGCAGGCATCCTCGCATGTGGTAGGCATCCTCAATTGTGCTAAGCCCCAGACCCCAGGGTTCAGGCTGCCACTGGGACTTCTAGAGTATATGCCCCACCTTTGAGGGCTGGTCAGAGCTTGTTGGGAAGGCCTCTTCCTCCCCCAAGTTACTCTCCAACTGGTCAAGAGACCCTAAGTAAGACCAGATAGCGAGTTGTTTCTTGGGAGCAAGACTCGGTCTTGAAGCTGGTTGGTTCACATTGTATTTTAGCAGATGTTCAGAATCAGCCACCTGCCTTGGTTCTACCACCCTAGGACCAGGAGCCTAGGCTAGCTAGAGAGACCCTGGCCCTGACCCTGGCTCAGGGCCAGGACCAGGGCAGACAAAGTGGGGAGTCTCTCCAGGAAGCCGTAACGACTAGGGGTTTGTGCTCACACCATCACCATCTCCTCCTTTTTCAGCATTTCCAAGCCCCAATCACCCAAATGACCCCACAGTTCCCTCCACCCACCTGCCCCACCCAGAATCCACTGCTGAGGGTTATCATGCCTCCCTGGGGCCTACCAAGAACCCATGTGAAATTGGCTCTGAGCCAAGGCATCAGATGGGCACAGGGGCCTCCTGCCCCTCCACACCCCTTCTCGCCAGAGCCAGCTTCACAGACATGTGGCCCAGGCAGTTGTGTGGGGCCCATGCTTTGTTTGATGCTCTGCTGTTGCTGTCTTGAAATTCTTAATTTATTTCTCACAAAGAGTCTCTATTTTTCAGTTTGCAAGGGGCCCTGCAAATTATGTAGCTGATCCTGCCTCCAGCCATCACTCCCTGGGGTCCTCACAGCCTTTCTTTGAAGCTAGGAGAGCAGAGACTACAAGCCCTATTTGTAGATGAGAAAACTGAGGCCCGAGGAAGCCAGGACCATACCCTGGACTCTCCTTCAACCCTTGGGCACACCGCGAGGCACCAACCTCAAACCCCAGGCCTGAACCTGGGGAGGAATTGCTCACAGTAGTCCCTCCTATGTTTCCACAGGAGTGCAGGAGGGACACCCCTTACTGCTCTTGACCCCAGCTTCCTACTGCAAGAGCCTTCTTCCATCTCTTCCTTCACTTTTGTTCTGGAAATTAACTAGTGGTCAATGGGGTAGCAAATCTACTCCTGGGTTTGTAAAACATGAACATACACACACATACATACCTACACACATACACACAGTCACATACACACACACACTCACATACACACACACACACACACAGCCCCTGTAACCAGGTTATCCTTCTTGGCCCAGCCCCCAAGTGCCTTCCCAGATGGGAGATGTGTGCCCCACCCCCTCCCCAACCTGAGGCCCAACTCCCACCAACAGCTGCTCCCACACCCCAAGGACTCTGCTTTCCCTGCAGAACATCAGGAACATTCTGCCAAAATTGCCACTGGGGGACTCAGCACCTCCCTCCCCCACTTCCTGACTGGAAAAGCATGTGCAGAATTCCCTCGCCTCCCTGGAAGTCTCTCCTGCCCAAACCCCTCTCCCTTGAGGACCGTGCTTGGCTGCTGCAGGGACGACTTGTTAGCAACTGCAGCCCTTCTCTCTGGGGGCCCCTCTGCCCACCCCCTCATCGCCATCCCCTTTCCTCTCTCTCTTCCTTCACTTGTTCACCTCACTTGGCCCCTTACTCCACACGTGGGGAAAGTGAGGTTCAGGGGAAGGGTTCATCTCAGTTGCTGCCTCTGAAGACTGACCTGCTGGGCGAATGAGGCCGAGGGCCCAGAGCGCCCTGGCCTGGCACCCAGCCATGCTCAGCAGCTGTCCCTTCCTCCCTGCGACTCCTCCTTCCATCTTTGTTCCCATCTGTCCCTCTGCCACTCCCTCAATCTCCATATTAGCTGCCCGTCCACCCTGACCCCCAGCTCTCCACCTGGCTGAGCTCCAGGAAGGCCTTCTCCCTAATCCCCACCCACCTCCTGCCTTAGGAGTGCCCCTCTCTGGAGCTCCCACCCCTAAACTGGGAACACTAGGAGAGCCTCTCAGACACCTGACCTTCCTGGCTCCACAGCTCAGGCCTGGTGGCGGGCAGTGGGCAGGGAGGTACCCAGTGGCGGAGACCCTCCCTGGCCTCCAACTTCTGCTCCCCAGGCCCGGGCCACGACCAGCCCCAGCCTGTCACTTGGCAACGGTGCCTCCTGTATGAATAACAGCTCTTTAATTAGGATATTATAGGAAGTGGGGCCTGTGGCAGCTACTTGCTAGAAATGCCAGCAGCAATTCCTGAGCCGCATGGAAATGGACAGATCCTGTGTCACACCCGGTGCCACCGGCTCCCCGCCACGGAGCTCGCGTCCAAATGAGATTTCTTTCTCCCTGAAGAAAACAATTTGATCTCACTCTCTTTTCTCCCTTTTTTTTTTTTTTGTTTTTTTCAAACTCTCCTCTGATTGTCAGGACTGAAAATACTTACTGGGACCCAGTTCATTGTTTTCAGATTCAATTGGGCCCAGGGAGATGGCGGAGGTGGGGTGGCCTCCCATGGCTTGGCTGGGCATTGGTCACCTGAGAGGGCTCTGCTCTGGGATCACTTTCAGTCATGATGATGATGAGGACACTGACCATAGCTGTGTGGCTCAAATATGTACACATATTAGTTCATTTGATTCTCACACAACCCTACAAAGATACTAGCATCCCCATTCTAAAGATGAGGAAACTGAGGCCCAGAGAGGTTAGTCACATTCTAAAAGCAGCTGGCAAGTGGGGAAGCCAGGAAGAGAATCAAGGACTCTGGAGTTATTCATCTATTTTTTAGAGAGACAGGGGTCTGGCTGGCTGTTGCCCAGACTGCTAGAGTGCAGTGGTGCAATCACAGCTCGCTGCAGCCTCAAACTAGGCTCAACCCATCCTCCTGCCTCAGCCTCCTGAGTAGCTGGGATGACAGGGGTGTGCCTGGCAGATTAGTCATATATTACCACTGTATCAGTTCCAAGGAGATCAGTACATTCTGAGGAAATATAAGACCCCGGACCTCAGTTGCCTCATCTTTAAAATGGGAATAGTGACATCTTCCCTACCGATGACACAGGGCTATCATGAGCATTTCCAGAAAAGAACAGAAAGGAAAATGCTCAGAATGCAAACTTGAGGTCAGGCATATAGTCGGCAAGAAAGGAGAGAAAAATATGACCTGGGGGTAGAAAGAGGAGGCCAGAGAAGACTCCCATGTCTCCTCCTCCCATGAGCTCAGCACCCAGGGAAAGGAAAGGGAAGGGCTAGTGGGGCGGGGCGGGGCAGGGCTGAGGCTATGGCCTCCCCCACCCCCATCCGACTCCACACCACCAAGACCCCCATCCCACAGGAATTTTCCTGCCAGCCCAGGAGCAGACACAAGCATTTAGCAACATGTCTTCCTCCTCAGCTTGCTCCAGCACATATGTCCATGTACCTGCCAAGGCCCCTGCCCTGGGGTCACATTTGCACCTGCTTTCTGTACCCTGAGCTCCACCAACCCGAGCCTCTCCCTGCTTCCTGCATACACCTGCCATTGATGCTACCAGTGCTGAATCAAGCTATCTCCTCCACCTGGGATTCCCTCCCCATCAGGTCTAACTACTTATCCTTCAAGGTTCTGATTCAATGGCCACTTTCTTCCTAATAGGAAGATATGAGATAGGGAGAGAATGGGAGAGGAAGCACTGGCCAGGAGCTTGAAATCCTGGCTTCTCACTACCGGTTTGCCAGGGGGCCTGGGGCTAGCACTGATCCTCAATGGGCCTCAGTTTTCTCATCTGTAAATTGGAGCCCATGGAGCTGGTGATCTCTAAGCTCCCTCTACAGATATGGTTTCTCAGTGCAACCTCGATTCCTAGGCCTGGTCTCAGAGACTGTAAACAGATTCTTAGAGAGCTGGAAATAAAGATTGTGTTCCCATCTGTGGAATGAGGTTGACCCTGATACCCTCAAGGAAGCAGACAGACAAGCGGTCATAGTGGGAAGTGCCTAGATTCCAGTCCTGGCTCTGCCTTCAGCTTGCTGGGTGACCTCAAGCAAATCTCTCACCTTCTCTGTGTCTCAGTGTGCCAGCTGTAACATGAAGGACTTCTACAACCCTTCCTCCTGTAAAATTCTAAGATTCTGGGCTTCCAGCTCCTACCCCTGCCTACCTGGGACAGAGGGGATGGGAGGTTGGGGGAAGTATGGAAATTTCAGGGGAGGAGTCCAGAATATTATCCTTATACCTCCCCCAGACCCTGACCCACCACATCCAAAGGGCAACATCAGCTAGTCCCAAACCAGGGCTGCTGGGTTTGGAGAGCAGCTGCCTCATCACAGACCTCAACACAGTGGCTGGTCCCCAGGCATCAGACAGTGCACAGACTCATTACCATTGTGACTATGAAGCCACAGTGACATGGCTTTGAAATCTAAATGAAAGAACCACAACAGAGACCCCTTCCCTATGGCTCAACCTGACACCAGGATTTATTGCTTTCATTTTAATAGGTTAATTACTTTGACAGGTAGGTGTTTGAGAGGCTTCCTCCTCAGCACAGGGCAATTGTGGGGTGACCAGCTTTCCCCAGGCAAGCTCTCAGTGAATGCAGTGGGAGGTGGAGCCAGGCCAGCCTTAATTACCTGAGCGGGGGTGGTTGGGGGTTGTATTAATCTCAATGATGCTCCTCTCGGAGCAGAGTGCTTTGTTGGGGCTGTGAAAATACAGATCTTCGCACAGGCAGCCAGACTGGATTTATAGAAAACAACTGAACTCTGCGTCTCCAGCTACCATTAGCATTTCCCACCTTGTTCTTTACAGGTGGGGCTGATCTCCCCTGATGGACGGGCAGCTCCTGGAAGGCAGGGCTGTGCTGATTGATGCCTGGGGCCCACTCCTATTCATTCGTTCAACTGGCGTGTATGGAGCGCCCACCATACATCAGGCACTGTTCTAGGTGCTGAGATTGTAGCAGCGGACAAAACAGAAATCCCTGCTTGCCTGGAGCTTACATTCTAGCAGGAGGAGAGAGCCGATAAGCAAAAGAAAGAGGTTGCTAATTGCATTCGTTTTATCTTGCTACGTAAGCAATGACCACACACTTTGCGGCCTCAGATAAGGCCCACTAATCATCTCATCATTTCCATGTGTCAGGAATCCACACACAGCTTAGCCGGACCCTCTGCTTAGAGCCTTGTGTGGCTGAAGTCAAGTTGTTGGCCGGATTGCATTCCTTTCTGGAGTTCGGTGTTCTCTTTCGAGTTCAAGTGGTTGTTGGCAGATCCAAGTTCCTCGCTGGCTGTCAGCAGGGGCTGCTCTTAACTGCTAGAGGTTGCTTTTGGGTCCTTACCAGGCGACTCCCTCCATCTTCAAAGCCAGCAACGGAGAACTTCCCCACGTCCAGCTTTGAATCTCTCTCGCTGGATGCCCAGTCCCTTTTGAGAGCTTATCTAATAGGGCTGGGCTCCTGGAGGATAGCCTCCCTTTTTATAAAGTCAACTAATGATTTGGGACCTTAATTACATCAGCCAAATCCCTTCACGGCAGCATCTAGATGCATGATGGAATATGTTGCTGAGAGAAGGTGTGTATACACCAGGGGGCTGGAGTCTGTGGGCATCTTGAACTCTGCCTACCATGGTATGTCATATGTTAGGAGGTGCAAAGTGATCCAGAGAGAAACTAAGCAGGAAAGGGGTCACAGAGTGATGGGTGGGGGGGGTTGCAATTTTTAATATGTGCTCAGGAAAGGCACCATGAGAAGCAGCATTTGGGCAGAGGCTGCCCAATGGTGAGGGAGTTAGCCTTGGGGAGTGTGCACCCAGCCGAGGGAATGGCAAGGGCAAAGACCCCGAGGCAGCACATTGGAACAGCAAGGACCAGAGAGCCAGGGGGAGGGCCACAGGGGATGAGACCAGATGGTATAGGGCCTCTAGGCCATGGCGAGGACACCAGCTTTTCAAAAGCCGACTGCAATGCAGGATCATCAAAGGATTTTGAGGACTGGCATGATTTGACTTACATGTTTAAAAGGTCCCTTGGGCTGTGGCATTGAGAATAGACTGCAGAGGGCAAGGGCAGAGCAGGGAGATCAGTTAGGAGGCCCTTGACGTCACCCAGGGGAAGAGAGATGGTGCCTTCCACCAGGGTGGTAGCAGTGGAAGAGGTGAGAGTCAGTCAGATACTGGGCGTCTTTTGAAAGTAGAGCTGACAGGCTTCCTGGCTTAGCAGTGTGCTGTAGGGCAGAGAGAGGAGCCAAAACTCATCCCATCCCAGGCTCCATGCACAACCTCGGCCCCCAGACACCCTCGACAGGCATCTCTGGACAGCTGTATGAAAAGGAATAGGTGTCTTCTAGATTGTCTTCTTACATTAGAAGACAAGAGGCCTCCTAGGGCAAAACATTGATCCAACCTTTCAACAATACCCCAGTGTCCTAATTAAATTCTCCTATTTGCAGGCACCAAGTCAGTGCCTCACTCCATAGACCCGTCAGTGGGATCTTCAGGAGGGGTAGAAGGTCTAGATTTCAGGCTTCCCAGCCCGGCCTGCTCAGCACCCCCGGCTCCATTCACACTGCTGCAGGAATGGCCGCCCCAAAACACAAGTCACAATATGTCACTCTCTTCCTCAAAAGCGATTTCCATAGATCATCACTTCTGCAAGATGTGATCATATGGCCTCGATTCTAAGTCACCACCAATTGTCAGAGGGCCTTTGGATTAAACAACCAGCTTTCAGGGAGTTTAAAGAAACTCTACATTACATATGCATATCAATTGTATGACTACCCTATTTCATAAATATGGAAATATCCATCTTACAGTTGTAGCTGTTGTGAGGGGGAGAAAAGGGATTTTGTGGTCAACTGTGTTTGGTAAGTGCTTAGTTAACCTAAGAGTCTACCAGTGCAGGACTTGTCAGAACCTTGGATGATCACATGCACTGTGCCTCCGTTAGAGGAGTTTACAGGACTCATCTGTTTGCAAGTTTGTTTAACCCCTCATCCTCTTGATATTTTCCTTTGGCAGAGCATCTTTCAGGACTGGTGTTCCCAAGACTACACTTTGAAAATTGTTGGTTTACAGATTGAATATCAAACATCTCAGCCAGACCTTCAAGGCCCCTGTGGCCTGGCTCTACCCACCTTCCCTAATTAAGCCTCTGCTCTAGGGTTCTTATGCTTCCTCAACTGCACACTGCCTGTTCAGGCCTTGAATTTCTGCTTCTGATATAATTTCAGGCAGGATTGCCCAGCCCAATCTAATCCTCACCTATTCTTCACTCCCTCCATCAAAAAAAATACCGGCAGGGCACAGTGGCTCACACCTGTGATCCCAGCACTTTGGGAGGCCGAAGCAGGAGGATCACTTGAGGTCAGAAGTTAGAGACCAGCCTGGCCAACATGGTAAAACCCCATCTGTACTAAAAATATAAAAACTAGCTGGGCGTGAGGGTGCATACTTGTAGTCCTAGCTACTAGGGAGGCTGAGGTGGAAGGATTGCTTGAGCCCAGGAGGGGGAGGTTGCAGTGAGCCAAGATTGTGCCACTGCATTCCAAGTGAGACTGTGTTTCAAGAAATGAAAAACAAAAACCTGTTGAGCCTCTATAATGTGCCAGGAGCTCTTCCAGGCATAAGTGACAGAGTAGTGAACAAGACCAGCCTGGCTCAGGCCTCAGGGACTATACACTGCATGGAAGATGCAACATTCACACAGACGCAAGAGTATGCACAGGACTGTGAATCATGTCAGGTGTCATGAAGAATAAAAGCAGCAGGGGACTAACTGCATTTGGAACAGGGCTCTTTGAGATGGGATCTAGAGGATGAATAGGAACCCACCAGGTGTAGGGTGAGGACACAGGTCATAGTGTGTGGGAAGACTCTGCTGGACAAGATCTGGCATATTTGAAAAACTAAGAGGAAACCAGCACAGTGGATTGCAGTGAATGAGACAGAAAGAGGTGAGGCTGAGGTTGTGCTGGGACTCATGGACCATTTTTTAAATTGGGGGATTTTATGTTTATGGCAATGGGCAGGGACTAAAGGGCTTTACATACACAGTCTATGGTGTGTAAGACATTTGGGAAGGGCAGGAGAGAGTGTGGGGAGAGTCTAAGAACTACATCATTATTTCAAAACTCAACCCAAATTTATTGACAGGTGGAGCTGAAAGCTCAGGGATAGGGAAAGGATCCAGGTAAGGCTTGATCAGGGTTCAAATAATGCTGCCATGACCCTATTTCTTTCCCTCCATCTCTTGTCCCTCTTTACTCTTGGTGGCTCCATTTCCTCCCTAACCTCAGGATTATGCTGCATGGGGCAAGCGGCTGCCATAGCTCCCATCCCATATCCACTCCTGTCCAGACATAGCCAGGAAAAAGCTGATGCTGCCTCCCTGATAACATATTCAAGTCCTGGAATTGAGTCTTATTGGATCTGATTGGTCTGATTTCAGTCATGTTCCTAACCCTGAACCAATCACTGTGGCCAGAGGAATGGAAGAAATCACTGGCCTGGCCTGGGTCATAGGCCTCACCTTTGGAGCCAGGATGGAGGCAGCTTCCTTGGAACCACATGACTTGAAGGAGGAGGAGGTGCATCCCCCAGATGACAAACAGGGGCTATGATGGGAAATACAGTGACAGAAGGCTGGGTGGCCCTAAACAACAAATATCTACTAAAGAAGATACTGAGGCATCGAGGCAAGTGGTGATGGGGCCTTGGGCCAGGGCATGACAGTGGACATGAAGAGAAGGGATCAGATTTGACATATGTTTTGGTGGTAGGATCAACAGGACTTGGTGACAGGTGGATGTCAGTGATGAGTCTCTCAAGTTTCTAGCTTGGTAATCCTGAGACAATGGCAGAGCCACTTAGTTAAGATAAAGAAGATGCAAGGCGAAGCAAATTTGCAGCTTCAGAAAGGGGATTGGTTAAAAACCTTTCATCCTTCAAGGCCTTGCTCATATGTCCTGTCCTCCAGGATGCCCTCCAGGATTCTGCCCTTGCAGAATTGCTTCCCCTTTTCTCTACCCTGCCAGCCTTGCGACCTGCTTTGCACACTGCTTGTATCCAACAGCATCATTCATTGTTCCCATCCAGGGACAAGGACAGTGCCTTATTAATCTCAACCCTCTCTGCGGGCCTGGCACATAGTAGGTGCTCAGTGAATAACTACTGAATTAAATGGAAATAAACTCTTGAAAGGGAGGGGACCCTCCCTACTCCCCATGAGATCTCAAATCTTGAATTTCTCAGAAACCCATTCCCAATTTCCTGTGTGGCCCAAAACAGGTTAACCAGGCGTCTGGATTCCTCCCCCTCAGAAAGGGAGGCCACAGCTTCCCAGACAGCTTTGTGTTCCCATGGAAAGCCCTGCCCAGCCCCTCTGCAGCTGCTTTACCAGCTGCTTTGCTTTATTGGGCTGAGCAATTGTTTAAAGGAAGACATCGTAGCCTGCAGTAAAATCTATATTGTATTTCTAAACTATAAAGCAGTGATAGAATTTGCTGGGCCTCCTAATGTCTCCAGGAGTAGAAATCACTCTAACCTTCCAATGAAACGCCAACGCCCTAATTAAAGTCTCCAAGGCTGAAGTCTCCCCGCTGGAGCTTCCCTCCTCTAAGTAGCCCTTTTCTTGGTGAGACCTGGGAGACTGCCACATTCAGCTACAGACCCTGAGAACCCCCGAGAACAGAAGATTCAGATAGGATCATGCTGAACCCCATTTGATCTCCATGTAGAGCCTACAGGAACCTTCTGGGGGCCCTTTTTGGCCCTCCTACTTCTTGCCCCACCTCTGGGGGCATCTAAGGCCTATTCTGTTTGATTTGGTTTGGCTTTTCCACCACTGCTCTTGTCCTAGAGTTTAGACAGAAAGGTCTGGTTTGGGGTAAAGTGGCAAACTTCAGGAAGAATCCAGCCACGGTGGGAGGGACCCTCAGCCCTTCCCCTTCAAAGGATGGCAAACATCAGAATGAGCTTCAAGTGAGATTTTTCAGAAACAGAAAATGTCAGAGTGAAAATAGAAGTGTTGCCAGTCTCGCCTCCTGCCTCCGCTCAGTAGAGCCTGTGCTCATGCCGAGATGGGTGATGGCAGGGTGGAGGAAGAGGTTGGGCCCTTGACCTAGTTGGGTTCCCTTCAAGATGCCCCAGCAAGGACACAAGGTTGGGGCTGGGCTGGGCAAGAGGAAGAGTGAGGTGATGGCAGGATCTCCAGGTAGGATGTCAGCCTCAACTCAAGCGAAGTCACACGTACTGGCCACAGGCCTGTGTTCTCCATCCTGTCCAGGCTAGCAGATTTGGACAACCCAATAGAAAACTGTAATAGGGTATGATTAAGGGAAGGGGAGCTGGAATGGGCATAAAGCTTGGCTCAGTGGCACAAGAAACAGAAAATATCTTACAGTTTTTTATTCAACATTAAGTGCAAAATGAGTCAACAGGATTACGCAGCTACTAAAAAGCCAGTGTGACCTTAGGTTGCATTCACAGAAGTATGGGGTTCTAAAAAGGGAGGGAGGGGATTGTCTCCTCTTGCTCCTATAGGAATCAACCCGGCAGATTATATCCGGGTCTGACCTCTGTCACTTTATCGCCAAAGAGAGATTGGGCCTCCATAACCTGTCAGTCAGTCAAATGCCAGCACATGAGGATATGTGCTCACACTCATATGGATCCTGAAGAATGTTCAACTGTCCTCTCTCTTTTTCTCCTCTCTCCACTTCTTCTTGGAGGCTCTCCTGCAGTTCCTCAGTTACTCAGCCACCACTGGTTCCACTGCTGGCTGTGGGAGACAGAAGCTCCAGGTTCTGGGGAGGAGGGGAAGGGAGGGATCAAAGGTTTCCTGGTGTGACCCAGCCTCAGGAAGAAACACCAATCTAAAGCCAGTGGGTCTTACTCGCAGAGTCAGCCTCCTGCTAGTCTTCCTGTCTTCTGACTGAACGAGTATTTGCCGCCTTTTCTGCCTTTAGCTGTTTTGTTCTAGCTTCAGGATGTTCCAGGCCCCAGGAAGCGGACGGAGGTCAGGAGAAGACCAAACCCACCCCAGCTTGGAGCTCTTCAGATAAGGGTGCCTGGCGGGCAAGGGCTGTGAACCCTGTTCAGTGGAGATGGAAGGGCTGAGGCAACTGAGAGACCAGCTGGCAAATGGGGAGGCCGGGGTACGATGGCCATCTGCAGGCAGCTGCAGGTCTGTTGGGAGCATCTGGCTGTGTGGACTTAACCTGACTCTGTGGTAGGAGAGACAAGAGGAGGATTGTGGTCAGTAGAAGGAAGAATTTTCGAAGGGTCTGAGCTAATCCAAGAAGAGGCTTCCCAGGAAATACCCTGTCATGGGAGGCGTTCAAGGGACAGAGTGGCTGGTCTTTGGTGGGAACAAAAGTGAGGAGAGGTGATGCTGAACTTGACTTTGTCTCACTTCTAACAGATTCATTAAGCTGTTCTCTCACACTGAGACCTTGGGCAAGTCATCCTGCCTGTTCCTGCCCATTTCCCAAGCAGCACTATGAGGGGTCACCTCCGCTTCCAAGATTGTGGACCATCCTGGCCCAGAGTCAGCCCTGATGGCTCTTCCTGGAGGATTTGCTGGGGTCTGCTCTGGAGGTTTGGAACTCAACCCAGGGGCCCAAGCAGGCACGTATGAGTGAATGTGTATGTGTGAACACACATAGGCACATGGGTGCATGTATGCGTGGGGGTGTGTGTGCATGCAGGGGTGCGTGTGTGTGTTAATGCCTATAGACATATGGGTGCATGTATGCATGGGTGTGTGTGTGCATGCAGGGGTGCATGTGTGTGAATACACATAGGCTTATGGGTGCATGTATGCATGGGTGTGTGCGTGCATGCATGTGCGCATATGTGGGTGCCTGCGTGTATGCACAGGGGCATTGGGGGAGATAAAAGCACAAACTCAGACTACCTGGGGGTGGCACAGCTCTGTGTCTTGGGACAGGTCACTTTACCTCTCTGTGCCTCAAAAGCCACCTGCAAAATGGACGTACCAATAACACCTGCCCCATACAGGTATCTGAGGCTGAGTGAAGGAATGCTTGGAAAGTGCTGAGGACAGTGCCTGGCACCTGGGAGGTGCTTGATCAGTCTGAGCTACCATTATAGTTATAACAGTGTCCAATCTGCCTCCCTCAAATATTTAACTCCTCACCTGCTGCTCCCTGGATCACCAGGAGAACCCTGGGGGCCAGGCTGAGGTCCTACTTCACCAAGGGGAGGCTTAGGGACACGGAGTGACTCAGCTGGGGAAGGTCTGTGCCATTCGCAGAGCCGAAGGGACTGGAAGCAAACTAGTTCCTTCCAGGCTGAGATGGGCATCTCAGGTGGGTGGGCCACCTCAAGGGAGTCTGCCGGGGGCTGTGGGGATACTGGGAGGAGGAATAACTCATAGTACTATGGGGGGCAGGAAGTGTGAGCACAGGGGCTCTCCACAGGCCGCTGGGACCCCCACCTTACCCAGAGGCTTTGCTGACTTTGGCCAAACCAGGGCTTTGGGAACAACATCTGCCTCAGCATCCTCCTTAACTCACTTCAGCTGGCCCCAGACCCTGGTCAAATGGAACTGCCTTCTGCCTTTTCCACATGCTCCACCATTTTCTTCTTCTGGAACTTTGCTGAAGCTTTTCCCTTCACCTGAAATGCCAAATCCTACACACGCTGCTGGCCCAGCCATACTGACGTCGGGCAGGCCACTTAACCTTAAGATAACATCTTAAGTTAAGGTGTTATCTCTGTGCCTCTCTCTCTCCTCATCTGTAACATGGGAGAGTTGGACTTGCTGATCTTTAAGCTCCTTTCCAAGGCCTAATTTAAATCCCCTCCCCACCACCCCCAGATGAAAATAGTCACCCTGTCCTCTAAAACCCCAAAGTTTCTTGAAGGTGAGTGGTTCTGAGTTGGATTCATTTCTGTTTCCCTCTGGTGGGTGATGGATGAACAGGTGGACAGAATGAAATGAGCAGCCCTCGGGAAGCATTTGTGTTCTATTTATTTATTATTTATTTTTGAGATGGAGTCTAGCTCTATTGCCCAGGCTGGAGTGCAATGGTGCAATCTCAGCTCACTGCAACCTCCACCACCTGGGTTCAAGTGATTCTCCTGCCTCAGCCTCCCAAGTAGCTGGGACTACAGGTGCACACCACCATGCCTAGCTAATTTTTGTACTTTTAGTAGAGACGGGTTTCACCATGTTAGCCAGTATGGTCTCGAACTCCTGACCTCAGGTGATCTGCCTGCCTTGGCCTCCCAAAGTGCTGGGATTACAGATGTGAGCCACTGTGCCCAGCTGGTATTTGTGTTTTAAAACAGACCCCTGGAGTCCAGGAGAAGACACTTCCCCCATCAAAGAATGAAGTGCTGATGGCTGAACTACAGCATCCTTGGGCAGAGGGTGAGATACTAGGGCAGGGAAGAAAGAGAGGTTCCAAAGTCAAACAACCACCTAGACAGGGTCCTCCTCAGCTCTGCCCATTTCCTGGGGGCCCCAGGGACACCCTCCCCAAGGCTACTCCTCCTCTGCCCCCATCCCAGCTCAGCACTCTCCCAGGCCCACTGCCACTTCACCCTCCAGCAAAGCTCCTCTGACCTGACATCACTTGCAAGCCCCCTGCAATTGAGGCAGCTGAGTAATCTGTACACAGTTATACAGCCCAGGACTTCCAGTGCCCACTCTAGGGCTCCCTCCACAGCCATCATCACCCCTCCGGGCCCTCCAGGCCAGCGTGTCTCTGTCATCACCAACCATCTGTTGATTTGGAGGTGAGGGTGTCCAAGCTAGACAAGGGTGAGATCAACCCTCCCCTCACCTCCAACCTTCCCCAAAATCCTCCACCTTTCCCAGCACTCCCTGGGATTTCGATCTGGGACCCCAGAGGGAGAGGTTTGCTGTGACTTTGCTGTTTCAATTCTCCCCTACCCTGCATCTGCAGCACACTTTCCCCAAGCAAAACCACTAAATCACTTTTATAGGATTTGAGGTTCTTTCTACCCAGCAAGTTTCCTGCCAATATGAAATGTCTTCCAGGATCTAGGGAAGACGGGTTGGCTGGAATGGCTGTTCATTAGAGGAAGATTAATGGAGCCACTGATCCAATTAATGTGTTATTGACCCTTCCCTTAATATAACCGGCCAAACAGCTCAACCTCAGGCTCTAGGCAGTTTACTCAGAGCTCAGGTCCCGTTTGTGGGGAGAGCAGGCTCAGTAAGCTCCACCCCACCCACAGTACCCGGGGGTAACAGAGAAGCCTCTCTCCCATCAAGGAGGGGTGAGAGCCTCACCTCCAATCCCATAAGCAAGCAGTATGCCAGCTCACATGGATTGAGAGCTTCCTATGTGCCAGGCACCGTGCCAAACACTCTGTAGGCACAATTTCAATAATCCCATTAGTCCCATTTTACAGAGAGGAAAACTGAGGTTTAGAAAAGTTAACCTGCACAAGATAACCCAGGAAGCTGTAAATGTAGTACTCAAACCCAACAACTAATAATAATAACAGCAAACATGTACATCATGCCTACTAAACGCCTTGCATTGCTCTAGATCACTGTTAAGCAATGGAAATAGAATACAGGCCACATACGCACTGTAATCTGAAATTTTCCAGTAGCCACATTAAAAAAAGCAAAAAGAACCAGGTGAAGTTCATCTTAACAATATATTTCATTTAACCAAATATGCCCAAAATATTATCATTTCAACATGTTACCCATATAAAAATTATTGGAGAGATGCATTCCTATTTTTCTCATACTAAGTTTTCAAAAGCTGGTGGGTATTTTAGTCTCATGGTCCAACTCAATTTGGACAAGCCACAGTTCAAGTGCCCAAGAGCCAGAGGGGCCAAGTGGTTGCCCTATTCTACTGTGCAGGTCTAGATGCTTTGTGTATATCCATTCATTTCTTCTTGGTTAGTTCTACCAGGTGACTGTTTTTATCATCATCCCCCTTTAACAGATGAAATGCCTGAGAATCAGAGAGGTGAAGGGACTGGCGTAAGGTCACACAGCAGGTGACTGGGATTCGAACCCCGGCAGGCAGACTGTGGAGCCTGTGACCTCACCCCAGTGCTGCACTACCTGATCCTACCAAGCAAGCGAGGCAGCCGCCCTCACACTGGAAACTGTGAGGCTCCAGGAGGGTCTCCAGCTCCCAAAACAGCCCTCTGCTCTAGGATACATGGCCCTGACAGGTCTTTAAGACACAAAGGCAAAAGCTGCTGTCCCCAAAAAGCCTCAGAGACAGTCCCCAGGGTGAGTTTTTCCTCCCTCCGTGGAATTAGAAGGACAATAACTGCCACCACGTACTGGGGGCTTATGATGTGCAAAGCCAGTGCCAGGCTTTTCACATTTGTTATTTCATGGACTCTCCATGACAATCCTGTGAGGGGGGTTGGTTTTCCCTGTCATAGCCTCAGAAAGGTTAAGTAACTTATGCAATGTCACACAGCCAGTCAGTGGCAGGGCCAGGAGTAGAACCCATGGCTGCGAGACTCTAAAGCCCACACTCTGTCCTTGAATAGCTAAGCAGACCCCAACACTGATTCAAGATCACTGCTTCCCAGAACCCAGCCCCACTGTCCAAAGCTATAACCCCAGCTCTTCACCTGGACAGTGACTTTGTGCAATTTCCAGCACCTCCTGCAGACACCTTGCTCATCTCCATCACCTCCTGCACTGTCCCTGGTCCCACCCATGGCTGACAGTGGGTCCTCGCCATCTGTCCCGTCTCTGCCTGCATGGCCCTGCCTCCTCTCCATCTGTGTCTCTGTTCCCTCATACCTCAAATGTTCCAATTTGTTCACCACCTAAAGTCCCACTGTTACCCCCTTGGGTTAAGAAATCCCCTTTCTTACATAAAGCACAACAAATACCCCTGAAAGAAGCTATAAATCAAGGACTCCTCTGTGAGAATTCCTTTGACCGAACTCTGTCCCTCCCAGAGGCCCACTTGTAGGAACTGGAAGCTTAATATAAAAGGAAACAAGGAATTAACTTCAATCAGAGCTGGATGGGCCCATAGAGATCGTCCAGTCCATCCCCCTCATTTCACATACAGGGAAACTGAGACACAGAGGAGTGGATGACCCGAGATACACACTCAGGACTGTGGCTCCTACAACAGTGCCCCTCGCCCTGTTAGAGCTGGTGAAACGTTCACTAGCAAGAGTGGTACCTGCCCTGCACTCAGAACCTTGCTCCAGGGAGAGGCCCCAGTGCTCAAAAGTCTTGGCAAAGAATGTGCACTCAGCTTCAGCAGGTGGGCAGGAAGGAGAAGCGTGGAGCCCTCTGAGGGCAGATGAAATGAAAACCAGGAAGGCAGCTGACCCTGCCCTGCTTCCCATCCAGGTCTGAAGGGCTCCCCTAGCCAGGCTCACCCCTCACCCCATTATGCAGCAGAGGGTGTAGATGTGGCACCCACAGAAAAGCAGCAGTCTTTACCTCCCAGCAAGCCTGAGATGCGGGGGGGATGGCCACCCCCATTTTAGAGATAAAGTGACTGAGGCTCAGAAAGATGAATGGCCTGGCCAAGGCCACACAGCCGGGGTGTTGCCAAACCCAAAGCCTGGGTTCCTGCCCCTGCCCCAGATGAAGGACTAAGGACTCCCAGCCCAGGGCTTCCTCCACAACCCCATGCTGCCCTGAAAATCCCTACTCTATCTCTGACGTCAACTCTTTTATTGATACCAGCAGCCGCCTTTGCCCTCGCTGAGCCGAGCCGGGCAGCACAGCCAGCCCACTCCACATAATTTGGTGCCAATTAGGAATGAGTGGGAACCATCAGTGCATTCAATTCAAAGCCTAGAAACAGGCTCTGCAAAGCCAAGCCTTAACTAGCTGGGATGTCCCCCCCCAAACTATCCCAGCCACCCCTTTTCCTTATCTCAGAATCCCTTGCCACTGCCAGGAGCCCTCCACCACCCATGTGCAGAGTCCTTCCTGAGGATCCAGGAGATCCTGGTGGGAATGAGTCACTGCCCCTGCCCTCGAGGGGCTCCCAGGAACAAGCTTGGCAATGGAGCACTGAGGTAGCTCCCAAAGCCCTTGCGGCCAAAGCCTCAGTTTCCCCATTGGTAGAAGGGAGATAAGAATGATGAACACTTTATAGGATGGTGCTTTATAGCACTGGATCCACCAACCCTTCTGATCTCCTGCTCAGTGCCAGCCATGACTCTGGATACTGGGGACACAGGAAAACCATGTCGTGCCCTCAAAGTGCTCATTCTGATGGGAGAGATGGACAACAGACAAGCCTTATATATAAAAAATAACATTTTAGATACTATGAAAATAAGCAGCGTAAGCACTAGAGAGGGACCGGAAGGGTGGACAATAAATGGTAGTCATTGTATTCATTCCTATTACATTATTTGCTCATCTGGGGCTTGATCACTGAGTGGGAGTTCATTAGGCAGACAAGCTGGAAGGAAGCAAATTCCAGGTGGAGGACACAGCACAAGCAAAGAGAAGGAGGCTGGAAGGGACCTGATGAGTCCCTGCAACTGGTGGTTCAGAGGGGCTGGGGTGGGCGTGGGACATATAGGAGCCCCATGAGGCTGGTGAGGCAGGGATTCCAGCCACGAAGGGCTCTGGACATGATCCTCAGGAACTGAACCTTCTCTTTGGGGCCTGAGGGGCCATGAAAGGGATTTCCACGGGGAGTAAAATGCCACACTGGCACTTCTGTGTGTCCATTCTCGTTGCTGCAATGTGCACTGGGGTGGGAGGGAGACTGCCAACAGGCAGACCCATGGGGATGCCGAGGCCCTGACCGGGGCGGCCATGGGCAGGGAGGGAGGGAGACAGCAACAAGAGGTGTTCGGGAGGCAGATGAGACAGGGCTTGGTGACTGATAGGAAGTGGGAGGCAAGTGATAGCTTGGGGACTATGAATAGCGGTGTCTTCTGGCACACTGTGGGGTGCAGCCCCCAACACAGGCAACCCAGTCCCCTCATGGAAAGTGGGTTGCGATGCCATTAGGACACACCTGTTTTCCTGTGGTGCAGGGCAGTTGCGCCGCAGCAAGTCTCCAGCCAGCCGTGGCTGCTGGGACTCCAAGCTCTGTGCACAGCACCCCCTCTGCCAAGAGTGCCCTTTTGGGACTGGCCGCAGTTCAAATAGTGACTCCCCTGGGAAATCTTCCCCAACTTCCTTGCAGAATTAGTCACCCCTTTCCCTGGCTTGTGCCAGCATCTGATTCACAAATGTGTTAGTCCTTCACCCACAACAGGGTCCTTGTCCCTTTCTTGGCTTGTCTCCCAAATAGTCTACAAACTGCCCAAGGCCAGGAGTCCCCATCCCTTGTTATCCTGGTGCCTGGTGCAGTGCCTGACACTCGGAGGCCACTCAGTGTGTGTTTGCAGAATGCATGGGTGAAGGAGTGTGAGTCCGCTCACCAAGACATGAACTCCAAGAGGAGAAGATGATGTGTCCGTCTGGGCTCTGCTGGGTTTAGAAATCCTGAGACTCATCCACATGAATGCGCCAGGGAGCTGTGCATAAGGATCAAAGCTCAGGGAGGTGGTCTGCCAGGGGGTCTGGCCCTCCCTGCCCCTGCCCAGCTCATCCCTATCCCAGCTCTGGAGGCCTCCTTGCCAGCATTGCCCATGGGCTGCTCTGGAGAGAAGGAGCAGGAGAGCTCCGGAATTTGACACTGTCCATTTCTCCCCTTGGGGAAGCTCTTCTCAGGGGGAATTTGGGATTCAATTTTCATAAGTAAATAAGCTTTGGGGTTAATCACACCTCCATTTGCATAGGGAGGGATGGGGAGTGAATCCTTCCTTCCTCCTGGCTCATCCTCCCCAGAAAAAACGAGAGTGGATCCATTACCAGCAGCCCACCCTCCACCACTCCTGGGGGAAAAAGAAATGACATTTTCCTTTTACATTGGAAATACTTAAAAGTCCCAAGAATAGATTTATAGGAATATTTTAACCTTTCCTTTGATCCTTGAAATGTCATTGTTCTGTGGGCTGAATCGCCAAATGTGACCTTTTCCAGTAACCACAGGGCGGGGAGCCCCTGCTGGCTCTTTGAAAGGAGCTTCGTATGTTCTCCCTGCAGCTTCCCTGATACCCCACCCCCACTCCTGAAGCTCTGAGTCAGTGGAAGGATTGGTGAGGGGAGCAGCAAGCAGGGGCTAGCTGGGGAGGGCCAAGCAGCTCCTACCTTACTTACCAAATAAGGATGAGCTAAATGTGGGTCCATCACTAGTTAACTCGCTCTGTGGCCTGGGGTTAAGCACATCCTCTCTTTGGGCCTGAGTTGCCTGTGAAATGGGAAAAATCATGGCGCCCTACTTCAGAGAGCTGTTACAAGGACTAAATGAGACAATGCATGTTGTATCCATCAGTGATTGCTAAACAAGGCTGAAAAACCAACAACCCCCGAAATCAGTGCCTGACAATACCAAGTCTTTATTCTCAAACTCACAGGTCTGCAGGATGACTAAGGTTCAGTGATCCAGCCCAAGTTCAGCTGGGTGGCTTGTGCATGTGGGTTGGACTCAGACGGGGCCCACACTGAAGGGTCCTGCTCTTCTCATGGTGGAGCCACTGGAATGCAAGGGGGACAAGCAAGAACAAGCACTGCCTCTTCTGGACTCAGCTGGGAACAGGACCATTGTCACTTCCACCCACCTCCTATTGGCCAAACCAAGTCACGTGACTGAGCCCAACATAATAAGGTGGGGAAAAGGCACTGCCTCCAAGGAGAGGGGAGTGCGTATTTGCTAAACAATAATCTAATCTATCACAGCATGTAAAGCCCCTGGCACTATGCCTGGCAAGTGATAGAAACACAGAATATTAATTCCCTTTCATACCACATTGCATCATTACTATATTCCACAGCTCAGATTAATTACTTAGAATTCATTATAATAGCATGAGCCCTTTTGGCTAAGAATACATACCTTATTGTCCAGAATATGTGGGCAGTGATGTATTACACATGAGTGAATTCTTCAGATAACAGAAACTTAAACACCTTAAAGCTTTTTTATTTTAATTATGTTGATGGAAATGTTTCTAGAGGATATTTCACATCTTCCCACCTTCTTAAACAGAGACTATCAAATGCTATTTAATCCATAATATTGATGCATTGGGACCACTGCTATGAGCATCTGCCACAGCTCTCTGTCGATCTCTAGGGCCATTGAGACGTCTGGCCTGTTTGTCCCTGCACTGAGTGACCCCGTAGGGACAGTTCTTCTCCTCGTGTCCTCAACAGTAGCCACTAGATATCAGCCCTCCACAGGTCAGTTTCTCATCATCAGAAATGAAGGATAGGAGATTCAGGCTAAATCCAACACACTTCCTGAGTCGTTTTGGCTCTTACTGAAATCTTTGCTGATGGCAGCACCAGGGAAGACTCTGTTTTGATAGACTGCTACCATAGTTCTAATCAGGGTGGAGTTTCTGGAGCCTTAAGCATAATGAACAGTTGAAGAATTTCAAAAGGTGGTTCATCTACTCACTACATTCTAAAGGAAGGCAATAAGAGGGAATCCTGACAAACAGCTTGGGGCCCATGTGAATGTCAGGGTGACGGACAGAATGTAATAATACTCTAGAACTGATGGACTCTCCTTCCATACCTTTATTCCAGGCTCTCATCCCACTTCTTTCTCTCTGTCTTTCAACTTCTCTCCATCTGTGTGCTTCCATCTCTCCTCTCTGGGGCCCTATCTGTTCTTTTTCATCCTCTGATTCTCATCCTGTATCCTTCCTTCTTCTCCTCCTTCTCCTACAGGCTATAGTGTGGAGAGGAGAAGTTTTGAATGATCATTACTCAAGCTTACTCCAAAACAATTATTTCATTCTTCAAGTATTATGCTTCTTGTATTAGTCCATTTTCACACTGCTGATAAAGACATACCCGAGGCAGGGTAATTTATACAGGAAAAAGAGTTTGTTAGACTTACAGTTCCAGTGGCTGGAAAGACCTCATAATCATGGCAGCAGGCAAAGAGTTTGTGCAGTGAAACTCCCGTGTGTGTGTGTGTGTGTGTGTGTGTGTGTGTGTGTTTTGTTTTGTTTTGTTTTGTTTTGTTGAGATGGAGTCTCGCTCTGTCACCCAGGCTGGAGTGCAGTGGCACGATCTCGGCTCACTGCAACCTCTGCCTCCTGGGTCCAAGCAATTCTCCTGCCTCAGCCTCCTGAGGAGCTGGGATTACAGGCATGCGCCACCACATCTGGCTAATTTTTGTACTTTTAGTAGAGACAGGGTTTCACCATATTTGCCAGGCTTGTCTCGAACTCCTGACCTCAAGTGATCCACCCTCCTCTGCCTCCCATAGTGCTGGGATTATAGTCGTGAGCCACCACGCCAGGCCAAAAACTCCCGTTTTTAAAACCATCGGATGTTGTGAGACTCATTCACTATCATGAGAAGAGCACAGAAAAGACCCGCCCCCATAATTCAATCACCTCCCACCAGGTTTCGCCTATGATACATGGGAATTGTGGGGGTTACAATTCAAGATGAGATTTCGGTGGGGACACAGCCAAACCTTATCACTTCTCTTTATCTTAAGTTCCTAAAAATCCAAATGGCAACAAAATGCCACAAAATTAAGTCATACCTTGCTTCTGTGAACACCTCTGATTTTTCCCCCAGAAAGTCAGTGATTGTCCATCAGAGAACCCCTTGGAGGCCAGGCTTCTGATTATAAAGTTCTCCAGATCTCTGATTGCTATGGACGGGTAACGGCCCACCTCGGAACTGTCCTGAGTGCTGAAATGGTGCCTGGTTGCAGCTGACATTCCTGTTCCTTCACTTAAGTGCTCTGCCGGAGCACTAGGTACATTAGTGTTTCCCTGCGTGGATGTTCCTAGCCATTTCTATGTGGAATGCCTGATCCAAGATTCCCACAGCCTCCTTGTTATGCCAGTGATAGATGCCCGTCTGCTCAGCTGGCCAGGATTTGGGGAGAAGTGTTTAGGCCAAGAACATATCATAACACTTTTCTGTAAAAATGACCTTTAGGCTATGACAGCTAACCCTTTTGTGCTAGGCCCCAGATTGATCACACCAGAAGGCTGATTCCTGGTGGTGAACTCACCCCTCTGGGACCTGGCTTCAAGCCAAGATAGCTAGGTTCTAGCCTATGCTCACCACTTGCTAGTCACGGGGAATTGGGCAGCTAATTCTCCCTTTGGGGGCCTCAATCTTCCCATCTATGCAATGAGGCACTGGGAAATACAATCTCTAAGATTCCAACCAACTAGGACATTCTGAGATTTTACATGTATGTGGCCCAGGAGGAGATTGAGTGGAATGAAGGAGAAAGAGCCCGCAGCAAGGAGTCAGGAGTCCTAGTTCCCAGTTCTGCCATTAAAGCTGTGTCATTCTAGGTCAGCCCCTTAGCCTCCCTAAGTCTCAATCTCCTTATCTATAAGACTGGAAGGATATCACTGTCCTTCCCATTTCCTGATGTCATGGAGAGGCTCAGGTGAGATGGGGAAGCACTTGGTAAGGTACAGATAACTATATGGTACTGGGGAATGGTTTCTTACAACAAGAGAGCATCAAAAAATTATTCCCAGCCAGGCTCGGTGGCTCATGCCAGTAATCCCAGCACTTTAGGAGGCCAAGGCGGGTGGATCACTTGAGGTGAGGAGATCGAGACCAGCCTGGCCAACATGGTGGAACCCCATCTCCACTAAAAATACAAAAATTAGCTGGGCATGGTGGCAGATGACTGTAATCCTAGCTACTTGGGAGGCTGAGGCAGGAGAATCACTTGAACCTCAGAGGCAGAGGTTGCAGTGAGCCAAGATCACACGGCTGCACTCCAGCCTGGGCAACAGAGTGAGACTCAAAAAAAAAAATCAGTCCCTTCAGAGGGAACATGAGTTCAGCACCCTGTTGATCAAACAGTACCCACAGTTTAGTACCCTGTGGATCAAAGGACATAGTCTCTTTCCTATCTTCCTCCACTATTTCCCAGTGTGATGGAATCAATGAGCCAGGGTGATATCAGTCTCTACTGAGGACAAAATACCCCAAATGCCAGGTCTATTCCTTTATTCAGTAGGCAATTACTGACAGCCTTCTATTCTTGCTCTCACAAATCTTCTAATCTAGAAGAGGAGAGAGACAATAAGTTCCTAAATACCTAGGTGATACACCTTTCAAAAGTACTCACTGCTGGGAAGAAGACAAAGTGGAGGAGGAGGATGGAGAGGAACCGGGGGGGTTGTCGGTATGGGAAACCCTTAGCTCAATGCTGGGCACATGGTAACTGCCCAGTAACACAACCTGATAGGCAGGATTCTGGAGGATGCCTTGGTTGTTGAGGCAGCACACAGGAGAAGGACTTGGAGACCAAGCTGTGATAGCAGAGATAATTAGGAGTGAACCAGGAAAAGGCTGGAGGGAGAGTATTCCAGACAATGAGCCAATGGCTGGGCAGGTGGCAGCTTGGTGCTAAGCTCTGGGAAGACTGCACTGGCACAGGGGGATAAATGGGAGAGGAAAAAAACTTTGGGACAGAGAGGCCAATTAGGAAGAGGAGGCCACTGGAAGAGAGGTGACCATGCCTGAGGCAGTGACCATGGAGACAGGGAAGAGTGAGAATGTGGATGTTAACAATGAGATCAAATCTGTAAGACTTAGAGATTCCGTGAGCCATAAGAGGGAATGTGTGGGCTGAAGGCAGCAGTAGGGCGATGGAAAGCCTGGCCAAGGGCTTCTAGAACTTGAAGCTCACCATTTTTGGATGACATTCTGTGAACGAAGTGTTCTCTATGAGATACTAAGAGCAATATAGGGTAATCACTGGTGACAGAAACATCTGCTCATGCAGGTTCATGTCAAAGTCCAGGGTTGAAGGAGAACCCCTCATCCCAGGTAATTCTTGCCCCTCTGCCATCCCAGCACCTGTGAACTAGAATCTGGAGCCCAGCTGTGTGCAGCTCCCACACCAAAAAGAGGCACAGACTCCAGAGCAGGAATTTCCCACTGATGGGGCAGAGGAGGGGTAGGATAACTTCCTGCTGCCACCTTCCTCCTATTTCTGCTGGACTAGGGTCTGTCACTTTGGAATGAATGGTTCTGGTACAAGAGACCAGAAAAAGGAGTGTGTGAGAGATTGCCTTTTCCCCAAATAGCCATACAAAGAAATATCCCATCCCTCATGTTTTTCTTGCAATATGATATTGGCTTCCATCAGGATGTGGGTCTACACTCCTTCCCTTTGAACTTTGAGTGACCTTTATAACTTTCTCAATCAATAGGTGTGGCAGAATTGATGCCCTATAACTTCTGAGTGTAGGTCATAAAAGGCAATGTGGCTCCCCCAGCTCTCTCCCTCTGTCAAGATGCTTTTCCTTGGAATCCAGCTGCCATGTTGTGAGAAAGCCCAGGGCACCGCAGAGACCACATGTGGGTGTTCCAGCCAACAGCCCCAGCTAGGTCCCCATGGAGAGCCCACACCAACCACCAGATATGAGGGTTCAGACTCCAGCCCACAGTCTTCAAGTCTTCCAGCTGCAGTCCCAGACATCATGAAACCATTCTGCTGTGACCTGTCAGAATTTCTGACCCCAGAAACTGTTGGAGATAATAAATAATTACTGTTGTTTTAATCCTCTAAATTTTGGGGTGATTTGTTATGCAGCAATCGATAACTAATACAAAGGATCACTAAGGTGACCCAGTGTGCTGGGGGGGAGGTTAACCCAGGCCTTACACAGGGAAGGGCTTAGCCTCATATTATTATCATCTCTTTCTGGCTTCATCATCACTGTCACCACCTCCACCTCCACCACTACTTACAGAGCACCTACCTAGGCCAGGTTCTTGGCATTCAATTTCTATAACCTTTATACCAATCAAGTAGGTATGCTTCTCCAATTTTATAGAAGAGGAAACTGAGGCTTTGGGGCTTGTGTGGTTTGCCCAAGGACACACAGCTAGCCAGTGTTAAACCTAGAGACAGATTATTGAGATGCTCTGATAGTAGCTGACCTTCACTGAGCACTGACTATGAGCCATGCACGATGTTAAGCACTTTAGGTGCATTTGCCCACCTAACCATCCCTGCAGCCCTATGAGGTAGGTTAAGTTTTAGCCCATTTTATGGTTGAAGAAGCCGAGTCCAAAGCAGGTAGGTAACCTACCCAAGGATCCTCACCTAGATCTACCTGATCCCTCCCCCTGCTGGAAACCATTCCGCTATCTGGCTCCCTGTCCTTTAACAAGGCCCAGCAGGCAAAGGTAGGTGCTCCCTCTGCTCCCTCTCAGTGCTGGCCTCTGGTCGTTCTAGCCACGCAGCAGCAGGCAGCCCCGGGGTACCAGGATGGCAGCAAGGCGCGCCTGGGGCAGGGTGAGGAGCTGTGACCAGGACGACCTTGTAATCCCAGTGCTCCACCAGACAATAAATATCCCCACATTAAGTGTTTAAGCTCTCCCAAAAGCTGCATCAGAGGGGCTTCCACGTCTCGGGCTGGAAAGCACTCTGGGCAGATTTATCCCTCCGCGAGGTCAGACAGCCATTGTATTTCACCGTCGGGCCAACAAGGGCCCTCATCCTCTGGAATTATATTTCTATCAAATATTCATTTGTCTGGTTTATGGGCTCCTGAAGACCGGGTCCACCGGCTCCTGCCAGCTGCATGCTTGCCTGGCTGTGCCAAGGCCCATTCTTTACCCTTTGCTCACAGCCCACTGGGTAGCAGAAGGGCCACCCCTTGAGGTCCGACTCCCCCACAGGGAAAGGATGAGGTCCCCTGAGCCCTCCTGTGGCTCTTTCCCTTCTCCAGGTCAACCCAGTGCTTAAGACTGGAAGCCACGGGAGCGGGAGAAGGTTGCAACCACTTCCCCAAAGCCGAGGGGCCTGTCGCAGGTGCTGGCTGCTCCGCCCAGAGGTACTGGCTGCTCATACCTGCAGCCCTTCTCTGAAGGACTGTCCTCAGCTGACAGGAGCTGCCTCACTCAGAGAAGGCTGGGAGGTTACCTCCCTGCACCCCAGAGGCAGCCCATAGCCAATGACTGACTGTAGAACAGGGAAACCCTCTTGCCACCAGGCGGGACAAACTGTGTGATGCAATTCCTGCTCCATAGCTCTCTGTGGGACCACAGCCTTGCCTACCTTCTTCTGCCTGTCCTCTTCTGTCCCCTAAGAGTCCTCCCTCGATAAACCACGTGTGTAAGGGTCACCAGCCAGGCTTTTCTTGAGGGAACTGAGCCCAAGACAGGACCTTAAGCCCAATGGCTCTTCATCCCACAACTTGGAGCTGATCTCCCGGAAAGCTTCTCACTCACACAGGAGAAATGGGGGGTGTCACACCATGTGGACCCTAGGGAGACTCTCCCTCTAAACCTGCCAGAGGCAGCCCCCTGCCTCGTTGCCCATGTTACAGAAGTGGAAACGAAGGTGCAGTGACTTATCCAGGGTCAGGTAGTTAGTCTGGGGAAGATCTTGGAATCAAGCCCAGGGCTATTTGACTCCAATCCGTTCTACCACACCAGAGTTTTCCCTAGAAGGAGTGCCCTGAGCCCCATGCTTTACCCAGTCCACCCTTTCAGGAGCAACTAAAATGCCACCTCTTGCAGGCAGCCTTCCCTGCTTACCTGTCAGACTTCATCATGCACTCCTGTAGGCACAGCACATGTGCTTTCGTCTAGCTCTATCTTATTCCACCCTCAGTTACAGTTAGGAGTTTCTCCACTTTCTTTCATGGAAATGTCTTTATCCCCAAAACCGCAAACACTTATTTAGGGCTACAGAAGTGCCAAGAAGGCACCATCTGTGTAAGGAAATGTCATTTTCCTTAATAAAGGCAAATCCACATTCTCCAAGGTTAGACTGGAGGAAATTCTTCCCAGGGAGAGGGGGCCCCGTCTCTGACTTGCCTGGGCCCCCAGTTCGCACCTTCCCTTTGAGGCGTCTCTCTGATTACTGTTGCCATCACCATGCTGACTTCAAAGGACACTCATGAACCATGACACTTTGACCCAATCATGGACAAATGTCCTTCACATGTCCCCAGGCACCTAAGAGCTGGGACTGTTAGACCTGAGGTCAGGAATGGCACCTGCGAAATAAACACCAAGAGAATGATCACCCAGATCAGTGTTCACTGTCTTCAGGCATCCCAGCACTACCACTAGCAGAATGTTGTGTACTCATGCCGTCCACATAATTATTGACTTAATATGTTTCTTTACATCAACTGCTTTTCTTAACACAGATCAGTTTATTTAAAAAGGAAAGTTTTCTCTTTCCTGCATTAGAAAACCGGAATCACGTTGCCCAAAAACCACCATGGCCCGAGAAGGCTGTGAACCTGTGCTCTGCTTTCTTCATTAAAATGAAAGATCTCAAGGGCTCAAAAGGCCTTAAAGACATGCCAACCTCCACCAGAGACATTCTCCTACCAGGATCAGGATTGACAATGATTTCAAAAGTAAGTACCCTTCTTACTCACGATTCAGTGAGACTGATGCCAAGCCTGAGAGTGCCTGAGCTCATCTAGGGAACCCACACTTTGAGAAACACTGATCCCAATTACCTGGCTTACAGGGTCCGGGTCCAGCCTATTCAGCTTCAGCCTGTGACCCCCTAAAGCAGTCACTTCTCCCTCCTGGAGGGCAGTCATGTACCCCACTCATCCCTAATCCCTGCGTCTGGTATACAGCAGGTGCTCAGGAATGCTTGTAGAATGAGACTGAGGCTGAGGGAGATGTCAAAGAAGGCAGAGGAGAGGGGGCATTGAACAGCCTGGCATATGACTGGAATCTATGAATTTCTAGTCTGACAAAGGCTGATTTCTATTTATTTCCTTTCTTGCAGTAAGTAAAGCAGGCTTTCTTTGTGTTTGAATGGAATACACACACACTCAGCACCCTATTGTGAAAAAAATCAGGCTTTATTGTAAAAACAATTGTGCCAAATTTAAAGCAGAGATTAAAATTGAGGCCTGTTAAGTGTGGTCATTAATACATCAGGCTTTTTCTTCCAGTCAGGGAAGGAAGCTATGCCAGGCTGCCGCTGCTTGCTTTCCTGTGGGCCAAGGAGGCAGAGGCATAAGGATGCTCATAGGAGGGGCACTCAACAAGGCATCTGGGGGTCTCTGAGTCCTGGGGCTCAGAGCACCCTGGGCATAACATGGAAAACACAGGAACCCTACTTGCAAAAAAAAAAAAAAAGAGAGAGAGGAGATATGAGGATCTTTTTAGTCTTATGTATAACACATTTATAGGCAAAGCCTCACAAATTTATCCATTTCAAATCACCTATGGTTATATATTTCACAAATCCCTTCTATTTTAAATGGAATGCATAAAATTGAAGTTCACCTGGAAACAGGACTGAACAGCAGAGATTCCACCCTCCCCCTACTTCATCTGCCTTTTCTTCTCTAACCAACTATGAAGGCTGCAGCAGTCACCACCGACTTGGCCAAGCAGGGTGCAACCTTCTCTGCATCTATTGTCTTCTGTCATCCTGGCACTGGCTCTCTAAGGTTGATTCCATCATCCCTGTCTTCCAGGGGCACAGATGGTAGGTCAGCTGCCCAAGCTTCCAGAGCCTGAAGCAGTAGAGACAGGATTTGAACCCAGATCTGATTCCAAGGCCCACATTCCTCACGTGTCTTTCCCCTGCCTCCTGAGAATATGCTCCAGGAGACAAGGCCAGATCTTCAGTGACCAAGAGTGGGAAGGAAAGGGGGCTGAGTGAAGAAGGGAAGCCAAGAACACTCATGGTTTTGAGTGTGTTTTTTGTGCTCAGCCAGTGCTAAGTGCCAGGAACTTTGAAGTGAGAGATGTAGTCCTTGTCCATCAAAAACCATCTACAGAAAGACTGGGACTAATTTCTAAGCTTGTGCAAGACCACAGGTTATAGTCATGGGGGGAACTCACCCTCAGAAAGAGTAAAGGAGGGAAAGAGAGAGAGAGAGAAGGAAGAAGAGACAGAAGGAAGGAAGGGAGGGAGGGAGAGAGAGAGAGAAATGAAGGAAGGAAGGAAGGAAGGAAGGAAGGAAGGAAGGAAGGAAGGAAGGAAGGAAGGAAGGAAGGAAAGAAGGAAGGAAGGAAGGAAGAAAGAAAGAAAGAAGGAAAGAAAGAGAATGAAAGAAAGAAAGAAAGAGAAAGAAAGAAAGAAAGAAAGAAAGAAGGAAAGAAAGAAAGAGAACGAAAGAAAGAGAAAGAAAGAAAGAAAGAAAGAAAGAAAGAAAGAAAGAAAGAAAGAAAGAAAGAAAGGGGGGAGGGAGGGAGGGAAGGAAGGAAGGAGGGAGGAAGGAGAGGAACAATTGGAAAGGGCTCAGAAGTCACCCTGAAAGAGCTCCCAACAGCCAAAGTTGAAAGGACTTCAGCAACAAGATCAATAACAATATTGCTAAATTGTAACCCAAAGAATAAAAGAAATGCTCCTGAGTCCATACTGATATAAATAACTGAAGACATAAATAGGAGAGAAGACTTAACATCTTACACAAGGATTCTGAGAAATAAATGTAGAAGGAATGAGGGAAATAGAACAGCATAGTCAAAATTGCCACAGACAAGATCCATCGATGGATGCTAAAATTAGTGGGTGAAAGTTTGAGCAGAAACAAGATATGTGTGTAGTCTCAAAGTATCTCCTCCTAAATAAGGAGTAATTACAAAGGGAAGAATAGTAAGTTTATAATGGAGAATCCTAGCAGACACCACCTTAACCAAGAGAGGAAGGTTAACATCACTAGGTATGTATGACTAGTACATACCAACATCACATATCCCCAGTACGATGCAGTTGTGCTGCACATTGCTCTATGGTATCTGTCCCAGGAACACGTAACCTCAATAGAACCATGAAGAAGCTCCAGAGAGACACAAACAGAAGAATACTCCACCGAAACAAAACTGACCAGTACCTTTCAAAATTGTCAAAGTCATAAAAGACAGTGGAACACTGAGAAACTCACTGACTGGAAGATGTTAAGGAGACACTAAATGCATGCAATGTGATATCTTGGACCGGATCCTGAAACAGAAAAAGAACATTCGTGGGAAGACAAGTGAAATCTGAATAAATTCCAAAACTTAGTTAATAGTGAATAATATTGTAACAAGAGTCATTTCCTAATTTTTGATAAATGTTGTATGATTATGGAAGAGTTTAACATAAGGGGAAACTGGGTGAGGACTATATGGGAACTCTTTGACTAGCTTTGCAACTCTTCCATAAGTCTAAAATTAACTCCAAAAAAAGCCTTTTTTAATGGTGTGGTAGGCTGATAATGGCCCCCAAAAGAGATCCATGTTCTAATCCTTGAAGCCTGTGAATACATATAAGGATATGGAAAAAAAAAAAAAAGACTTTGCAGATACAATAAAAGATCTTGAGACCGGGCACAGTGGATCACATCTGTAATCCCAGCACTTTGGGAGGTCAAGGCAGGTGCATCACCTGAGGTCAGGAGTTCGAGAACAGCCTGGTCAACATGGTGAAACCTTGTCCCTACTAAAAATACAAAAAATTAGCCAGGTGTGGTGGCAGGTGCCTGTAATCCCAGCTACTTGGGAGGCTGAGGCAGGAGAACTGCTTGAATATGGCAAGTGGAGGTTGCAGTGAGCCAAGATCAAGCCATTGCACTCCAGCCTGGGCAACAAGAGCAAAACTCCATTTCAACAACAACAACAACAAAAAAATCTTGAGATGGGGACATTATACCAATTATACCAGATTATCAAGGTGGCCCTAAATGCCATCACTTGTACCCTTAAAAGATGGTGGCAGACAGAAGAGGAGAAGGCAAGATAGCCACAAAGGCAGAGGCTGGAGTGACGCAGCCACAAGCACAGGGTTGCCAGGAGCTCCTAGAGGCTAAAAGAGGCAAGGAAGGGATTCTCCCCTGCAGCCTCCAGAGAAAGCACAGCCCTGCACACACCTTGATTTCTGCCAGTGATACTGATTTTGGATCTCTGGCCTCCAAAACTATTTTAAACTTGGTAGTTTGAAATGAATTTATTCTTGTTTTAAATCACCAAGCTTGTGCTAATTTGTTACAGTGGCAATAAAAAAAAAAAAAACCCTAACACTATGCAAGTGGTCAAAAAAAAAAAAAAACCCTGATGGGATTGGCCTGGGTAGTCCCCAAAGTTCCTGCCAGCTGTGACACTCTTGATGCTTTCGTTCTTCAAGGTAGAACTGCCTGACCCTTGATCCCCAAGAGTATCCCTGGGTACCTGCCCCAGAGCTTGCTGGGAGCTGCCAGGCTAACACAGCTCTCTGTGCAGGCTACGTTTCTACTCCTCAGCTGCCTTGCTCAATAATGGCTCAAAGTTTTCTCCTTTGGACCCCTTGGATCAGTACAGCCTGCAGTCAAAGGGCAGAGGATCCATGCTCCACCCATTCTCCCAAAGATGGAAGAGCTCAGCTGTCCACCAGCTGAGGACTCCACAAGGCTAGCCCCAAAATAACAGTAATCATAATTATAGCTCTCCTTTGTCGAAAGCCTATCAAATGACAGACTCATTGTCGAGCAATGGCTCAGAGAGGTTATGGGGCTTGCTCAAGGTCACACAGTTTTCCAGCAGCTGAGGCAGAGTTCCAACCCAGGTGTCTGTGACTCAGAAAGCCCATGTCCCCAACAACAACGTCTTGCTGCCCCTCCAACAGCCTGCTCCCCACCCACCCTCCACCTCCCCTGCCATGCCCTCTCCCTGGCAAACCCCAGCTACATATGAAAATCCAAAGTTGCTCTTCCTGGGCCCCCTGACTGCAAAGCATCCAGATTTCAGTTGCCTTCACAAAAACACCGAGATTCGCTGGTGATAAAAATCCTCAGCCTTGAAACCAACTTAGGGAATTTAGAGAGCTTCTCACCTCTCACAGGTGTTTTATTTGCCCCACTCTTCCTCCCAAGCCAGGCCTTTGGAAATGGCTGGCACTGCTGCAGCCTGCAGAGAAGGGGATCAGGGACAGACTCAGGCTGCAGAGTGGGCAGAGAATGGCTTCTGGCCATTTTGGACTTCAGGAATCTGATCACGAACTCAGGCGCCCATCAGCCAAAAATTCCCCTTCCACAAGGAAGGGAGACTGGGCATTTTGCCAAAGCGGGTCTGGGAATTATGAGACACAGCTTCTGCTTTTATAGGGACTTGGCCAGGGGCACTCTGCCATCTCTGTGGCCAGCCCAGGAGCCTTAGGCCTCACAATAACACAGCTCACCAGGGCCCAGACTCTAATAACAATTTCTAGAGCTTTTAAGGTCAAATGGCCCAGACTTCACCTGGGGCTTGAATTCCCACCAAATCTTTAAGGTTCTACCTGTGGGGGTCACAAACTCCAGTGCCTCCGAGTGTCAGGCAGGCAACCTAAAAGTATAAACCGGGCCTAGTGTGATACAAGGAGTGGTTAGGATGGCGGCAAGGAAAAACACACAGGCACCCCTTAAATATCACATATTTTTAAACACTGAGCCAACAACACAGATCTCAGACCACCAGTTTGTGGCCTCCTGAAGACAAGGGGTCTTTCCTAGCCTCACTGCTTCCACTCCCTTCCTCTCCATCCTCCAGCCTTTTTCCACGCCTTGGCCCCTCCAGTGTCCATCACCTGGATCACCTTGCCTTCTCCCTGTCCACATTCTTAGAAGCTGGATCAGATCAAGTCCTGCCCCGTCCAGAGAGTCCTCCCTGACTTCCCCAGCCCCCAGAGTCTCTCTTCCCATGCTTTTGTCACGCCTTAACCACGGAATCCCACATTTGGTCCATCATTTGGGAGCATGTTGGGGCACATTTGACCTATAGCAGACGGGGCTTCCCAGCTTCATCTACCTCAAGCACCTAGAGAGGGTGGGGTCTGGGCCTTGTACCTTAGGTCAGCGAATTTCAGACCTAGAAAGACTCCCTTCAGGTCAGCTGCTCCAACTCTCTGATTTCACAGATTTGATTGCCTTTCATCCAGGACCTGGGTTTACCCCCACCACCCCTAGGACCTTCATCCACATCAGTGTTTTCTCAGTGGCAAAGGGGCTTAGCATTGGAGCCACACAGTACCCCTGAGTGCCCACTAAATGCCCTGACTTTACAACAAGCAGCCATGGAGCTCAGGAGGGCCTGCGTGTGCCCAGAGCCTGGAACCTTTGCACACATCAAGCTTGTTCCACACAACACAGAAACTGGGGCTCAGTTCAAGAAGTTTAAAGCTAAGAGGAACCCTGGAGTTCCCCCAAATAATAATAGCTACACCAACATAGTGCTACCTATGTGTCAGGTACCATTAATCCTCATGGCAACTCTAGGAGGAAGACACTGCTATTAGCCATGTTTTACAGATGGGAAAAGATACAGCAAAGAGGTAAAGAGGCTTGGCCAAGGTCATGCAGCTAATGCATGCTGGAAAGCAGCTTCTGCAAGTACAAGGTAGACCTAGGAGTAGCTGCCAGCCACTGCTCCCCACCCACAAATTTCCTAGAGCCTGCTCCTCTGTTCCCAGATGTTGCTAAACCCTGCTTGCTCACCTGCCTGTCTCTGGGGATCAGTACCTTGGGCTATGCATGGCACCTGCCATGGAACAATTGTTCATAAGCACAGCTGTCCACCCCACCAACTACCCAGACAATGAGCCTCGGGAGGGAAAAAGCAGCCATAGCCCAGGATCTGGCACATGGGAAGCAATCAGTGATTATTTTGTTGAATAAATGAAAGTCCAAGTGACTGAAGGAAGGAATCAATAAAGTGCCCCTTTCTGGGAGGGGAGGCAGCCCATCCACAGCCAGCCTCTTTGCCCTGGCTGCCCCAGGGACTCCATTTCCACCCCTAATAGGATGGCCAGCTCAGCCTGATCTGCTCCTTGCCCAGGCTCCTCCTTGGGCTTGTCTCTGCAGTGGGGATTGCAAAGTCATATTGGATTAAGACCTGCTCTGGCTGTCACCCGTGGTGCAAAGCTCGCCTATCAGGCAGCCCAGAAGGGCCACGGTATCTAATGGAGATTTGCTAATAAGATCTGAGTTGGTGAGCTTTGGATCCTATTAACACAGGAAAGTGCGGGCCTGTCTGTCTCCTAGAAAATCGCAAGCACAGTAGAAAAGTCACTTATGAATATTAATGGGACTGGAAACAATGCCAAGAGAAATTGTTGATGTGATTGGAAAGCTGGGAGGGGGCCGTGGGAGCAGGGGCAGCCTCTCTTCTCTCCCACCCTTTCCTAGCTCTCTAGAGCTGCCTGGAATGGAGAAGTCTGTGGGGCTGTCACAGCCAGATGGAGAGTGGTCACAGATGACCAGAGAAGAGAGCATTGCACCTGACTTCAGGGCCTGGACTCCCCTCCCCACATCCATGCAGGCCAGTCCAGAGTCAGTTTGTGGGAAGCACATGGTGAGGTATTTGAGAAGGAACATGAGCCCCTCTTCTTTGACTCCTGCCCTTCTTAGGTGAAACAGTCATCTCTCTTGGACTCTGTCCTGAAACCAAGACCTGTCTAGAGCACCATCCAACATGGAATTCACAGGCAGACCAGTGTGGACAGTGAGCCAGGGGAGAGCTCTCAGCACAGCCCGAAGAATGTCAACATCCAAAGGACTCATACTGGACACCCCCAGGTCCCACCAGCAGTTTCAAAGCTGTGCTCTAGGGGACCTAGCCATCAGGAGAGGGGGCTCAGGTGCCCCACTGAAGAGTGGCAAAGCCAAGGAGATTGAGCACTGGGCTGCAGATTCAAGACTGGAATTCTCCTGATCTCCAGTCCAAGACTGAGAATCCAGAGGTGAATGAGACACAGTCCCTGCTAGGAACTTACAGTCAGATGGGGAAGGCAGACAGTCACCTGTACTTATCGCAAGCCCCAAGAAAAGGGCCAGCGCTAACTGCACTGTTTTTATCCTACTTACCAATGAGATAGAGGAAAAGACCTCAATAGGAATATGGGCAATGGCCATGAGTAGCCAGTCTGCAGGAGAGGAGTGAGCAAGGTGAGAGCCTCACAGTGCCCAGGCTGCCGCCCTGATCAGTGCCAACTACAGGGCACAGCCTTTCTCCAACATCTGGGCTATGGGAGGTGAGTGACTAGCTTCTCAGAACTCCAGTTTCCTCGTCTGGAGCATGAGAGTCAAGCTCTTACCTCATGGAGATATTAAATAAGATAACGTACGTGCAGTGTGCAGACCATTCTGGCACAAAGGAGGCACGCGACACACCTCTATTTCCTTCCTTTCTTCTTTTTCCTCTTTGGGATGGAGACTACCCAGAACCCCTCCCCCTGAAGGAGGACCTGTCAGCCAGGCCCAGCCAATTAGAGTGTGATATCACTGGGCCACAGTGATTGGTTCAGGGATAGGGGTGTGCCCTGACTGAACCAATCAGAGCCAAGAGGGCTCAATTCCAGGACTTTGGTTGGTGTTTTGGGAAGGGTCTGGCTCCCTCTGAGGTTGCTGAGAAGGGCGGGCATCGCCTGTGCAGCTGGTAGCCATCTTGTCCCCATGAGGCTGGTGCCATCTGGGACAGAAACACTTATAGAGGAAAGCTGAGCAGGGAAATGAGAAAAAATAGTTTCTGAAGACATTGTTTGAGCCCCTGAATACACCTATGCCTGAACCCAGAACTACTCTCTGGGTTTTTTTTTTTTTTTTTTACAATACAGTAGCCAAAATACTACTTTTTTCTTTAAGTCAGTTGGGTTTCAGCCCCTTGCAACTGAATGAGTTTTAGCTAACGAATTTAGCTATCTAAAGTCCTGGGCCTGTGGCCACTGCCCAACTTGAACTAGAAGCTAACAGACATCCCTTCCCCTCCTTTCTCACTTCTACCACCTGCTCAACTCCAGGATGCAGAGGAGTCAGTTGCCTCCAAAGGATCGGGATTCAAGAAGCCTCACGCTCTATTTCCAAGATCCATTCATGGTCCGTCCTCTGGCCTGGGGTCGGCTCCATCTGCTTCTCTGCCTACAGGTGGAATGCAGAGGTGCACCCTCCCACCCCAGGCTCTGAGGAGGGATGCCCCTACACATCTGTCTGTACATCCCGTTCACACCTCTGATTTCCCAGCCTGAAATAGTATGGAAATGATACAGCTCTCCCCTGAGAGAGCAAAGATTAGCAGTGTGTCGGGGAGGCTAGAGTCCACGGCTTAGACCAGGGTCTCAAACTGATGGCCCACAGCCAAATCCAACCAGCAATATATTTAATTTTCCCAGTGTATGTTTAAATTTTTGTTTCACTCAAATGTTTTTAAGTGAGAAATTCTTCTTCCAGCCTGCCAAAGGCCCAGAATTCTGTTTTTTCAACACCCCTAATTCTCTGCACATTTATATTGCTTGTCTGACCCCCAAAGGCATATGATTCTGCAACTCCTGGTTGAGACCCTCCAGCTGCCTTTTCTGAAGGGCCATGCAGAGGGTTTGACTGATGTGGTCAGTAGTTTCTGGTTTACAGGGTTACATGGCAGAAGCTGGGGTAACGGCCAGTAAGAAGCATTAATATAATGGGTAGGAGGCATTACTTCTTTTGCCCCTTCCTGTGCTAACTCTCCCCAGATCCAGGCTGCAGGCCCCACAGATCTTCTTCCTGGTACTAGCCTTTGTGTGAATTCTGGGACTCTGCCCTCCTCAGACTCATCGGCTCTCATATAGGTGCCAGGCCATCCTGCCCTGCCCCAGACCCAGGGAGGTCCACTCCAGGCAGTGGGGCCCATGCAAGCCTCTCAGCTAGTTTGCATTGTATTTGTGGGATAATTACTAATGGCACCGATCATTTTTATTAGCTGAGCTGTCTGCATTAAAATAATAGATTTTTTTTTATTAAGAACATCTGAGGGAGCTGCCATCACAGCAGGAGAAGGATAATTTTCTGTTTATTTTAAGAGCAGATGGTTACTAAAATGTTCAATGTAAATAAATTGAGGACTGGCCACGGGGTAAACATATAGGAAATTTCCTGGCTTGCTTCAAGCCTCCTGCCCTGTCTTATTCTCCCAGTCCCTCCTTTGTGGGAGCTGACCAGTGAAGAATTGTCTCCCAAACCACTTGGGAGAATCCAGACCTCAGGTGTGGTGGGCTGGAAGGAGAGTAATGATCTGCTACAGTCCACCCCAGAACTGGGGGTGCTGCTGAAGATGTTACACAGGCTGGAGCTTAGGAAATCAGGAAGGAGGGCAGAGGCAAAAAATCTATCCTTGCCACAGAGCAGTGATCCAGATGGGATTAACCTACCTGGGTGCTCTAAACCTCAGCCTTCTATCTGAACAGTGAGGGTCTTGTACCAGCCACAGCTCCTAAAATAGGCTAAGAGGGAAAGAATAGTTTCATTTAAAAATAAAGTGTTGGCGGTCAAGAGATCAAGACCATCCTGGCCAACATGGTGAAACCACATCTCTACTAAAGATACAAAAAATTAGCTGGGCATTGTGGCACATGCCTGTAGTCCCAGCTACTCAAGAGGCTGAGGCAGGAGAATCGCTTGAATCCAGGAGGCGGAGGTTGCAGTGAGCCGAGATGGTGCCACTGCACTCCAGCCTGGCAACAGAGCGAGACTCGGTCTCAAAAAAATAAATAAATAAAGTGTTGGCAACCAAAGTGATCAGAAAACATCGAGTTAAACAAGTTTTTTATTGCAGGACTTCTCAGAACATTTACTATGTTCACTTAGATTGTATTTCTCCAAAGCAGGCAATCATAAAGAGTAAGTTGCAAACTTACAGTGACCGGACCCTTTTTTTTCCCAAGGTGCAGTGTACGGCTTGGGAAATGCTGGATGCTAAGTTTTTCCAAGGGCTTGCTCAGCTCCAGTGTCTCTGCTCTGTGAACCATTTTCATCTAGAGACGTTTCTTTACTCATTCAGTTATTCCACAAGTCATCACTGGCTGCTGACCATGTCCATGGCATTGGCCTGTAGACTGCAGATACAGCGCTGCATGGAATCCAGGTGCTGCCTCCCACCCACATCCACATCCCCTCGGCCTGCCCTAGAGGTCTTCCGGAGTCATTTCCACTCACATCTCCCTATTCTTGCATCACTGTGCCTGGATGCATTTTCCAGCTGCAGGAGTAGATTCCCCCCAAGCACGGGCAGGCTAGATATGCCAAGGAGTTAACATCCCTCCAGCTCTGAGCAACCCTCAACCAACAAAGGATGGGAGGTGTGAATAAACATCCTAGCTTCGAGGGGTGGGGGGGTGCGGGATTCAGAGGTGTGTCCCACAAATTATCAGAGGTTGCCCAACCATACTGAGTTCCCACTGCCCATAGCAGTATCCCCTAATAAGCACCGCATTGACTGACTTTTTTCCCTTCCCTGTTGTCTCTTCCCCACTCTCTCACAGTACATTCTGAGGTCATCTCCCAAATACAATATCCCTGTCTCAGTTTCTGTTTTGGGGAAACCCAAACCAAGACAGCTTCTGCTCACATGGATCTTACAGTCTGGTGGAAGAGACAGCAAGAAATGGATACTCAAACAAATACATGATTACAAATTGTCATGAGACGTATCAAGTGAAAAAATGGTGATATGGCACAATGTGAAGGTAGGTGAGCTAACTCAGGAAGATTCTGCTAATGCTCAGCTTGTTCCAGCCTCAGTAACTCAGTGTCGTGGAGGTGACTGACACCCAAATTGGAATGCACTGTGAAAGAAGCAATCATAGAACAAAATGGGACATGACAGAGCCGGGGACTGCCCTTCCTGGACATGAGACAGCCTGCTGCCTGGGACTTTAGCCTGTCACACTGAAGATCTGTTCTACATCCCTCATTCTCACTAACGTGTACGTGACAATATCCTTGTTTATTAACTTTCTACAAGGATGAGTGGGTTTTCCCAGCATTAGCCCTTGGGAAAGCCTGTATGTTTCTCTCCGATGGGGTCCTTCAAGTGCCTCCCCACCAAGGTGTTTTTGTGGGTAGTTGTTTAGTCCACAAATGCAGGTGTCCTGTCCTATCCCACTGACTCTGGGAATGGAACATAGTGTTGGAGGGACCTTCCCCTCTTAGCCTGGGATTTCAGGCCCAAGGTGCTATAGAAAGAGAAATAAATGAGCTCTGCCTGCCCTTGTTCTGAAACATGACAAGCAGCTCCCAGACCAGCCAAGGAGGAAACCAAGCAAACATTTTTCCCATCGGCAAATTGGGTTTCTCTCTCTCTCTCTTTAAAGAATTGAAAGGGGAAAGGGGCCAAGGGTAGAGCTGGGGTCTAAATTAAAACATAGGCTTGTAGGCCAGGCTCGGTGGCTCACACCTGTAATCCCAGCACTTTGGGAGGCCGAGGCAGATGGATAACAAGGTCAGGGGTTCAAGACCAGCCTGGCCAATAGTGTGAAACCCCGTCTCTACTAAAAATACAAAAATTAGCTGGGTGTGGTGGTGGGCGCCTATAGTCCCAGCTACTCGGGAGGCTGAGGCAGGAGAATCGCTTGAACCCAGGAGGCGGAGCTTTCAGTGAGCTGAGATCATGCCACTGCACTCCAGCCTGGGTGACAGAGTGAGACTCCATCTCAAAAAAAAACGGGGGGAAGGGGGCTTGTAGACAGAGACACATAAAGAGATAGAGACAAAGGGAGAGAGTGAAAATAATGACTCTCGCTGAAATTGCAACACTGATGAACTCTGATAGAATTATCAATGAATTTTACTTATTAGTGATTTCTATTTTCTAAGTTTTCATTTATTGAGCATGCTTCAATGTGGTTTTTTAAAAACACAAATGTGCTGTTTTAGACGAACTCCACTGGCCTAGCACAGTAGGTGCTCAATAAATGTGTGTTGATCTTTTTTTTGGAAAATGGGGACCATATTTTTCGAAAAATGACCCCAACTCTCAGCTTCTGTGATGACTCATGGGGACAGGTGGGTGGCGTTCCTGAGGTCACCTGTCCCTAGGGCTACCATTCTTTTCCAGATGCAAAGTCCTTTCTTTAAACCAAACCTTCCTCAGAAGCCCAAAGAAGGGAAGAACACTCTGGATAAAATGTTTGTAGGGGGAGGTAGGGGCACAGGCCCTGATACACTATTTCATAGGCTTCAATGTAAAAACTATGATTTTACTGTCACCATCTCCACACACATACACATATTTTTCAACAGGAGGCTCAGAGAGAATCAATGGGCCTAAGGTCACAGTGAGGTGAGTTGGTGGCCAACCCAAAACACAGCCAGAACTTGCCCCCAGATGGCATCTCCTTGGCCTTGACTGATCTGTCGTGAAGTAATCTCTGTGGACATGAGGAGGGGCTACACTAATTGTCTGAAGTTCATCAGGGCCCACTCTTAAAGCCGGGGGTCAGTGAGTCCCCGCAGACCACATAACTGAGAACATCAGGGTACTGTTGGTTATCAAGGAGTAAGAGGCACTAGAGGGAGAGGAAACAAAGCCAGGACCGCAATCCAGGAAGCCCCTGCTGGCACTGTTGACTAACATCCCTACATCTACGTGGCCTCATCTGTAATATGACATTTTTCTTCTCGGAAACAATCTCTCAAGCCCTCTCACACCCTGGGGTCAGCAGGGGGCAATGGAAAGCCAGAAGATCAGGCTCTGCTATGTGCCCTTGGGCAACTCATTTTCCCTCTCTGGGCCTCCGTTTGCTCCATCTATGGGAGTAAGATTAGATCAGGGATGGCAAAGAGGTTTACTCACCTGTCAACTGTGATCAATTGGTAGAGACTGCCTGAAGAGATTGCTGAAAAGGATACCAAGGCCACATCTGAGCTCAGTGGGAAGATGACATGATCCATCCATAATGTGGTTTTGCCTTTCCCCCGACCACGGAGTCCAATCTGGCAGATGGTTCTATGCAGGGCTCCTTGTACCACAGGAATTAGCAGCGCTGAGCCTGAGGATTCCTGCAAATGCCCTGGAACTCCAGGACCTCCCAAGGACCCTCCCTCTATTCCGCAGGGTTGTCTTCCCACTCTACTCTGCCTGGCTCAGAGCTCAGAGGCCCTCCAGGCAGAGTGTGAGAATAGTGAGCTCTTATATGGAGGGGCCTAGGACAGCCATCCCTGGACGGTCCCCCAAAGCTGCCGAGCCCCATGGGCTGAGATGCAGAAGACAGTCCGCAAGGGAGAGTGTTGCTCACAGGTTGACCTTACTCTGTAGAGTAAGTATGTGTTCCTGAGAAAATTGCACTCAAATTGAATTTTTATAAATGGAATCCTATTTCAGCAATGATTTACAACACAATTGCAGAGCTACTTTATCTTCATTTTGGAGAAATGTTCTTAACGTTTCAGCTTTAGAACTCCCCTTCCTTTTATAAGCACTAAGAATGTTCCAGTTAGATGGAGCCACAGAGACCACCAAGTCCTACCCTTTTCCTTTCCAGGTAAGGAAGTTGAGGTACAAAGAGGTGAGCACTAGCATTTGTCAAGTGTCTGCTAGGCTTTGGGTACCATTTTACTCCTTACTATGTATCATGCTGCCTGATTTTCCAACAATTCTACAAGATGGGATTGGTGTCATTCCCACTTTACAGATAAAGTGAGGTTCAGGCAGATTAAATAGCTGATACGGGGACATCCCCCCAGCTGGTAAGTGGCTGCTTCAGATCCTCCAGGGTCTTCTCATTGCCCATCCATCATGCCTGTGGGGGGGTCTATGGGACCAGGCCCCTACGCACCTATCTGATCTCATCTTCCAGTCACCCCTCACTCACACCCCTCCAACTTTATCAGCCTTCTTTTTAGTCCTCAACACAGATACCCCAAGGCCTTTGCACTTGCTGTTTCCCCTGCCTGGAATGCTCTTCCCTCTCATTGTCACCTGGCTGGAGTCCTTCATTCAGGTCTCACCACTCGGAACTCACAGCTCCACGAGGTCTCACCCTCCCAACTAACCACACACCTTCTATCATGTTACTTTGCTTTATTTTCTTCATGACACTTGTCACTATATGAAATTATTTATTTGGTTTGTTTACTTATTAGTTTTCTCCCCCACTAGAATATAAGCTCCATGAAGGCAGGGACCTATCTACTGTTTCCCACTATATCTCCAGTCCCTAGAGGATCTGGCATATAGATGCTCAGTAAAGACCTGCACAATAAATGAATGCAGTAGGTAAACTAGGATTGAAACCCAGGTCTGCACAACTCTGAAGCCCAGAGAGCTTTTGCCATTGTGCTAGAAATGCCTTTCTTCCCACATCTTTTTAACTGTTGGCAAATAATTTCTCAGTGATGAAGCCTTTTGACATTGTCTTTAAAATTTGATAGAGTTTTGTTTTTTAAGTATGTCTGGGCTATCACAGAAGAAAAAATCTTATTTAAACCCCAAATACAGGTCCATAAATAACCTTTGCTCTTGAAAACTGAGGAGACTCCACATCATCCTTTAAAGGACTTCAGGGGTGCAAATGACTTTTCCCAAAATTCTTCCTGTAATCAAGTATTCACAACCCTCGTCCACACTGCAAGCCTGGGCTCCCAATAGCTGTGGAAGAATCTTCTCATAGAGTCAGTAGTAAAGTCAACAGCCCTTTGTGATGGCGCTCAGAGGGTAATTGCTGGCATGAATAATTGTCAAGCAGCCCCAGGGGGAGCGCCTGATTAAAAAAAAGGGGGGGGTCTGTTCCCTGGGAAAGAGAGTCACAGCATCCAGGGGTCACTGATAAAAATGAGAACCATGACAACCGCCCAAAGCCAGGCACTGTACTAGGTCCTTTACACCTGATAATGTGCAAGGTTGACTCTGCAAGGTAGAAGTGTTTAGGCTTATTTTATAGAAGAGAAAAATTGAAGCTCAGAGAGGGTAATTAATTGTCTCCACCTCATCTATCTGGAAAGTAGCAGAGTTGAACATCAAATCTTTATCGTTATAAAATGGCCCATTTTTGTCCCTGATGATATTCTTTGTTCTGACATCTACTTTGTCTGATATTAATGTAGCCATTCCAGCATACTTACAATTAGTATTTTCATGATATGAGTTTTCCCATTATTTTATTTTTAACCATATTTAAAATGGAATTTTTATAGACAGCATATAATTTGGTCTTGCTTTTTTATTCAGTCTTGCAATCTCTGCCTTTTAACTGAAATGTTTAGGCCATTTATATGTCATTGTAATCATTGGTACATTTTGTTTAAATTTGCCATCTTGATATTTGTTTTCTAGTTGTATCATTTATTCTTTGTTCCTTTTTCCCCTTTTCCTGTCTTTTTTAGGGTTAATTGAATATTTTTGGTAGTCAATTTTATCTCCTCTGGCTTATTAGCTATATATCTTTGTTTTATTTTAGTGGTTGTTATAAGGTTTAAAATATGAATCTTGGCTGGGCACTGTGGCTCATGCCTGTAATCCCAGCACTTTGGGAGGCTGAGGCGGGTGGATCATGACGCCAGGAGTTCAAGACCAACCTGACCAAGATAGTGAAACCCTGTCTCTACTAAAAATACAAAAATTAGACAGGCATGGTGGTGGGCACCTGTAATCCCAGCTACTTGGGAGGCTGAGGCAGAGAATTGCTTGAACCCGGGAGGTGGAGGTTGCAGTGAACCAAAATCATGCCACTGCGCTCCAGCCTGGGTGACAGAGTGAGACTCCATCTCAAAATAATAATAATATGAATATGAATATGAATATTTAACTTGTTGAAGAAAGCCTAAAACAATATACTTACATTTCTCCCTCCTGTCCTTCATACTATTGTTATCATACGTCTTACATCTATCTCTATAATAAGTCTATCAATACAAATCATCTTTTAAAGAAATTTTAAAATGAGAAAATAAAATTCCTTAAATTTACCCATATTTTTCCCACTTCTGACACTCTTTATTCCTTTACATAGACCAGTTTTCCATCTAGTACCATTCTTGTCTTGACTGAAGAATGTCTTTTAATATTTGTGGTTGTAGAAGTCTTCTAAAGACAAACTTTGCCAGCTTTTGTATGTCTGAAAAAGCTTTTATTTGGCCTTAATTTTTGAAGGATATTTTCAATGGATAGAGAATTCTTAGTTACAGAGTTTCCATTATCTTCTGACTTGGCATAATTTCTGTTAAGTGTGTGATGGCTTTATCTGTTTTCCTGTTTTTACTCCCCAGTTGCTTTGAAGATTTTCTCTTTGTCACTGGTTATTAGAAATTTGATTATCATATGTCCTGGTGTGGTTGTGTGGTTTTGTGTGTGTAAGTGTGTATGTGTGCACTCCGTTTAGAACTCATTATACTGCTTAAATGTGTGGGTATATAGTTCTCATCAGGAAGTTTCTGGCCATTGTTTTTTCAAATGGTTTTCTCTTTCTGTTTCTCTTCATCCTCTGGAATTTGAATCATAGGTGGAGGATCCCTCTCTGCCTCATCCCCTCCCACCAACGCTTCTTGCCCATGGAGGGGTGAGTCCTGTTGGCTGGGTGCAGGGGTGGGCATCAGCGGAGTTGCCACGGAGACACTCTGCAGTAGCCCAGGCATCACTCACACGCCAACAGCACCTGCCATCACATCCCTCTGCAGACACTGGAGCAGGATGACTGACCTATGACAACAGCCAGGAATTCATTCTTTGAGTCAAACCTTGAGGCTCAGGACACATACCTGAATGGAGGCAGTTTTTTGTATAGAGCTTTAGAAGGTTGTTTTTACAAAACAACACTTTCTTTCTCTTTTGTAAATAGAAGACACCAGTTATGGTGTGCTTATCATGTGCCAGACACTGTGCTAAGCACAAAAAACAAGTTAACGCATTTCACCTTCACAAGAACCCTGAACATAGATATTAACTACATGGAATAGATGAGGAAACTGGGGCTCAGAAAGGTTAAGTAACTCCCATATGGTCACACAGCAGGCCGACAGTGAAGCCTGGACTCAAACTCAGAACTGTCTGACTCCAAAGCCCACATTGTCTATTGCCTGGCTCGTGGAAGGAAGAGTGGGGTAAAGGCTCTGCTCTCGGGTTTGCCATCTACACCAGTTCCTTACCTGCCCTAGGGGTGATTGTAGAGGGGAGAAATAGAAGCTGGCCAAGAAGGGGGAAACGAATCTTTATTAGCTTTTTACCTGATTCTAAAAGAAAACATGTTTATCTTAGATGATTGGGAAAGTACAGAATAATACAAAGAACTCCCCAGTCCCCTGTGTAGGATGACTTCAGGAGTGTGGAGCTGGCCCTGTGTCTCCAAATACCTCCCCCACCAATCTGCTACAGAGACTGCAGTTTTCCCTGAACAATCATTTCTCCACAATGAAGCCCTTTTTTTTTTTTTTTTTTTTTTGGCCTCTCTCTTAAAACACAAGTGCCTCACATTCTGGCCCAAGAACAGCTCACTGGGACCGGTGATTACGTCCCCGCCCTCGGGGAGCAAACTCCTGCTTAGGAAGCGCAGGACTCCAGAGGGAAATGGGAAATACCATAAGTGGGGCCCGGAAGTAAGGCCCTTCCTCAGGATAAGGGTGGAATCGACCCCCTTTCCAGGCTTTCTAGAGAAGGAAGGATGTCCAGTGGTGGTGTTAAGACACGGAGCCTCCCCTGAGGTCCCGTTAGCCAGTGCTGGGACAGGAATGAAAGGAGAATAAAAGCACAAAGGATCCTCAGAATGGCCTCTGGAGGTGGGGCATCTTAGGGGAGACAAAGGGGGTGATCAGTGTGCAAACAGGCGTGGGACAGCAAGGAAAGGGGCAGAGCAGAGCCGGCTCCAGGGAGGCACATCAGGACCACAGACAGGAAGAAGCACAGACTCCACACTCCTCCACCAGAGATGGCAGGCACAGCTCTGCTTCCTCAGGGACCAGGGGAGCCATGTGGCAGCAAGGAGAGGGGGCAGCCTGGAGCTTGGACCAAAGGAAGCAGTCCCTGGTCCACATAGCCCTATGTCCCTCTCCAGGAATCCCAAGCCTGTCCTCAGTGGCTTCTCCAGAGTGGCCAACAGGAGGGATGGGGAGCCCCTCCCAGCAAGACTCTAAGGTGGTCAAAGGAGAGAGGCAGGAGCAATGGGAAATCAAGGCATCCCCTCTCTGGAGGCCCCTCAGAGCGAATCCCCTTCCTCCAAGAGCTGGGAAGCTGTCTTCCTTTCTCCTCTCACCCTTATCCCTTGTCACAGATATGACTCTTGTCTCTGTTAGCCCCTAACCCCAGGGGAATGAAGATTCAGTCTATCCTCTCCCTCCCAAGTCTCAACCGTATAGGCAAACATCGTCCCATACACGTAATCCTGAAGCACACATAATTTTGCATTCTATATTTTTATGTATAATAAATTACATATAAATACTGTACATATACTTCTATATAATAAATTATATGGAAAAAGCAGAATGCAAAATTATGTGTGTCCCAGGATCATAATAAATTACTTATAACCAATTATCCCAACCATTTTGCTATTTTTCTGTATAGTCTTTGCTGTGATTTTCCAGGCTTCTTTTTTTCTTTTTCAAGGGTCCCTTTTAATCATTGCACAATTCCTCATGGAATAGGCAGACCCAATTTGCTGAACCAGTTCCCAAAGGCCAGATGTTTAAATGGTGTCTAGTTCTTCACTGGTGTAGGGAACCCAGCTGCCTAGGCATTTTGTTTTGTTTCATTTTGTTTTGCTTTCTGAAATCTGATGCACTAACGTTGTGAGAGAAGTAATTTCTCTGCCTCCCCTTCTGTCCCCAGGGAGTGCCAGACTCTGCCCATGTCACCACCTCCCCCAGGAGAAAAGCCTGCAACAGATTGTTGGGGGGCTTCTTCATTCATTCATTCATTCTTTCCTCAAATGTTATCAAGCAAGGCCACAGCTGGGGGTATCACTCCCTGAAGGAAGAAGACGTTAAGTAAGTGGGAAATTCTAACCTAAGAGGATCTGTGCTCTGGTCAGAGAATAGTGATCTGGGAATATAAAGGGGCTCATAATCCTGACATGAGCTTCCCAGGGGATACACAGCCTAGGCTAACAAAGGAAGAATGGGTAAAAGACAGCCAGGTAAGTAAACAGAGGTGTCCAGGAAGAGAGAAATAACTGAGGCCAAGGCCCAGGGAGGAGAGTGCAACCCTTCAAAAGCTCTGAAGGTTCCCAGTGTGCATGGAGCTCAGCAGGGCGAGGTGGGAAAGTGTAGGAAAGAGCCTGTAAGCCACGATAAAGGCTTTGACCATTCCCTTGAAGGCACTAGGGAGCCATTGAAGGTTCTTAAATAACAGAGTGACTTGATCAAATTTGAATTTTTTTTTTTTTTTTTTTTTTTTTGGGACGGAGTTTCTCTCTTGTTGCCCAGGCTAGAGTGCAATGGCACAATCTTGGCTCACCGGAACCTCTACCTCCCGAGTTCAAGTAATTCTCCTACCTCAGCCTCCCGAGTAGCAGAGATTACAGGCATGTGTCACCGCACAAGGCTAATTTTTTGTATTTTTAGTAGAGACGGGTTTTCCCATGTTGGTCAGACTGGTCTCGAACTCCCAACCTCAGGCCTCGGCCCGACTCGGCCTCCCAAAGTGCTGGGATTACAGGCATGAGCCACCGCGCCCGACCCAAATTTGAATTTTAATAAACTCATTCTGCCCTCTCAAGTTCTTTCCCTGGCAGCGTCTTGGCCACGACCAGGGCAGTTCAGGAGGGCATCAGGGACATCCTGAGTCAGAGTTGGTGGGAGACATAAGGAAATCAGCGTGGGGTTGAGAGGAAAGCAGGGACCCAGGTGAAGGACAGGACACAGCCAGGCTCCTGATGAGGGACCTCTGTGAAGGGCACAAACCAGGCAACGGGAAGACTCTGAGCCAAGACGCCATTTGTCCCTAGCAGCTCTGAGGGCAAAGGTCCTGGTTCTCGGGCAGGCTAGTTCATCCCTGAGCACCCTGTTCCTGCCCCACCCCACCCCTAGCAGGATCAGAACTCTGCAGCCAACCTGAGGGCCGTGCTGCCTTGGAAATTCAGGTTCCCATCCCCGAGTCAGGCTCCCCCTGCTTCTCCCGCCGCAGGGTTGCCATGGTAACCATTCGAGGCATGGAGATTCTCGCTGAGGCTGCAGAATGGCCCTAAACCTGCCTGAGCTGGGGAGGGGCAGGGAGGAATGGGGTGTTTCCTGGTATTCCCTATGGATGGCTCCTCTCCCTGGTATTCCCCATTCCCTGGCTCCTCTCACTTCCCAGGATAAAAGGTCAAGGGGCTACAGGGCTTAGGAGAGGGGGTGAGGTTGGGTGGGGAAACAAGCCCTGCTGAGTATACAGCCTTGTCCCTTCCTTGGCCCATGGGCCCAGCCCCTGACCATGGCTATTTGCTAAGAAGGGCAAGATTCATTGCACCCTTTCTCAAATGCCTGAAACGAAAACCTCAACAGCCCTCCTGCTGGGGATAGTCTTAGAGCAATAACAAAAATGCCTACGAAGTGTTGAGCACTGAGTTAGCACAGTGCTTAGAGCAGCACACACACAGTCTCATCAAGCAGTCACCACAGGGCTAGGAAGTGCACAGTACACACTTCTTTTTTCTTTTTTCTTTCTTTCTTTTATTTTATTTTATTCTATCACCCAGGCTGGAGTGCGCAGTGGCACAGTCTCAGCTCTCTGCTGCAGCCTCCACCTCCTGGGCTCAAGTCATCCTCCTACAAGCACTCGCCACCATACTTGCCTTATTTTTTAATGTTTTTTTTGTTTGTTTGTTTGTTTGTTTCACAGAGATGAGATCTTACTATATTTCCCAGACTGGTCTCAAACTCCCAGGCTCAAGAGGTCCTCCCACCTTAGCCTCCCAAAGTCCTGGGATAACAGGCGTGGGCCACCTCACCCAGCCAATACATACTTCTTTATCTCCATTGTAGTGACATGAAAACTGAGGCTTCAAGAAGAAACTCATTGGCCCAGGTCACTCAGTCAGCAAGCATTGTGTCCAGTGAAGGCCCCACTCAGTGCCAGCATCCTCTTTAAAAGTCACTGATGGATGATTGTCCACCAGCTACCAACTAGACACTTCCTCTGATGGGGAGCTGACTGCTTAAAAGAGCAGCCCTTATTATTGTGGGGGAGCAAATAGAAAACCCATCCCGACAGTGAGCAGAAGCCAGCATCCCTGAGCGTGGCTACCCTAGACCCAGGTGAGCCCCAGAGGCAATGCCTTCATCCCCCAGCATCCTGGAATAACATTCAGCCTCTACAGAAGCTCTTCCATACAGAGCTGTCAGATGGTTGATTAATTGATTGATTGGTGTTTGGGGATCATTCTGCAGCCAGACACTGGGCTTAGTCTGTGATCAGGGTTAGGGCTTAGTCAATGGTAGAGGCCAGGGGTCACGTACCCAGCCAAGGTCAGGGTTACCATCTTTGCCTGGGTCAGAGATCTGTGAACAGACTCTCTGCACGTTAAGCTTCCAGGCCCTTCCAGAGGTCATGCTGCAATCTTGGCCTCATTAGCGCATGACTCTCACCAACCAGCTGGGCCCATCTGGTTTCTTATTAATCCAGAAGGGAGCTGGAGGAAGCAGTCTTCTGGGGAGTGAGCAGCCCTGGATTAAAGAGCTTGCCAGTCATGCCATTGCCTCCTCTTCTCTGCGGCCAGGAAAGCATCTTGCCCTCCTCTCTGCTGTGGCCTTTGGCCCCTCCCCACTATGGCCAGACCACAGGGCTTTGGCTGATGACCAAGCCACGCTTCCTGTGGGGCCAGAGGGGAGGCAGGTGGGAGGAAGAGCTGGGAGTAAAGGAAGGGCTCTGTAGGAAGGGACATGGTAGAGACATAGAAAGTGGTTGTCATGAGGTTATCCAAGGTCCAGCTATGCCCAGCCATGGCACCTGCCTCTTCCCTTCAGGTGGATGGGTCTCATTTCCATTCTATATGCTTTAAATGGCTGTTCATACTGCATAAAAGCCACTTTCATTCCAGTTCCACAAAACCAGATTCTATTTCTTATCCCCCTTCCTTCACGGCCCATCTCAGGTATTACCTCCCCCATGAAGCCTTCCCCAATTCCCTCAGCTGAGAGGACCACTCTCTGTTCTGATTTACTTGTTAGAGCTGTTTGTAGGCAGGTCTAACCATCCCTATCAGTCTGTGAGCTCCTTGAGGGCAGGACTCATTTTTAGTTCATGTCTCTGTCCCCTGTAATACCCAACTCTTACACATGCAGCAAGTTTAAGGTAAATGTTTACTTATTGGATGAAAGGACATGTGGATGGAGAAATGCATTTATAGATGAAAGGATGATGTCAGAGACACAGGTTGAATTCCCCAGGAAGCAGATCCTGAGCCATAGTTTAGTGTGCAGGATGTTTAATAAGGAGCATGCTTGGAGTCAACACCTGTACAAAGGAGAGAAAAGGAAGCAGGAGCAGGCAGAGGGAAATTCAAGCTGGAATGCAGGCCCCACACCGTGGGAGCTCTGGAGCAAGAACAGCCCTGCAGAGTTGTCCTGATGCACCAACATGATCAGGCCCTTATACTCTCACAATGATGTCATTGGATGTAGGCTGCCTTGGGAAAGGGCGCAATCTTGGGCAAGACAGTTCTCTTCAGCTGAGATAATCCCTGAAGTAACTGACCACTAAAAGCTCTTTGACACCAGCACTCCTAGCAGTTGGAGCAACAAGTCCTCCATTGTAAGGGGATCTGAACAGCACATCACAGTGTCCACCACAGATAGAGATGATAGATGACAGATGATGTGTAAATGCATGGTTGGCCAGATGGATGGATGGATAGGAAAAGGATGGATTCATAGATGTGAATGGTGATTAGATAAATGGATACTTGGATGATGGATGGATGGATGGATGGGTGGATGGATGGATGGATGGATGGATGAATGGGTATCCTGATGATGGATGAACAGATGGATGGATAGAAGGTTGGGCGAATGGGTATTCGGATGATGGATGGATGGATAAATGGATGGGTGGATGCACAGATGCAAGGATGATGGATGAATTGATGAATTCATAGATACATGAATTCATGGATGATGAATGGTTGGGTGGATGACTGACAACGAATGCATGGATGCATGAATAGGTAATGCTTTCCCAACATTTCATGTCATTTGAGTAACTGAATCCTCCCAGTTACTCACCTGCTTCTTCCTTTTCCCTTGGGCAGATTCAAGAAGGGAGCCCAGACAGCAATCTTAGCAAGTGAAATGATCCAGAGCATGATGGCAGAACTCTCCAACATCAGCACACAACAGGGGGTCAGGGAGGGGTCTGGGAACTATTACCTGGATCTATAGCAAAGACCTATAAAGTATTAAGACAGACATGACCACAGGCCCATGACAAGCATGAGGGTGGTGAGAGGCAACGAGTGAGCAGTCAGAAGCAGCATGGACACCAGGGGAACTGCTGTGAATGGCAAGGGTCTTTGCACTGACAAGAGGAAGGGCAAGTTTCAGTACCTCCAGGGTGGGGGAGAGTCTTCCCCGTCCACTGAAGGCCAAGCACAGGTAACCCCAATGCCAGCCACCCTGTGGACTGACCCCTGCCAGTGGCAGCACAAAACCTCTCTTTATACTGTGGCTTTCACACCCTAACCCCCAGCTGGCTGCCCTCTTCTTGTGACTTAGCCACTGGGGGACATCTCAGGTTAATCTCAAGCTTAGAACAGCTTTTGGGGGCCACAAAGACTAGGGACACCCCTCAAGGGCTGATGACAAAACATTGGCTGGGGTAACTTGATGCTCCATGTCTCAGGGAGCAGCTTTCGGTGAGACAGAGCCCACAGGATAATTTGGACTGGAGATGAGGCCATGTCTGGGGATGGAGAGCCTAAGAAAGGCTGTCTTTTCCTCTCTCCCTGGCCCATGCTCGTCCAGGCTTAAGCTTCATTTCCCACCCACTCCCTAACCAGGATGCCCTTCCAAAGCCAGTGTTCCCCACTGGCAAGGTTGTGAGGCCGCGTCTTCTCTCAATTTCTCTGGCCTCAGGAGGAGCTTCTAGATAGGGGAAGATGAGGGTCGGAGGGGAAGCAGAAAATTTGTCTTACCTAATTGCCTAAATGTGGTATGAAGTCTCTGCACAACTTCCCAGCCTCAGCCCACAACAACCCTCACCCATTTCCCCACTGCAGTCGGGGAGGGAAGTTATGCCACAGGCAGCCCCATCAGGAGGCCCACATGGCAAAGAACCAAAGGCTTTTACCAACAGTCCTTTGAGTGACCTCAGAAGTGGCTCCTCCAGCCCCATCAAGCCTCGGATGACTGCAGCCCTGGCCAACATCTTGATCACAGCCTCATGAGGGACCCTGAGCCAGAACTACCCAGCCAAGTCACTCCCAGCTTCCCAACTCACAGACACCCTCAGAAGCAAATAGAAGAAATTCTTGTTATTTTAAGCCACTAAGTTTGGGGTAATATGTAATACAATAAATAACTAACCTTAACCCCTTCACACACACCCAGAGAAGACGAGCTGATAATCAGGTTGCAGGTCCCAAGAGGACAGTGGGCCACATGTACTGTGAGCAGAGTCACGATGCATTTTAAAATCATCCTCACATGAGACTCGCTCTTATCTCTTCTTTTTCAATGCATGTCATCTGATGCGTAAGTCAGCCTGGGGTCTTCTCTTCCTGCTAATCCCACTCAGACAAGAGCCTTTAGGGGTCTCCTCTCATGGCATCTGTGCTGCATAAACAAGAGGCTGTAAGCTGCATGGAAGAGCTTAGTCTCTAGCTATGTCTTAGAGCTTGGACACATTTTGTTTCTGGTTTCAGGAAACTGCTTGGATATGGGCTTAGAAGAAGCAAAAGCCTGCTCCCAATCCCTTAAATCTCAAGCTAAATCCATAGGGCCCAGCCTAGGTTATCAGAGAGCCCTTCACTGAAAGGTCAGACACCAACACAGCAAATAATAAAGCAGTGGCTTGACTTTCCACTTGCTCTTCTTGGGAACCTCATGGGGAGAAGTGGCTGTAATGTGAGGCAGAATTCCAGCCATAACCACATCTTTAGAATGAAGTTTTCCAGCTAGTGATCTGTGAATAAGTTTTGGGTGTATGCCAAGTATAACTTCCCTCCAGCTTTGAGGTATTGATCCCCTCAGCCCTTGGAACCGCTGGATGAGGACTGGAATAGTCAGACTCCAAGCCAGCCACCTTAGGCTGTGTGCAGTCTCGTGGAATTTCCCCAGTGGACTGTAAAGATATTAACAATTTCCATCAGTCCCAAGATGTGAAAAAAAAGTGAACAACACTGAACTCAGCAAATATCTTTGAATAATTCCTCCATACTCTTTACCTTCATCCAAGTCGATGATAAAAATGCTAACCAGTACAGGGTCAGGGACAAAACACCAACCACCAGAAACCTCCCTCTGGAGGGACAAGAGCCATTCATCAACACTGGGTGTGTTTATCTAAATACTACTCCACCCAAATATTTTTCCATCCATTCCGTGTCTCTCTCCATCTTGTCCACATGGATATCATGACATATTTGCTGATTTTGTAGTCCCATGTGAATTAATGGATAAAGGTAATCATCATCAGTGGCTGATAACAACACATAAGAAGAGAATCATCCAAGCATCACGTACTCCCAGTGAATACGCAACACTACTATGAAGAGGGATGCCAGTTATTCGGTGACTATCTCTCAGCTCCAAGCCCCCTCCTCTCCTTGCCCTTTCTATGCTCTGCTTTGAGATGCTAAGGCTGGCACTCTGCAAAACACCTTAATCTTTTCCTGGCTGCTTCCATGTTTGGCTCTGCCAATAAGGACACCAAGGAGAGACTCAAAGGCAGGAGAAGAGATTTGCTACTTCCTGCTGGCTTGCTGGATTCTGTTGCCATTGCTCCAGCATTGACACTTCATCACACCCCCTCAGGGGACCCAGCAACTGCTGAGTGATGTCCCCTGGGATGTCTGAGAGCCAGCTCTGCAGTTCTAGATTCTGTCTTCCCACTTCTTCCCCTTGTCCTCCATTCCTAGAGGTGGTGATGCATCCTGGAGTTGTTACCTCTGCTGATGCCCAGTGTAGTTTCTGTTTTCCCTGTTGGGCTCCTAAATAGTGCAGGACTCTGCCAAATATAAAAGAAAGAAAGACACTGAACCTGAATCTGATCAAATTTCTAGATCTAACCATTAACTTAAGCCATTAAGCCATTAAGTTAATGTATCCATTAAGTTTTGTGTTATGCTATAATAAACAACTAATACAGGTGTGATCATGGTACCATAGTTATGATTTTTGATGCACAGTGAAATATTTATATAATGTCTGTGATTAGCTTCAAAATAATGGGGAGGGTGAAAGGAAAGAATGTGGTTGGGAGTGAAACAAAGATGGATCCCTGAGTGGAAAGTTGATGAAGTTGAAGGATGGGTACTGCTATGGTTTGAATTTGTCTCCCAAAACATATGCTTTGGAAACTTAATCCCCAATGCCACAGTATTGGGAGGTGGGGCCTAATGAGAGGAGATTAGGCCAAATCTTGCATGGTGAAAAGTATGCTGATCTGTATACTGTAGATCAGAATCCACATTCTTCCCCCTTTTGAGAACTGAAATGGTGTACATTTATCTTCAGCAACACTTCCTACTTTTCCTCCTCAAGGACAGAGAGAGTGGCTCAGTGATCTTCCCTCCAACTTGATCTGTGGATCACGAGTTCTCTGCTCAGTGTGGAGCACAGAACTCATTTAGAGCAGCCAGGTGAGTGCAGATAACTTTTTTCATACACCTAAATGCTTCCATAGCATATTTGTATATTCCTTGTCAGTCCAAAGAGAAGTGACAGAAGCAAAATAGGAGATGAAGAATTATGTTCTGTCCACCACTGAAAGGCAGTATGCCGTCTTCTCCAAGTTCTGCTGGGCCTAAAGCATAAATATATCAGGAAAAGAAACAAAAAGAAAGAGAAAAGCAACAGAAAGTATAAAATGTGAGGCAAAATGAATTAAATAGGGCAAAGAAGAGTCATTTGGTATTGATAAAAGTAATGATCAATAATGAAGTCAGGGTCCAGTTCATGAACATTAATGGGCCAGAGAACATAGCATCAAAATACATTAAGCATAAATTCTTAGATGTGTGAGGAGCAATTGACAGAAACTCAATTATAGTGGGAAACTAGCATACTCACCTCAATCCATTTAAGATCAAGAAGGCAAACTTAAAGCAATAAGAGATACAAGCTATATCACTAATAGCTGAATTAGTAGATATTGAACTTATATTCTATAGAGACCGTATCTTTCTGTCAAGTGTTTGGGCAACACTTGCAAAATTGATCACATACCAAGCCACAAATAAAACCTTATTCAAAATCAGGCAGTTCCAAAAAACCAATTGTAATAAAATTAGAAACAAATAATACAAGCTTATTATTTACATGAATAAATTTGTTAAAGCGATTATTTACAGGTTAAAAAAAAAATTTTAACCCAAGAAGGGGATCTTTTATTCTCAATTTTCTTTTTGCTGTAAAATTCATAAACATCCCTTTCTGCTATCCTTGAAATTTTAGGAAGCCTTAGCTCACTTGGCCTTCTGATTTTCTGACACTGCCTATCCACACCCAACTGAGTGGTCATTTGGTGTTTTGACCACCAGGTCATCATTTTGTCTTTTTTTGGCAATGGTGATCGTTTCCTTCTGGGAAGGCACCCTCCCCACTACTCTCAATGTGTGAAGAGGTCTGGTGTTAACTACACCCTGTCATCACTGCCACTGGTGAACATGTGATACCAACCTGATCAATAAAGTATTGTATTCCTTGCCCACAGTGATTAGTTCAGGAATGACCATATGACCCAACCCAGCCAATGAAACATTTGCTGGGACCACTGGGCTCGATTTCCTACTGGACTTGAACTTGGAAACATGTTAAGTCTGGAATAGTGGCTGCCATGTACGTGGCTATCATAAAAGGAGTTCCTATGCAAGTTCATAACAATGGAGCCAGCATAGGCTCCTATGCTATGTCCCATGACGTCATTTGAGCTCCTAAATCAAGCCACACCTGAAATAAGACCTACCCCTAGGCTTCAATAAATTACATTTTGGTTTAATCCAGATTTCGAGGGGTTGCCACTTGTAACAGGAAAACTCCTAGCCACACTGGTATCTTTTCTTTCCATTTTGAGCCTGTCCCTTTAAGCCTGATGTCTTTAGACGCTATTCTCTTTTTAATACATACTCAATTATTTGGGTTTGAATGACCCAAATTGCATTTTTTAAAACTTTCCATCCCTTTCTTGAGCAGTCTTTCCCCCTAGAGTGTCATGCCATGGATCATTTGTATCATTCACCAAATGTATCTATCATTCCTGTCATTTTTCAGAATGTTTAAAATATTTCTCATTCTAACTCAATGCTTTCTGCCTGTGGATTGACTCAAATAGATTCTTTTGCAGCTACTGTTTCTCTGAGAGAGGGACAGATAAACAGACACCAACAGAAAGGCCAGGATACAAATCGTTGTCAAGCCTACCCTGAGGCAGAAATTCTGCCAGGTATATATCTTTTCACGTTTTATCTTCGGTAACCCCGTGAGATCAATTTTAAAATGCCCATCTTAGACATGAGGTCAGCAAATCACTTCCCCAAATTACTATAAAGGGAGAAGAAGCCAGAGGTCAAAAGCAGGTCTGACTGATCTCAAAGCCTTTCCATTCTTCCTGTGTCACCAAACTGCCCACTCTGGGCCATTGTTTCTTCAGGAATAGACCCTGGGGCGCCCTCTGGATAAAATTCTGGGAAGCAGCCCATGTGGGCAAGTGGAAGCTCAGGGTAAGGGTGACAAGGTTGACTCAGTTTCCCCAGAGAAGAAGCAAGAAGTTTGGGATCCAGATGCACCCATTAAAGGCCTCTGGGAATGTGGCCAGGCTGTCCTGTCCTGCCCCTATGGAGTCCTCCAAACACCCACCAGCGTCATACAGGCTGAGAAGGCACCAAGCCTTCTGTCTGGCACCTTACAGGAACAGTGAGGAGACCAGGGAGGAGGTGTCACATGCAGCCTCTGCCCCTGTGTGTCTTCATGTCCCAGAAGGCCCTCCCCAGGACCTGACCATGTAAGAAACTGCCCACTCTGGATGGATGTCACTCGCATGCCTCCTGCTTCCACCCAGGGAGCTGGAGCCCTTGGCAGGATATCTATCCCCAGCCGCAGGACAGAACCCACCTTCGGGCCAGTGACCCCAAACCCAAAGCCCTGCTCTTCACTGTTCTCTGTTTGAATAAGGACTCTGGGAAACGCACCCAATGGGAGACACATTGGAGAGAGGAACGTTTCCTTGTGGGGAGACGGACTGTCTCGGGATATTTCATGTAGTGACAATTGAAGTTGGAGCTTGACACATGAGGGTTTGTTCTGTTAGTCCCAAAGATGCCATTGTCAGCAAAGAGTGACTCTCCCAGAATCCCCCAGGTAGATCCCAACCCCTGCTCCACCTCCCGAAAGCATGGCATCCAGACCCCCACCCAAAGAACCCCCACCCAAAGTGATCATGCTTGCTCCAGTGCCTATAAGAGTACTGCCTTCCACTGGACATCTATTAGACCAGATGGTTTACATGTATTATCTTTAATGTGAACATCAGCCCCTATGCAATAGGTATTGCTATCTCCATTTCATGTATGAAGAAACTGAGGCTCAGAGAAGTCGAGAAATCCATAACCTCTCTCTCTCTCTCTCTCTCTCTCTCTCTCTCTTAGAGCTGGGCCACTGGAACTAGATATACACATGCAGTGGATGGTGGATGGTCCATGCCCCTTCAAGTCCATTTACTCACCTGACGGGTCTTATGTGGATATTTGTCTACCCCACTAGATAGGAGCACCTCCAAGAGCCGGATCCAATTCTAATTCCAAGAGTGCAGAATAATAGACATTGGAGACTAGGGAGGGTGGGAGAATGTGGGGGTGAGGGCTGAGAAATTACTTAAGGAGTGCAATGTACATGATTTGGGTGATGGTTACACAAAAAGCTCAGACTTCACCACTATGCAATATATCCATGTATCAAAACTGTACTTGCATCTCATAAATTTATACAAATTAAATATATATTATATGTATGTATATATGTTGTTTTTTTTTCTGAGACAGTCTCATTCTGTCACCCAGGCTAGAGTGTAATGGCATAATCTTGGCTCACTGCAATCTCTGCCTCCCAGGTTCAAGTGATTCTCATGCCTCAGCTTCCCAAGTACCTGGGATTACAGGCGCCCACCACCACACATGGCTAATTTGTGTGTGTGTGTGTATCTTTAGTAGAGACAGGGTTGCCGTGTTGTCCAGGCTGACTCGGACTTCTGGCCTCAAATGGTCCACCCACCTCAGCCTCCCAAAGTGCTGGTATTACATACATGAGCCACCGCACCTGGCCAAATATGTACTTTTGAAAGAACTGGGTCTTACCCCACCACCCCCCGATATGTCCCCCATCCTCCACATGGTGCTTTGAGTAGGTGCCTAGGGACATTTTCCATATTTGCGGCTGCCCATGATCCCTTAAGGGGCTTTTCATTTGGAGACATTCCCTCTTGATGGGTTCTCCCTCCCTAAGTATGTCTTAACCTACTTCTCTGGCTCCCTTGCAGTTAGGATGCAGGCATGTGACCTGGGCTCTGCCAATCAGACACTGCCCTGAGAGTCCCTGATTCTCATGAGGGAACAGACACAGGACATCTGTTTTGTGGTCCAGCCTTCAGGGTGGCTGTAGTTACAAGGTAAACTTCCAATGACAGAAGAGACCATGGTTACAGCAACGTCAGCTCCTGGCACCCAGCTCAAGGGCAGCTACTGCAGCACGAACAATGTCCCCATCAAGCCAATTCTATGGCTTGGTCCTGAGACTTCCTCCTGGAAACCTCACCTCAAGTCTGCTTCTCCTACCCTTCCAATGACTCTGTGCAATCTGATATAGTTTAATAAATCCCTTTTCAGCTAAAACTAGCCAAAATGGATTCCAATATTTGCAAGTCAGTAAATGTTTGGCAAATAAACATTTTTAAATCACTTCTCTCCCTGGAGTCTGGAGAGGGAGCCCCAGTGCACAGCATGTCTAAGCCCTCCTTTTCTCTCCACCTCCTGATTACAACCCCAAGTCCCTCGGGCAGCCTCCATCAATGCAAGCAGAATGCAACCCAAGGCATTGTGGTAACTGAACCTGTGCCTGGCACATGGCAGGCCCAAGCACATATTTATTGATTGCTATATTTTTCTTAACTCTCTTGCACCCCTGAATGCCCTGAGCTGCTTTTTGAAATTCCCATCTATTTAATTATCATCATGTCCCAGGCACTGGCCAGAGGGCTTTACAACTATTAGCTCATCTCATCTTACAGCACCTCATAAGCTCATATCATCAGCATCTTGCAGCTGAGGGAACTGAGGTTTGGAGACATGAAGCAGCTTTTCCCTGCTCACAGCCAGGAAGTAGCAGGGTCGGGTTTCAACCGAGGACTGTTTGACTCCAGAACCTGAACATCCTGACCGCTTCCCTCTGCTGCATAAAGGGAGGTGGGCTTCTGGCCGTAGGAAGTCCAGACACCAGCAGGGGACAACAGTTAATCCCCATAAGACCTAATGGAAATTTGGGGATTAATACCCAGGCAGGCTGGAGCCACCGATGCTCTGGTTCACAACAGGAAGACTTAAAGCTATTACAGTTTTTTGTTTTAAAAACAAGTCTTGAGGACTTTCTGGCCACCTGTGACTATTGTCTACGGCCACACAATGGTTTGGACATTCTCCACTGCAGACGGCTTTCCCAGACTCACCAGGATATGAGCAACAGCAATCTTCTTTGTTGCTGGAGTTGCTAGAGCAGGCACCAAGGGTCCCTGTTATGGACTGAATGTCTGCATCCCCCGCAAATCCATAGGTCGAAATCCTAGTCCCCAGTGTGATGCTACTAGAAGATGGGGCCTTTGGAGATACTTAGGTCATGGGTGGAGTCCTCATGAATGGGATTAGTGCCCATATAAAAGAGACCCCAAAGAGCTTTCTTGCCATCTTTCTGCCATGTGAAGGTACAAGAAAAGGACAGCCTGCAAACGGAAAAAGGCTCTCACCAGACCCCGACCATGCTGGCACTCTGATCTCAGATTTTCAGTCTTCTGAACTGTGAGGAATCATTCTCTGTTGTTTCTAAGCCACCCAGTTTACAGCATTGTGTTACAGCAGCCCAAATTGACTAAGACAGTCCTCCTCACCAGGCCTTCTCCCACTCGTTCCTCAGCTTCCGGGGAGGGGCTACCAGCAGGAAGCTGGAGCTGTCTGGGAAAACACAGGTAGGGAGAACATTCTGTCAGGGAGATCTCATCTGCTCTAACTGAGTGATGGTCCTGGAAGACTGGAGGAGGCAGGAGAAGCAAGCTCAGGTAGGCTGCTGATGTTCTTCCTCACTACACACAGCACTTGCCAACCACCTGTGTGGGGGACTCTGACAAGGTACTGTCTGAGGAAGAGCAGAAGCTTTGCTCAAGACCTGTTAGTGTGAAGCCTGACCCTGCCTTAGAGACACACAAAGTGTTGGGAATGCATGACTTCTGCAAGCAAAGGCCAAGGTTAGGGCTTGTTTGGGTGTGGGCCTCCAACTCAGACTTTGTAAAGTGAAGGCCAGTAGGCTGAATCTAATCCCTGTAGTTTTTTCAGCTGGCAAAGTACTTCCAAAATTATATTGTTTAATTATTTTCTAGCATCTTAATTGAGAGACTTCACAGTGTAGTGAGCCATGTGGCTTGAAGAGTACAAGGCCCTTTAAGAGTAGAAAGTGTAAGTCTATTTAGTCAAATGAAGTATACATATACACCATTTTCAGAAATTCCTTCCTGGTTATAGATCCTAGAGAAATTGTCATGCAGATCTATAAAGAGAGTGTGAGGCTCTCCATTTTGGGACTGTTTGAAGGGGGAAAGGGGGAAGAAGAGATTTAGAAGCAAGCTAGGGCTCCCTTGCTAGGAGATGGATAAGTGTGGTGGATACAGCAATTAGGAGCAACAGTCTAGAGGCACATACACCAACCTGGATAGATCATTACAAACATAATGCTGAGAGAAAAAAATAGAATTAGGTCTTTTGTATACAATGAAATACAAATGAAAATACAGGTACATAAAATTATGTCAGTTTCATAAAATCATAAAAATTAAGCGAACTGTATCAAGCACATTAGATGCAGGCAAAGAAGCCCAAAGAGAGATAAGAGGTCATAGAAAAATTCATCCACATATCATTGCACGGACCACTGATGTGAAGGTCAGAAACGAGAAGAAGCTTAAATCAATTCTGAGTTTCCTGAGACTGACCCAAAAAAGCCTGGAGGACCATAACTTAGAGATCAGGGGAGAGGAGTCAAAGGACTAAAAGAGAAAAGCCCTAACATTTTTCTCCATGTGAGGCCAACAGTGGACTTCAGACACCATGGGCCAAGCTGTCAAGGACTTTGACTAGGTTCTTTTGTCAAGGGATCTTTGGGGTGTTGCTTCACTAGCCAGAAACCTCTATGGCCAGTGGTGCCCTTGCCCAAGTTTTGCTCAGGCCCACTGGGCTCATTCCACCCACTCAGCCTGGCAGGCTGCACTCAGCTCACACTACCAGCCTGGATCCCATGCCTTCCAAGAGCAAGCCAGGCATAGAGTGGTGAGGGGTGCATGAGCAAGCGAACACAGGGTCTGGCCACTGTGCACAGCCAGGCATGCTGGCTGCAGCGGGGCAGGCAACTCCAGGCACCAGCATGCATGCTGGATCCCTGCAAGGCTATGGCTGGACCAGGCATACATCAAGCAGCTTCCACTGCAGGCAACGGGGAAAGTGGTGGCACCCAGTAGCTTGAAGATGCCAGGAACTACAGAGCCCCTAAGAGGGTGTCACAGCCCAGGCTCAGGGAGCTCCTAGGTGGGATCCCCAGGGAGCTGCAGTTCTTCTCTCCTTCTCATCACTTGCAACATGGCAAGCAGGGAGGACATGTTGCAGCCCTGTTTGTGTTACAGCTCTTTCAGTCCTGCCATTTGGCACGTCCCAAGCTCTTGTCCCACATCCAGGAAGAATGAGGTACACAGACAACAGGAGGGTGAGCAAGGTGAAGAGGTGCTTTATTGAATGATAGTACAGCTCTCAGGAGACCAAAAGTGGGTAGCTCCTTTCTGCAGGCAGGTTATCCCAACAAGTGCAGCTCTCAGTGGAGAAGAGACCTGGAGTGGGTAGCTCCTATTTGCAGACAGGTTGTCCTGTCAAGTGTGAAGCCCTCAGCAGAGGGGAGACCCAGAGTGGGTAACTCCTATCTGCAGGCAGGTCATCCTGACATCTCTACAGCCCTCAGTGGAGAGGAGATCCGCAGTGGGTAGCTCCTATCTGCAGGCAGTTTGTCCTGATGTCTCTGCAGCCTTCAGCAGAAAGGAGACCTGGAATGGGTATCTCCTATCCACAGGCAGGTCATCTCATTATCTGCCCGAGTCTGGCTGAGTCTGGGGTTTTTATGGGCTTCTGAGGGGAGGAAGTGTGTGCTTATTGGTCCATGGGTGGCCATGGGTGGGCCTGGAAAAGCACCATAAGTTCTCACTTTGGTTAGCAGAACTGGCAGCCCAGCATCCATGCTTCAGGCCATACCCCACTTGAAGGGTGGGCTTCACAAGGCACGTGCCCCTTTCCACCCAAGAGCCTGTCTGCCTCCTGTTGCCATCAATCTGCCACCCACAGTGCCCACAGCACCCAGGCTGTTCGTGCCAAGGGGCACCTGCAGGCCTGTGCCTAGCTGCCCTCAGTCCCCACCTCAGCCTCCCTCCCATGCTCAACAGCACCCAAAGTCCAGAGGGGGCCAAGGCAGTAGGGAGCTGGCATGTCAGCACTGCCCCAAACATGTGCACACCCAGCCAGGTTGCAATAGCACCCAGGCTCAGCCTCAGCCTCAACTTTGCTCTGAAATCAAAGCAGGCATCAGAAGCAGGCATTTCTGAGCCTGTGGGGGCATGGGAGCTTCCAGGACCCCAAGAGTGCAAGGATGCCCAGGTCTACAGCTGCAGCTATGCCTGGGAGGGTGAGGCTCTCAGAGGGCGGGGCTCCCAGTCCTCCAACTTGTAAGGGGGTGGTGCTTCTGCCTGCTCCCACCCCTACTAGCTCCATGGAGCACACAGCCCCAACTGCACCTCCCCTTCTGCAGCTGGCATCTTCACAGTGACCACTCCATGTGGGCTGCTGCTGCCATCACCTTCATTCATTCATTCCTGCATATATGACTCACCTCTCAGCTTTCTGGGGAGGGTTTAATGACTAAATATATGTAAATCCCCTACAACCATCCCTGGCACAAAATAAGCACTAAACAAACTCAACTGTAGTTCAGCAAACATCCACCACTGAGCACCCACCCTCTCACCAGTACATGGGGGCCCCACAGAGAATAATATGTGATCTCTGCCCTCAGAAAGCTCACAGCCTAGTGGGAAGTCAGCAAAGTGAGCAGGCCTTGGAGGTAGCATGGTGCAATGGATGGAGGGTGAATCTGGGCATGGAGAGTACATTCAGGAACACCCAGAGTGGCTTGCAGAGTCAACTAGGCTTGCTGGAGCAGGGACACCTGAGTTGAGATCCCATGAAGGGAACAGGCTGGCTGAGAGATTCTGCCACAACTTGCTGGCAGGCTTTGGGCCGAGCTTTGGTTTACTAATCAATGAAAGAAGAGTGAGCTCTATTTGGGGGGTCTGCTAAATTTAGGGGTTCCATGAATATGCCTAAGGAGTGACTATAATATCCAGAGTGGACAAGCAAGGCTGTAGGCCCCCAGCCCAGCCCCAATTTACCTTTTGTAATGAACATAGAAATATGCAGCCCAGACCCTCCTTCAGGGAAGGGCTTTGGTGCTCCTACTGCTGGGAGTGCCCCTTCAGTATCCACCTCAACTGCAGAGAGCCACCACCAGAAGTCACACCCATCCCAGGGTGGCCTCCATCCAGTGACAGACCAAAGAGGTGGGCAGGATAAAGGCCTGGCCATCTTGGTACATTCAGACAGTGTCGATGGACAAGTGCTAGCTGCAGAGCTCCCCTTGGGGCTGGCCTGGGATGATCCTGGGCCTGCTTCCCAGCTTGACTTCTCCCTCTGCCCAATTCTGATTCCTCCCTGTCCCTTCCACAGGTCTTCGTCCCACAGACACTCCTTGATAGACATCCTGCACACTAATCTTTGTCTCAGAGCCTACTTCCAAGACAACCCAACTCAAAACATTATTTTATATATTAAGGTTTGCTTAGAAAATGGCAAAAACCAAAATATCAATGTAATTTGTTATTGGAGAGTTATTATTAGTCTGCTGCCAAAAACCAACAAACTTCAAAACAGACAGACTCAATTCTCCTCCAGCCAGAACATTCAATGAGAGTAGCCAAAGAGTCATTCATCAAATACCACTGACCATCGGAGCGAGGCTTCAAAATGCTGAGTTGAGTACATGCAGGTCTGGATGTTACATAACAGTTTCAGTGTCATTTTCTATAATAAGCTCTCTTGGGTATTTCCCAGGGATTTCATTTAGTAATTATCCTCATAACCAGAATTATTGATTTATGTGTGCAAAGTTAGGCTTTTTCCTGTTTCTTTGTTTTTTTTGTTTTCTCACATCAGCATCCTATTGGAATCCTGTTTCCTTACAATGTCAAGTTTACACAAAAAACTAAAGGGGTTTACAACCACCTGGATCCAAAGCAGGATTTGGTTGTGAAAAAGAAAAGAAAAGGAACAACTCAAGGAAGTGAGGGGGAAATAGTACAGTTGATCTTTAAACAACACAGATGTTGGGGACACAGACCTCCTGCACAGTGGGAAATCTGCATATAACTTTTGACTCCCCAAAAACTGAACTACTAATAGCCTACTATTGACTGGAGGGCTTACCAATAACAGAAACAGTCAATTAACACATATTTTGTGTGTTATATATATATTAGATACTGTATTCTTACAATAAAGTAAGTGAGAGAAAGGAAAATATAACATTTTCAGAAAATCGGAAAATCATACATTTGGAAAATCAAAAGGAAGAGAAAATATATTTACTGTCTATTAAGTGAAAGTGAATCATCATAAAGGTCTTTATTTTCATTGTCTTCACGTCGAGTAGGCTGAAGAAGAGGAGAAAGAAGAGTGCTGGTCTTGCTGTCTCAGGGGTGACAGAGGCAGAAGAAAATTCATGTATAAGTAGACCTGCGCAGTTCAACCCCATGTTATTCAAGGGTCAACTATAATAACAGCAATCCTCATTAGTTGAGCACTTAATGCCAGGCACTAGATCCCAGAGCTAGTAAGTGGCAGCACCAACACTTGAACCCACATCTTTCTGACTCCAAAGCCCAGGCATAAGCCCCCCATCACCTGTGCCAGTCAAGTTGTTCTAGAAAACTCTGGAGGCAGAAGTCAAGTTCAAGCTACTAGTAGTGCAAGGAGTGAGGTAAGATATACTCTTGGGGCCCTAGAAAAACAGGCCAGTGGAAACCAGCTGTGGTCAGAGAATGGCCTTATGATGAATCATCTTTTGAGGAGACCCTGAAGCCATCCAGGAAGTGTGGGAGCCAAGTGTCTGGGGGACCCCATGTCAGGGGGTGTCTTCAGCAGGCCTGCATGCAGGGAGTTCAGGTCAGGCCATGAGTGCTCTGACCCCATCTACCCTCCATCACAATTTTGCCCCGAAAGCAGGAGCAGCTCTGCATTGAAGCCCACCCCCAAGTCAGGCCACCCCTGCTCCTCGCAGCACTATGTTTGCCATGGCAGCCATTTGAGGCAGCTGAGATGCTTCTTTCACTAAAGAAGGGGTCCCTCACAGGGACAGAGGGAGATCAGAGGGCAGAGGAAAGGCAGGGAGGGGAGATTCCTGGAGGGTGTGACGATTTGCCTTGCTGCTTCCCCCAGTGGATAGAGGGATCCCAATCAGTTCAAAGAAGTGGGGAGCTCGGAAGGTTAGAGGAAGATTTCCAAGGCACTTATGCCTCCGCACACAGAGAACATGATAACATTTGCATGGCACATTGGGGTAAAGTGGAGGTAATTTGGGAGCATCTACAGGAAGCTGGGTGAAAAAAACTATATTACTTTTTCGTATATAATTTTGATAGGAAAAATAAGTACAAAGTAATAGGAAGAATATTAAAAATTGAATATGTATAAAACTTCCCAATAAAATCTTTTCAAAAAATGTAATGAGAAAGTTGAGCTTTCTTCCATGAACACAGGTTTTTTTCATGTCAGGCTTCATGTGTGAAATGGCCATATGCAATTCTTGACCGGGGCTTTTTAATGATGATCTCTTCAAATTCTTGAAAGTCACTATCAACAGGAAACTTTTGTTCACACAAGTACATAATAAAAAATGTCAGACCATTTTATAACCAGTCAAAAATGTAGAACATTTGAAATTTTATTAAAAGAATCTAACAGCTCTTCCTTTTCTTTCTTTGACAAATGTAATGTTGAAATTTCTTATGATAAAGTGAATGGATTGTGAATGCAATCAAACGTTTTATATCAAGTATTTAAAAATAATGACGAAGTTCTAATTTCCAGAATGTGCGTGTATTGCTAGAGCTCTCTCGCTGTAGCTAACAAGGATGCCACTAAAAGGGAACATCACCTGCAAATAGGTTAAAGTTGCCAATTTATAAAAAGACAGAAATTTGGAGACTTCTTCTAGAGCTGCTCCATGCTAGAGACTCTATGCAGCTTCCCTGTCACCCGCTTCATTGGACTAGACACTGAGCTTTCAGTCTCATCTGGTAAGGTGACCAATCATCCCAGTTAGCCTGGATCTCATAGGTTTCCAAGAATATAGTTCTTTCAATGCTAAAATTGGCAAAATCCCAGGCAAACCAAGATGTGTTGGCCATTGTACTAGACCATTTTCATGGGGCTGATAAAGACATAGCCAAAACTGGGAAGAAAAAGAGGTTTAATGAACTCACAGTTCCACGTGGCTGGGGACACCTCACAATCATGGCGGAAGCTGAAAGGCACTTCTCACATGGCCACAGCAAGAGAGAATTAGAGAATTTGTACAGGGAAACTCCCTTTTATAAAACCATCAGACCTCGTGAGACTTATTCACTATCAGGAGTTCAGTACAGGAAAGACCTGCCCCCATGATTCAATTACCTCCCACCAGGTCCCTCCCACGACAGGTGGAAATTGTGGGAGCTACAATTCAAGATGAGATTTGGGTGGGGACACAGACAAACTATATCAGTCATCCTACACAAACATCTGAAGGCTGTTAAGAATCAGTTCCTCGCCGCACGCCTGTAACCCACTCAGTGCACACCTGTAGCCCATTTATTGCACACCTGTAACCTATTCACAGCACACACCTATTGGAAACTTCTAAGAGCAATGTTTCTCAAACTTTCATGTGCACATAAATAACCCAGGGACCTTGTTAAAAGTGAAGATTCTGAACCAGTAAGTCTGGGATGGGGCCCAAGATTTCACATTTCAAACAAGCTCCTAGCAGATGTAGATGTGGTCTGTGGATCACACTTTGACTTGCAAGGGCTTGGACACAGCCCCGAGGAGACCAAGGACAACACTCCATCACCATGAGAGAAGATTTGCAGCCAACAGCCCCAGAGTAACCAGGAAAAGAACAGAGAACAGTCACTGAAACCCATCCTCATCATTTGAAAATCATCCATCTCCAACATCCCACAGATTAGAAGAGTTGCTTTATGCATAGGGCAAGGGTTGCCTATGGGAAAAAATTTCCCATTATGCCTCCAGACCAGTCTGAGTCAAGATCAGTTGACATCAGCTGGACCCTGGCATAGGTCATTACATAAAGTTTCAGGCAGTGATAAACTCATCAGGCAAGGTCTCTGACCTCATGGTGTTTCCAAGATTTCATGCAGGCAAAGCAGCGTGCCTACATGTTCATTCATCCTCTTGTTCATTCATTTACTTACCAAATAGTGTCTGAGGACCTACTATGTGCTAGGTAATAGGAAAGAACACCAAGCATGACCCCAGTAGTTCTGTTTTTGGTAATATTAAATGCCAGATGCCTGGAATGACTCTGCTATTGAAAACAGATTTAAAAGTCTAGAAAAAATAATAAAAGATCTTCTTATATGTAAGATAAGCTGGCAAGAAAGTAAATAATGCACAAGGCAAGAAATACAGTGAAGGTAGAAACCAGAAAGGTAACAGGAGAAAAGCAGCTGATGTTTTCCCAGAGGACGTTTACTGAACCCTGTGAAACAGAGTTTTGGTATTCCCAGGATCCTAGCAATCAAAGAAGAGCTAACAAAGCCCAGGATCTTCCCAAGTTGGAAAGTCTGACAAGGGTTTCTCCCAAGGAATAGCTGAGACTTCCAAGGGGCTGCTCTCAGGTTTGGGACTAAGGAGAAATATCAAGGAACTCTCCTTCATGAGGACTACAAGGAAAGTGGATTGCCTTAAAACTAAGCACTAAGTGGAAAACGGAAAAAGTACTAAAAATCTGGAACAATCAGCCACTTCTTACACAAGTTTGTAAGCCAGTTTCATACTATCTGGGTTGTTCAAGACCCCACAAGTCAAGAATTTAATTTGGAGTGGTTGCTACCATGTAGTGCCCCCAGGAGCCCAACAGGAGCAAAAAATAAATACTCTTTGGAAGAAGCCTCTACAATCCTAGCTCTCACAAATTTCCATAAGCACAAATCAAAGGAAAATGGGCTACTTGCAGTACAAAATTAACCAAAACACACAAGGAAACAAGGCATCATAACAAAGAAGCAACAGAAACAATTGACCATAGAACAGACTTGCGAAGGACACAGGTATTAGACTTATTGAATAAAATATAAAAGAATTATGTGTATTGCTTTTTAAAAAATAAAAAATACACTTTAAAATTTGTACAGAGAACAAGAAAAGAAACAGTAAAGAATAACTAAGCAACATTGATAAAGTAAAAGGTAACTTCTCTGGTCTGTTCCAATGGCCAAATAGGAAGAGCTCTGGTCTGCAGCCCCCAGCATGATAGACGCAGAAGATGGGTGATTTCTGCATTTCCAACTGATGTACCTGGTTCATCTCACTGGGATTTGTTGGACAGCGGGTGCAGCCCACAGAGGGTGAGCCAAAGCAGAGCAGGGCATCACCTCACCAGGGAAGTGCAAAAAGTCAGGGGTTTTCCCTTTCCTAGCCAAGGGAAACTGTGACAGACTGTACTGGGAAAATTGGGACACTCTTGTCTTAATACTGCACTTTTCCAACGGTCTTAGCAAACAGCACACCAGGAGATTATATCCCACGCTTGGCTCAGCGGGTCCCATGCCCACAGAGCCTTGCTCACTGCTAGTGCAGCAGTCCAAGATCGAACTGCCAGGCAGCAGCATGGCTGGGGGAGGGGCGTCCACCATTGCTGACGCTTGAGTAGGAAAACAAAGGGGCAGGGAAGCTTGAACTGGGTCGAGCCCACGTCAGGCCTGCCTCCCTCTGTAGACTCCATCTCTGGGGGCAGGGCATAGTTCAACAAAAGGCAGCAGAAATTTCTGCAGACTTCAAAGTTCCGGTCTGACAGCTCTGAAGAGAAGAGTGGTTCTCCCAGCATGGTGTTTGAGCTCTGAGAACAGACAGACTGCCTCCTCAAGTGGGTCCCTGAAGCCTGTGTAGCCTAACTGGGAGATATCTCCCAGTAGGGGCCTACTGACACCTCATACAGCCAGGTGCCCCTCTGAGACAAAGCTTCCAGAGGAAGAATCAGGCAGCAATATTTGCTGTTCTGCAATATTTGCTGTTCTGCAGCCTCCGCTGGTGATACCCAGGAAACCAGGGTCTGGAGTGGACCTCCAGCAAACTCCAACAGACCTGCAGCTGAGGGACCTGACCATTAGAAGGAAAACTAACAAACAGAAAGGCATAGCATCAACATCAACAAAAAGGACATCCACACCAAAACCCCATCTGTAGATCACCGTCATCAAAGACCAAAGGTAGATAAAACCACAAAGTTGGGGAGAAACCAGAGCAGAAAAGCTGAAAATTCTAAAAACCAGAGCACCTCTTCTCCTGTAAAGAATCGCGGCTCCTCACCAGCAATGGAACAAAGCTGGATGGAGAATGACTTTGACGAGTTGACAGAAGTAGGCTTCAGAAGATTGGTAATAACAAACTTCTCCGAGCTAAAGGAGGATGATGGAACCCATCGCAAGGAAGACAAAAACCTTGAAAAAAGATTAGACGAATGACTAACTAGAATAATCAGTGTAGAGAAGACCTTAAATGACCTGATGGAGCTGAAAACCATAGCATGAGAACTACGTGATGCATGCACAAGCTTCAGTAGCCCATTCAATCAAGTGGAAGAAAGGGTATCCGTGATTGAAGATCAAATTAATGAAATGAAGTGAGAAGAGAAGTTTAGAGAAAAAAGAGTAAAAAGACACAAACAAAGCTTCCAAGAAATATGGGACTATGTGAAAAAAACAAGTCTACGTTTGATTGGTTTACCTGAAAGTGATGGGGAGAATGGAACCAAGTTGGAAAACACTCTTCAGTATATTACCCAGGAGAACTTCCCCAACCTAGCAAGGCAGGCCAACATTCAAATTCAGGAAATACAGAGACCACGAAGATACTCCTCGAGAAGAGCAACCCCAAGCCACATAATTGTCAGATTCCTCAAGGTTGAAATGAAGGAAAAAATATTAAGGGCAGCTAGAAAGAAAGGTCAGGTTACCCACAAAGGGAAGCCCATCAGACTAACAGTGGATCTCTCAGCAGAAACTCTACAAGCCAGAAGAGAGTGGGGGCCAATATTCAACATTCTTAAAGAAAATAATTTTCAACCCAGAATTTCATATCCAGCCAAACTAAGCTTCATAAGTGAAGGAGAAATAAAATCCTTTACAGACAAGCAAATGCTGAGAGATTTTGTCACCACCAGGCCTGCCTTACAAGAGCTCCTGAAGGAAGCACTAAACATGGAAAGGAACAACTGGTACCAGCCACTGCAAAAATATGCCAAATTGTAAAGACCATCAATGCTAGGAAGAAACTCCATCAAGTAATGGGCAAAATAACCAGCTAACATCATAGCGATAGGATCAAATTCACACATAACAATATTAACCCTAAATGTAATTGGGCTAACTGCCCCAATTAAAAGACACAGACTGGCAAATTGGATAGTCAAGACCCATCAGTGTGCTGTATTCAGGAGACCCATCTCATGTGCAGAGATAGACATAGGCTCAAAATAAAGGGATGGAGGAAGATCTACCAAGCAAATGGAAAGCAAAAAAAAGCAGGGATTGCAATCCTAGTCTCTGATAAAACAGACTTTTAAACCAACAAAGATAAAAAGCAATAAAGAAGGCCATTACGTAATGGTAAAGGGAACAATTCAACAAGAAGAGCTAACTATCCTAAATATATATGCACCCAATACAGGAGCACCCAGATTCACAAAACAAGTCCTTAGAGACCTACAAAGAGACTTAGGCTCCCACACAATAATAATGGGAGACTTTAACACCTCACTGTCAATATTAGACAGATCAATGAGATAGAAGGTTAACAAGGATATCCAGGACCTGAACTCAGCGCTGCACCAAGCAGACCTAATAGACATCTACAGAATTCTCCACCCCAAATCAAGAGAATATACATTCTTCTCAGCACCACATTGCACTTATTCCAAAATTGACCACAGAGTTGGAAGTAAAGCACTCCTCAGCAAATGTAAAAGAACAGAAATCACAACAAACTGTCTCTGAGACCACAGTGCAATCAAATTAGAACTCAGGATTAAGAAACTGACTCAAAACCACACAACTACATGGAAACTGAACAACCTGCTCCTGAATGACTACTGGGTACATAATGAAATTAAGGCAGAAATAAAGATGTTATTTGAAACCAATGAGAACAAAGACACAACGTACAGAATCTCTGGGACACATTTAAAGTAGTGTGTAGAGGGAAATTTATAATGCTAAATGCACACAAGAGAAAGCAGGAAAAATCTAAAATTGACACCCTAACATCACAATTAAAAGAACTAGAGAAGCAAGAGCAAACAAATTCAAAAGCCAGCAGAAGGCAAGAAATAATGAAGATTAGAGCAAAACTGAAGGAGATAAAGACACAAAAAAGTCTTCAAAAAATCAATGAATCCAGGAGCTGGTTTTTTGAAAAGATCAACAAAATAGACCACTAGCAAGACTAATAAAGAAGAAAAGAGAGAAGAATCAAATAGACGCAATAAAAAATGATAAAGGGGCTATCATCACTGATCCCACAGAAATACAAACTACCATCAGAGAATACTACAAACACCTCTACACAAATAAACTAGAAAGTCTAGAAGAAATGGATAAATTCCTGGACACATACACCCTCCCAAGACTAAAGCAGGAAGATGTTGAATCCCTGAATAGACCAATAACAGGCTCTGAAATTCAGGCAGTAATTAATAGCCTACCAACCAAAAAAAGTCCAAGACCAGATGGATTCACAGCCGAATACTACCAGAGGTTCAAAGAGGAGCTGGTACCATTCCTTCGGAAACTATTCCCATCAATAGAAAAAGAGGGAATCCTCCCTAACTCATTTTATGAGGCCAGCACCATCCTGATACCAATGACTGGCAGAGACACAACAAAAAAAGAGAATTTTACACCAATATCCCTGATGAACACTGATGCAAAAATCCTCAATAAAATACTGGCAAACCGAATCCAGCAGCACATCAAAAAGCTTATCCACCAAGGTCATGTTGGCTTCATCCCTGGGATCCAAGGCTAGTTCAACATACGCAAATCAATAAACATAATCCATCACATAAACAGAACCAAAGACAAAAACCACATGATTATCTCAATAGATGCAGAAAAGGCCTTTGACAAAATTCTACAGCCCTTCACGCTAAAAACTCTCAATAAACTAGGTATTGATGGGACGTATCTCAAAATAATAAGAGCTATTCATGACAAACCCACAGCTAATATCATACTGAATGGGCAAAAACTGGAAACTTTCCCTTTGAAAACTGGCACAAGATGGGGATGCCCTCTCTCACCACTCCTACTAAACATAGTGTTGGAAGTTCTGGCCAGGGCAATCAGGCAAGAGAAAGAAATAAAGAGTATTCAATTAGAAAAAGAAGTCAAATTGTCCCTGTTTGAAGATGACATGACTGTATATTTAGAAAGCCCCATCGTCTCAGCCCAAAATCTCCTGAAGCTGATAAGCAACTTCAGCAAAGTCTCAGGATACAAAATCAATGTGCAAAAATCACAAGCATTCCTATACACCAATAACAGACAAACAGAGAGCCAAATCATGAGAACTCCCATTCACAATTGCTACAAACAGAGTAAAATACCTAGGAATCCAACTTACAAGGGATGTGAAGGACCTTTTCAAGGAGAACTACAAACCACTGCTCAATGAAATAAAAGAGGACACAAACAAATGGAAGAACATTCCATGCTCATGGATAGGAAGAATTAATATTGTGAAAATGGCCATACTGCCCAAGGTAATTTATAGATTCAATGCCATCCCCATCAAGCTACCAATGACTTTCTTCACAGAATTGGAAAAAACTACTTTAAAGTTCATATGGAGCCAAAAAAGAGCCTGCATTGCCAAGACAATCCTAAGCCAAAAGAACAAAGCTGGAGGCATCACACCACCTGACTTCAAACTATACTAAAAGGCTACAGTAACCAAAACAGCATGGTACTAGTACCAAAACAGAGATATAGACCAATGGAACAGAACAGAGGCCTCAGAAATAAAACCACACATCTACAACTATCTGGATCTTTGACAAACCTGACAGAAACAAGAAATGGGGAAAGGATTCCCTATATAATAAATGGTGTTGGGAAAACTGGCTAGCCATATGTAGAAAGCTGAAACTGGATCCCTTCCTTACACCTTATACAAAAATTAATTCAAGATGGATTAAAGACTTAAATGTTATACCTAAAACCATAAAAACCCTAGAAGAAAACCTAAGCAATACCATTCAGGACATAGGCTTGGGCAAGGACTTCATGACTAAAACACCAAAAGCAATGGCAACAAAAGCCAAAATAGACAAATGGGATCTAATTAAACTAAAGAGCTTCTGCATGGAAAAAGAAACTGCCATCAGAGTGAACAGGCAACCTACAGAATGGGAGAAAATTTCTGCAATCTACCCATCTGACAAAGGGCTAATATCCAGAATCTACAAAGAACTTAAACAAATTTACAAGAAAAAATCAAACAACCCCATCAAAAAGGGGGCAAAGGATATGAACAGACACTTTTCAAAAGAAGACATTTTTGCCACCAACAGACACATGAAAAAATGCTCATCATCACTGATCATAAGAGAAATGCAAATCAAAACCACAGTGAGACACAATCTCACACCAGTTAGAATGGTGATCATTAAAAAGTCAGGAAACAACAGGTGCTGGAGATGATGTGGAGAAACAGGAACGCTTTTACACTATTGGTGGGACCGCAAACTAGTTCAACCATTGTGGAAGACAGTGTGGTGATTCCTCAAGGATCTAGAACTAGGAATACAATTTGACCCAGCGATCCCATTACTGGATATATACCCAAAGGATTATAAATCATGCTGTTATAAAGACACATGCACATGTATGTTTATTATGGCACTATTCACAATAGCAAAGACTTGGAAACAACCCAAATATCCATCAATGATAGACTGGATTAAGAAAATGTGGCACATGTACACCATGGAATACTACGCAGCCATAAAAAAAGGATGAATTCATATCATTTGTAGGGGCATGGATGAAGCTGGAAACCATCATTCTGAGCAAACTATCACAAGGACAGAAAACCAAATACCACATGTTCTCACTCATAGGTGGGAATTGGTCAATGAGAACATTTGGACACAGGGCAGGGAACATCACACACTGGGGCCTGTCGTGGGGTGGGGGGATGGGGGAGGGATAGCATTAGGAGAAATATCTAATGTAAATGATGAATTAATGGGTGCAGCAAACCAACGTGGCACATGTATACATATGTAACAAACCTGCACATTGTGCACATGTACCCTAGAACTTAAAGTGTAATAAAAAAAAGAAAAAAAGATAACTTCTAAGAATGAAAAACGTCATAACTAAAATTAAATACTGGATAGGCATACTTAACTACAGACTAGATACGCTAAAGAGAGAACTGGTAAACTGAAAGATAATTACAAGGAAATTATCTAGAATTGAGCAGAAAAAGGCAAAGAAAAAGAAAAATTAAGTTTTTTTAATGAAGGATAAAGTATGACAGTCTAATACATGTCTAATTAGAATTCCAGGAAAAAAAGTGCAAGAGAATGAAGCAGAGGCAATACTTTAAAAACTAATAACTGAGAACTTCAGAACTAATAAAAGACATCAACCCACAGATTCAAAAGGCCAGTGAATACAAACATTACATTAAAAATTTATACTTACTCCCATCATGGTAAAACTGCAAATTCCAATGTCAATAACAAGATTTTTAAACCAACCAAAGAGAAAATATTATTTTAGGAAAACTACTAGAATAATGGCTTATTCTCATCAGCAGTCATGGAAACCATGAAGAAAATAGAATGGTATTTTCAAAATACTGAAAAAATAAATATCACCCCCAAATTCTACACACAGAGAAGATACATTGAAAGAACAAAGGTAAGAAAAAGGCATTTTCAGATATCCAAAAATTGGAAGTTTACCACTACGAAATCTCACTGAAAGTTATACTCCAGGGTAGAAAAATAAATAAAATAAAAAGAAATCCCAGAAAGAAAGTCTGAGGTGGAAGAATAAATAAAGTGGTATATGGGTAAATCTAATCAAACATTAACTGCATTAAATTATTTAAAAAGCAATATATCAAAAGTATATATATTATATGAAAAGTAATATCTTTTTAAATATAGAATTAAAAGGCATGAAAAGGGACTTACACTTTTGCTCTCAAAGCTTTAAACTGCTACAGGATTTGCTCTACCACAGTAAACAATTCAAAACAAAAAATTAAGAAAGAAACGTTGGCTAGGTGTGGTGGCTCATGCCTGTAATCCTAGCACTTTGGGAGGCCAAGTGATTTGGTTTGGCCATGTCCTCACCCAAAATTTCATTTTGAATTGTAATCCCCATAATACCCATGTGTCAAGAGTGGGACCAGGTGGAGGTAAGTGGATCATGGATGTGGTTCCCCTATGCTGTTCTTGTGATAGTGAGTGAATCTCACAAGATCTGACGGTTGTATAAGCATCTGGCATTTCCCCTGCTTGCACTCATTCTGTCCTGCTGCCCTGTGAAGAAGGTGCCTTCTTCTCCTTTGCCTTCCACCATGATTGTAAGTTTCCTGAGGCCTCCCCAGCAATGTGGAACTGTGAGTCAATTAAACCTCTTTCCTTTACGAATTACCCAGTCTCGGGTATTTCTTCATAGCAGTATGAGAACAGACTAATGCAATAAATTGGTACCAAAGTAGTGGGGCACTGCTGTAAAGATACCTGAAAATGTGGAAGCAACTTTGGAACTGGGCAACAGGCAGAGGTTGGAACAGTTTGGAGGACTCAGAAGAAGACAGGAAGAAATTTGGAACTTCCTGAGACTTGTTGAATGGTTTTAACAGAAAAGCTGATAGTGATGTGCACAATGAAGTCCAAGCTGAGGTGGTCTCAGATGGAGATGAAGAACTTGTTTGCCACTGGAGCAAAGGTGACTCTTGCTATGCCTTAGCAAAGAGACTGGTGGCATTTTGCCCCTACCCTAGAGATCTGTGGAACTTTTAACTTGAGACAGATGATTTAGAGTATCTGGCAGAAGAAATTTCTAAGCAGCGACATGTCCAAGGGGAAACTGCGCATAAAAGTTTGAAAAATTTGCAGCCTGACTATGCAAAAGAAAAAAAACATTTTCTGGGAGGAAATTCATGCCGACTGCAGAAATTTGCATAAGTAATGAGGAGCTGAATGTTAATCACCAAGGCAATGGGGAAAATGTCCCCAGAGCATGTCAGAGACATTGGCAGCAGCCCCTCCCATCATAGTCCAGGAGGCCTAGGATGGAAAATGGTTTTGTGGTCTGGGCCAAGGGCCCCCCTTCTCTGTACAGTTTCAGGACATGGTGCCCTGTGTCACAGATGCTTCAGCTCTAGCTGTAACTAAAAGGAGCCAAAGTACAGCTCGGGCCATTGCTTCAGAGGATGCAAGCCCCAAGCCTTGACGACTTCCAAGTGATGTTGAGCCTGTGGGTGCACAGAAGTCAAGAACTGAGGTTTGGGAACCTCTGCCTAGATGTCAGAGGATGTATGGAAACTCCTGGATGTCCAGGCAGAGGTTTGCTGCAGGGACAGAGACCTCATGGAGAACCTGTGCTAGGGCAGCATGGAAGGGAATTGTAGGGTTGGAGCCCCCGCAGAGTCTCCACTGGGGCATTGCCTACTGGAGCTGTGAGAAGTGGACCACTGTCCTCCAGACCCCAGAAAGGTAGATCCACCAACAGCTTGCACTGTGTACCTGGAAAAGCTACACTCAATGCCAGCCCATGAAACCAGCCAGGAGGGGGCTGTACCCTGCAAAGTCAGAGGAGTGGAGCTGCCCAAGGCCATGGGAGCCCACCTTTTGCATCAGTGTGACCTGGATGTGAGACATGGAGTCAAAGGATGTCATTTTGGAACTTTAAGGTTTACTAACTACCATACTGGATTTCAGACTTTCATGGGACCTGTAGCCCCTTTGTTTTGGCCAATTTCTCCCATTTGGAATGGATGTATTTACCCAATGCCTGTACCCCCTTTGTATCTAGGAAGCAACTAACTTGCTTTTGATTTTACAGGCTTATAGGTGGAAGGGACTTGCCTTGTCTCAGATGAGACTTTGGACTTGAACTTTTGGGCTAACGCTGGAATTAGTGAAGATTTTGGGGGACTATTGGAAAGGCATGATTGCATTTTGAAATGTGAGGACATAAGATTTGGGAGGGGCCAAGTGTGGAATGATATGGTTTGGTTGTGTTCCCACCCAAAATCTCATCTTGAATTGTAATCCCCATAATACCCAAGTGTCAAGGGTGGGACCATGTAGAGGTAATTGGATCATGAGAGTGGTTTCCCCCATGCTGTTCTCATGATAATGAGTGAGTCTCATGAGATCGGATGGTTTTATAAGCATCTGGCATTTCCCCTGCCTGCACCCACTCCATCCTTCCACCCTGTTAAGAAGGTGCCTGCTTCTCCTTTGCCTTCTACCATGATTGCAAGTTTCCTGAGGCCTCCCCAGCAATGTGGAACTGTGAACCTCTTTCCTTTATTACACAGTCTTGGATATTTCTTCATAGTAGCATGAAAACAGACTAATATACCAAGGCAGGCAGATTGGCTGAGCCCAGGAGCTCGAGACCAGCCTGGACAACATGGCAAAATCCCATCTCTACAAAAAATTAGCCAGGCATGGGTGCCTGCAGTCCCAGCTACTCAGGGGGCTGAAGTAGGAAGATTGTTTGAGCCCAGGAGGTTGAGGCTGCAGTGAGCCATGTTCACACCACTGCTTTCCAGCCTGGGTGACAGAGTGAGACCCTTTCTCAAAAAAAAAAAAAAAAGTTTGCAGACACTTGACAACAGAAAGCTAGGACTGTGATCTCTGAAGGAAGAGAAACAAATGGTATGAGCCTTATGAATGTCCTGGCTAACTTTTCAAACTGCATTTCAGGGAGGGGCAATGCAAACAGAGCCCAGTGGTCTCATTGAGTTGAATAGACAATATCAAAGTTTAGGGAAAACAACATGAGTAAAATTTGTGAGGCAAATTATCAGAGAAGAGGGGGATGTACAGAGAGATATACAGAGAGCTTCAGAGGGGTCCCATTGAGTCTTTAGATGAATATAGATCTATATATGCATGGGGTAAAATTCCACAAGGTCAGAAAGAATCACTGGAAAGCAATAGGCTAAACAATTTCAGGAGCCCACAGAGAAAGGGCAATAGCTTATGTTCCCACCATCCAGAATGGCAACACCTCATAATACACAGGACATTAAATAGAGTTCTTAGAAGGTTCACAATTTAGTAGTAGCAGTAAATTAGCTCTTCTTTTGACCCATCACAACAAATCTTAAGATTAGTCTTTGAATGGATCTGAAGAATCCCACATAACTTAACTCTGTGATAGAATGAAGTCTAACACTCTATTTAAAAAAAATAACAAAATCCAGCATTCAACAGCAGAGAAGCATAATATCCATATGTCACTTTATTGTCTCTTAACTCTAAATGCAAGCTTTGTGATACTGGGGCTGGACTCTGTAAACATATCTCCTTTGCCACTTGGTACTATGTTAGATTTTATCTTCAAAGGGTGCATGGGTTGGGAAAGGTGTCGCTGCATGGCTATTGCCCAGGAAGAATCTTCTCTTCCCGTATTCTGGTGTGTTTTATCTCCACAGCTATGAGTGGTGTTTAGGAGACCTAATGACACTCATTCTCCAACAAGTTCTCCAGAAACCCAACCAGAGTGTGGAGCAGCTGATGATAAAGCCTCCCCTTTATCCCCTTTAAAACCACTTTCGGAAGACCAGCACTGGCCCACTGGCACCCCAGTTTATTGGCCTCTTGACAAGCAGGTTCTATAGACCAGCTATGGCCCACCTGCATCCTCCAATGAATTTTTCAGCCATCCAGTGAACTGCTGATATGAAAAGCTTTGGCCTATGTCTTCTGGCAAGTTTCTTTTCCAATGGCAGGCTGAGGGTTCTCATGGCAGCCATGCCATCTCCAACAAGGTCTGAATCTAAGCCCTAAAGGAGGGGATATGAGGAGGGATGCCTCTTCCAAGTTTTTAATTCCTTCTTGATATTCTCTCTCCTCAGCCTTGCAGAAAGTAGGGCTTCCTACATTTGTTATTCCTATATTCCTCAGAGTACTTTTACCTTTTTCATAGTAACTAATCACATTTTCTAGCTAATAGTTCTTTATATTAAATTGTCCCTATTCAAATTACTAATGTGGTTTCTTTCTTTGCCTCTCCCTTAACTGATACATCTAGCATCCAATCAAAAATTACCAGGCATGGAGAAAAAAGTAGTTATATATGACTCATAACCAGCAGGAAAAAAACTAATTAATAAAAACCAGAAATTACAGAGCTGATAGAATTAGTCGTCAAAGACTTCAAAACATTATAAATACTCAAAGATGTAAAGGAAAACATGAACACAATGAGGATAAAATGGAAGATATAAAACACAAAAAGACCCAAAGACCATATAGAGATGAAAAATACAAACTAAAATGAAAAGTACACTGAGTGGGATTAACAACAGATTAGACATTACAGAAGAAAAGATCAGTCAACTTAAAAACAAAGCATTAGACACTATCCAAATTTAGCACAAAGAGGAAAAAGAATGGAAAAAATGAACAGAGCCTCAGTCTCCTGTGGAACAATGTCATGGTACCTAACATAGGTAATTAGAGTCTCAGCCAGGGGATGGGGGTAGGGACAGAAAAACATATTTGAAGAAAAAATGGCTAAAACTTTTCTAAATTATTTTTTATTTTATTTTATTGCTGTTTTTTTTCTGAGACAGAGGCTCGCTGTGTAGTGCAGTAGCCCTATCCCAGCTCACCACAAACTCCACCTCCCAGGTTCAAGCGATTATCCTGTCTCAATCTCATGAGTAGCTGGAACTACAGGTGCATGCCACCATACCCAGCTTTTTTTGTGTGTGTATTTTTAGTAGAGACGGGGTTTCATCATGTGGGCCAGGCTGGTCTTGAAATCTTAACCTCAAGTGATCTGCCCACCTCAGCCTCCCAAAGTGCTAAGATGACGGGCAAGAGCCACCATGCCCAGCCAACTTTTCTACAGTTGAAGAAAACTATAAATTCACAAATACAAAAAGCTCAACAAACCCCAAACAGGATAAAAATAAAGGAAAAACACACCAAGGCACATGATAATTAAAACTGCTGAAAATTAGTGATACAGAAAATATCTTTTTTTTTTTTTTTTTTTTGAGATGCAGTTTCACTCTTGTTGCCCAGGCTGGAGTGCAATGGCACGATCTCAGCTCACCTCAACCTCCTCCTCCCAGGTTCAAACGATTCTCCTGCCTGAGCCTCCCGAGTAGCTGGGATTACAGGTATGCCCCACCATGCCCGTCTAATTTTTGTATTTTTTAGTAGCGACGAGGTTTTTCCGAGTTGGTCAGGCTGGTCTCAAACTCCCGACCTCAGGTGATCTGCCCACCTAGGCCTCTTAAAGTGCTGGGATTACAGGTGTGAGCCACTGTGCCCAGCTGCAGAGAAAATCTCAGGAGCAGCCAGTGAAAACATATATAATGTGTAGATAAAAAAACAAGATGAGAATTATGATAGATACCTCATCAAAAACAATACAAGTCAGAAGACACTGAAGCAAAAAATCTTTAAGGCACTGAAAGAAAAACTATCAACTTGAAATTCTAAATCCAGGGAAAATATCTTCTTAAAATTGAAGGCAAATACAAAGATTTTCAGACAAAACCTGGGAGACTTTATTATCAGCCACCCCACACTCCAAGAAATATTAAATAAAGTTCTTCAGGCAGAAGGAAAGTGATACCAGGTGGAAATTTGGATCCACACAAAGGAATGAAGAGCACTCAACAATAAAAAGAAACAGATCACTGAAACATTCAACACCATGAATCTCAAGAGCCATCCTAAGTGAAAGAAGCCAGACACAAAAGACTACATAGTGTATGATTGCATTTATACAAAATTTTAGAAAAGGTAAAACTAAAGTGACAGAAAGCAGTTCAATGGTTGCCAAGGGCTGGGAATGGGGAAAGGAAACGGCACGAGGGAATTATTTGGCTTGATACAGATATTTTATCTTTTTAGTGTGGCAGTGATTACATAACTATACATTTGTGAAAAACTCATCAAACAGTATACTTCAAATTAATTAATTTTATTGTGTGCAGATGATGTCCCCCCAAAATTGATTATTTTGGAAAAAATAAAATAAAAGACCACATATAATGCATTTGTTTTAAAAATTCATCACAGCTGGTCACAATGGCTTGTGCCTATAATCCCAGCTACTTAGGAAGCTGAGGCAGGAGGACTGCTTGAGGCTAGGAGTTCAAGATCAGCCTGGGCAATACAGCAAGACCTCGTCTCTTTAAAAAATCAAAATGCATCACAACAACATAGAAGTTTAAAAGAAGGAACAGTGGCCGGGTGTGGTGGCTCACGCCTGTAATCCCAGCACTTTGGGAGGCCAAGGCCTGTGGCTCACGACCCACTCACGAGGTCAGGAGATCGAGACCATCCTGGCTAACACAGTGAAACCCCGTCTGTACTAAACATGCAAAAAATTAGCCGGGTGTGGTGGCGGGTGCCTGTAGTCCCAGCTACTCGTGAGGCTGAGGCAGGAGAATAGCTTGAACCCAGGAGGCGGAGGTTTGCAGTGAGCCAAGATCGTGCCACCGCACTCCAGCCTGGGCAACAGAACGAGACTCCATCTCAAAAAAAAAGAAGGGAATGTAATTAAAGTGTTTTAAGGTATTAAGTGTGTTTCCCAATAAAAGGATAAAGATATTGATTAACTTTACACTCGGATAAACTGAGAAAGGAATCTGCAGTTTCTAAGGTTGCCTACTAAAGGAATAGAAACAGATATATAATATTCTAATTAGTGGAGGGAAGAAAATATAATAAGAAATACTGAATGAAAATGAGAGATGAAAAAGCATACAATGGATGAGAAAAGTAGGACGCAAAAATGAGATGGCAGATATAAATGCAAATACATTAGTAATTGCAAGACATGTGTAAACTGAAAGAATAAGAAACCACACAAATAAGAAACCAAAGGAGGCTGGTGTTGCTATACTGACATTAGACAAAATAGATTTTGAGGCAAACACATACTATGGTCAGCAGGAACACTTTATAATGATAAAAGGTTCTGTTCACAAGAAATATACAATAACTTTAGATTTGCATGCACCTAAAATTACAGCCTCAACATGATACAGCAAAACATGGCAGGGAAACATGGAGAAATAAATAAATCCACAGTCATGGTATGAAATCTTTAACACATTTTCTCAGTAATCAAAGGAATAAACAGATTTTTTAAGACAGGAGAGACAGATATTCAGTCAATTTGTTAAACTTTACTGGATGGACATGAGTAGTCCTCTATATCCAATGGCTACAGAAGACACTTTCTTTTCAATCATTGTCCCCCAGCTTTAGCTGGGACATTGAGGCTCTAGGAAGATTACTGCTTGGTGCAGCAAGATGCAGTGAAACAAGATCTCAATTTGAGTCTCCTCTCACCTGAATCACTGATTTTCCACTTTTTCTGGATAGCTCTAAATGTCTCCTGCAACCCTTAGTGCAAATGTTCCTGTCCCCAAAGCCACACCCAGCATCTCAAAGCCAGCCCAAAGCCAGCATGACATTGCTGAAGGCTGAGGTGTTATAAGGAAGGAAGAAGGCAGGAAGCAATGCAGGACAAAGGCATTGTTGCCCACAGCCCAGCTGCTAGGGTTTGCCCGAGGAGGATGTCCACAGACTTTCGGTGTGGTTGGCTGGCTGTTCCCAGACCCAGTCAAGGAAGCTGGAAGATCCAAGCTTAAGACAGCTCTAGAATCTCCATCACTGCATACCTTAGACAGTGGGCTCCCTGGGCCTTAGGAGGAAAACATTCTGAATTCCCCATGCTAAAAACAGTCCTTTGTGGATGGAAAAGGAGCACCACAAATACAGATGCCTCAAAGAGGCAGAAAGGCCAAGTTCATTCGACTTAGTGGTGATAGCTGGCAGCTGGCTTGGGCTACCCCAGGAGGCCATTTTTCCAGGAAGCTAGATGATCTTGGGAATGTGGTCAGAAAATGGCAAGTTAACTCAGCCAACTTCTCCCTGAGGGTTGCTGATCCAACAGTGCCTGGAACCTGCAGGAATCTTCCTGTAGGTGGGCCAGCTTATCCCTACGCTTAGTGGTCATTCTGTGGGCATTTCTGGCTGTCCCTCACTTCTCTTCCCTAGTTAGCTGTTGGCTCTAGGCCTTGACTAATAAGGAGGTGACACTGTCTGCTGTGCATTTTATTCAGGTGTAACTCTGGGCATTGGTAGCCGTTCAAATTAGGAGAGCTCACTAAAAAATGCATTCATTCAACAAACATTCATTAAGTTGCTATCAAATTCCTGGCATCTTGCTAGGCACTGTGGATAAAATGATGATGATAATGATGATGATGATTGCTAGCATTTATTGAGCACTCACTATGTGCCAAGCACCATTCTATGCATGTAAATGCATTACTTTACTCAGTCTTCATAGTAGCCCTCTGAGGCAGGCTCAGAAAGCTTAAGTGCTGCGCCCAACATCACACAGCGAGTGGCAGAGATGAAACTGGAATCAGAATCACGCTTTACATCACAGAGTTTCCCAAGATGAATAAGACCCCATTCAATCAGAAGTCATCAGCAGGTGGCATCTCCAAGGAGCAGAAGACGCAACTACAGGCAGGCAGGGTAGGTAGATGTTTCTAGGGAGTGCTTCAAAGCTCTGTGACGCTTGGGGATTGTCCCATGTGTCCCCTGCTCAGGAAGACTGTAGGCTCCCAGGCCAGCCAGATCTCTAACATGGGCATTAGTCTCCTGGCTGCACCACACACAGACACAAAGCCCACCCTGCTGATGACTGCAGCTCGACTCCCTGGTGAGCCCAAACCCTGGCTACTTGCCCATGAGGACTTGATTCCAACCTGCTTTCCAGTGCTCAGGAGGCAGAAGCGTGTGTTTTGGTGTGTGAAGGTGCTTCCCCAACATCTTTTCCTTCCCCAGAAGTAAAGACATTCCCGCAGGGAGAAATCCTTACCCAGCAAGTGCTTTTCCTGGGAACAGGATGATTCAGGAAGGGCAGGTTTGTTCCTGCACAATACCCTCTAGGATGATAGGAAGTGGGGCCCAGTGAGTGCCCCAGAATCCCAGGGAAGTGTGGCTAGGAGGCCAGTGTTTGTTGCTGGCAAGGAGAGGAACAAGGGTGAGCAGGTGGGAACACACAAACAGAGGAAGTCCGTGATGAAAAGAAATAACAGGACACAACCCCAGACCCATGGGGTGAAAGGGGCCCTGAGTCTGGAGACAAGAGCAGGAAGTTACTCCTTAGGATCTAAGTCATCAAGACATGAAACACAGAGGCGGTGGGGGCAAAGCCTGTCCTGCCGACATGGGGCTCTGACCACCATTTCCTGGCGAGAAAGAGGTGCCTTGGCATCAGCAGGGACAGTCACTGTGGAGGTGTGACTAACAGGAGGGGGAAGTGTGCTTCGTAAACTGTCAAATTCTATACACATGTTTGTTGGCTGTTATTCTCCTTCAGAGTGTTAGCCTTGGAAACTGTAACAAGCAGCAAGGCAGGTGATGGCATCGTGACAAAGAAACAGGAGAGCCAATGCTGGTCTGTAGAGTTAGAGTTGCTGGCTGTGGGGGAAGGATGTGGACTCTTGGAACAAAACTGAGCTCAGCCTCCTCTAAATTGTGTGAAACAGCCTGTGAGGGCATGTGCTGCTGCAGGTCTCATTCAGATTCCTTGGAGGCGTTACCCACTCCCAAGTGAAGGCCTTGGACAAGACAGCTCTTTTATCAAAGGGGGAACACCTGTTTTATTTATTCTTTTATCCATTCAATCGCTGTTTACTGGACACCTATTTTGTGCTAGTTCCTGTAATAAAAAGTATGATTACAACTGTAGTAAACACTATAAAAGAGATATACAAGGTGCCATAAGGGTCTATAATCCAGACATGTAAGGTATATAGTCTGCTATATAAGGGCCTATCATCGGGATAATTGAACTAGTCTTGTAAAACCAAGGAAGTGTTGATAATGAAGCTGAAATCCAAAGAGTAGGGAGATATCAACTGGGTAAAGAGGAGACCAGGAACAACCCAGGTATAAGGAACAGTCTATGCAAAGACCTGCAATGGGATAGAGAAAGATGTGTATCAGTTAGCTTTTATTCTGTACCAAGTCACTCCAAAACTTAGTGGCTTAAAACGACATCCTTTTATTTTATTTTATTTTATTTTTTTTGAAACAGAGTCACACTCTGCTGCCCAGGCTGTAGTGCAGTGATGCAACCTCAGCTCACTGCAGCCTCCACCTCCCCAGTTCAAGAGATTCTCCTGTATCAGCCTCCCACTGGGATTACAGGTGTGCACCAGCACACCCAGCTAATTTTTATATTTTTAGTAGAGACAGGGTTTCACCATGTTGGTCAGGCTGGTCTCAAACTCCTGACCTCAGGTGATCCACCCTTCTCCACCTCCCAAAGTGTTGGGATTGCAGGCATAAGCCACCATGCCTGGCCTCATCCAGGCAATGTTGTAGGTCAGAAATTTGGCTGGGCTCAGCCAGATGGCTCCAATCCTCTGGGTTAGGTTGTGGCTGATCTCAGCTGGGGCTCACTCATGCATCTTCAACAGTTGCCAAGTCAGTGAGGAACTGGCTGATCAATGGCTGGGGCTCCTCTTGGTGGGCTTTTCTTCTTCAGCAAGCTAACCTGGGCTTCCTGCACATGGCAGTTGAAGGCTTCCAAGAGGCAGCAAGAAATAGCACACTCCAAAGCTCAAGTATTTTCACATCTCTGCACTTGCTACTGTTCCGCTGACCAGAGCAAGGCATGTGGCGGAGCCCAGAGTCCACGTGGGAAGACACTACTAAACAGTGAGGGGACAGGGAGGCATGAACAAACTGGAGGCTGTAACTGCAACAATCTACCACTGTGTGTTCATGAAATCACCAGAAAGCAGGAAGGCTGGAGAGTGAAGAGTGGAGGGAACCGTGGTACTGGATGAACCGTGGTACTGGATGAACCGTGGTACAGGGGCTAGAATGTGCAGGCTTCAAACAGTGCTGGGAGAGTCTGGTCATTATCCTGAAAGCAGGCAAGCTCTCTGGTTCCTGAATTTGTCCTGTGGGTGTGGTCATAAAAACTAAATCCCTTGAAGGCTGAACTGCCCTTGGTGAACTGGCAAGCTTTCCAGGCCTGAGGAGCGGAGGGCGGGATCTGGTACACGGTCTGGCCCCACACACCCCTGCCCGAAGCCTGTGCAGCTATCAATGCCCCAGGCCTTCCCCACTCTGTGCCTTTTCACCACTTCTCCCTCAGCTTCTCCACAGGGCCAGCTCCTACATCCCCAGGAATCAATTCAGGCACCACCTCCTTAGGGAAGACTTCCCTGATTTCTCTAAGCGGGAAGACAGGTAGAATGAACCATAAGGCCTAGAAAACCAACATGTGTCTCATTACAGTGGCCTTGTGTTTTCCAGGACCAAGTTGGTATGGGGCCCAGCCCTGCCCTCGTGGGCAGAACACTTCACCCAGGCTCTCCCCATCTTTTTGCCTGTTTGCCTTCCACTAGACTGTGTTTCTTGAAGGAATGCCCATAATTCCAGTGCCTGCACATACTTGAATGAATGAATGAATGAATGAATGAATGAATGAATGAATCCATCACTAGACAGGGCTTTCCTCTGAAAGCTCCAGCCAGCTTTATTAAAGTCTTCTGTTACGGCAGTTGAGGGGAGAGTTTCTCTCCAGCAAGGCCAAGATCTCCAGTGTCTCCCACTTCCAACCTGAAGCCACCTACCCAGAGGAAAGAAGTCTCTGGCTCAGGGACAATCCACCACAGAGCAGTCAGAGGTGAAGACAATTGTCCCAGCATCACTTACTATAAGAGGGGAAGGGTCAGCCAGCTGTGGCCATTGGAGCAGGCTTTCCCTGGGTATTGGAACAGCCAGCCAGGGGCACTGAGTGAGGCCTATCTGGGCACTGATGCCATGAAGCCAACTGATGAGTCAACTTCCTCATCGCACCCTGGAGAAGCAGCTCCTGTGGATCACAGGCTGAGAAGAGACCCAGGACCTGGCCACCAGTCCTGACAGAGGCTTTTCCAAGTCAGCTGCCTGGTCTTAAAGAATGACAGTGTAAATTAGCCTGCCTGTCTTGTGCAGAAGAGAAACTGAATCTCAGGGAGATCAGCTTTGGACTCATCAGCCACCTTAACAGTTATGGCCACCCAGATAAAAGACTACATTTCCCAGCCTCCATTGCAGCTAAGAATGGCCATGTGGCCAGGCTGTAGCCAATTAGACATGAGTGAAAGTGATGTCTATAATTTTAAGGTTGTGCTCATACATGGCAGAGGTGTAGCATCCTTTCCTGTTTTTCTCCTTCCTGCTGCCTAGCAAGCCATCTAGGACCACATAGCCATGGGGAACACCTTAGAAAGATGGAGCAACAACATAGAAAGAGGCAGGACCCTGAAATCTGGGCACATGACCTGGGAGCCACCATACCAGACCTGAACAGCTTATGCCTTTTAAATGAGAGTGAAGGAAAATAAACTATCTGACCACCTCACACCCATTAGGATGGCTAACTTTCAAAAAGAGAAAGAAAATAACAAGAATTGGTGAGGTTGTGGAAAAATTGAAACCCTTGGGCCGTGTTGGTGGGAATGTACAATGGTTCACCTACTGTGGAAAATAGTATGGCAGTTCCTCAAATGATTAAAAATAAAACTGCCACATGATCCAGCAATTCAATTTCTGGGGATATGCCCAAAAATGGAAAGAAGGGTCTCAAGAGACAGTTGTACACCCATGTTCACAGCAGCATTACTGACAGTAGCTAAGACATGGAAGCAACCCAAGTGTTCATCTAGGGATGAACGGATAAGCAAAATATGGTATGTCCATACAGTAGAATATTACTCAGCCTTAAGAAGAAAGGAGATTTTGACATATGCTGCAACATGGATGAACCTTGAGGACATCACGCTAAGTGAGATGAGCCAGTCATAAAAGGACAAATACTGTATGGTTCCACTTACATGAGGTACTAGAGTAGTCAAATTCCTAGAGACAGAAAGCAGAATGGTGGTTTCCAGGCACTGGAAGTGGGTGGGTAGGTGGGGAGTTTTTGTTTAATGGGTACAGAGTTTCAGTTTTACAAAATGAGCAAAATTACAGAGCTGGATGGTGGCACACGTTGTGAATGTATTTAATGAATGGTACACCTTAAAAAGGTTAAGATGGTAAATTTTACATTCTGTTATTTTACCCCAGTAAAATTTTTTACAAAAGAAAATCACCTATCTTGATTAAGCCACTATTAGTTAAGGCATTTGCTAGAGCTGTTGAACTGTCTACATCCTCCTGACACATATAAAATAGCCCAGGACTGTGTTTCCTCAGGAAGCCCTTCTTCCAGTTGGCTAGGACCCCTGGGGCTGCCTAATCACCAGACACTCCTTTGTCCCAGGACAACAAAGCTGTGACCTGCAGCCACCCCAGGGGCAGGTTTTCTTGGAATAAGAGCTGGGGAAGCTGCCTGGAGCAACCTGCTAGATTGCCACGAAGGGAAGGGGAGGAAGCACAGCAGATTCTCTGCCAGTGTAGACACCAGTAAACCTGTACCAGTTATTCAAATAGTCAAATACTTCCAGGTCTGTGGGTCAGCAGCCACTGCCCTGAGGCACCCCACCCCTTGAAGTTTCCCCCTCCCTGGCTATCCTAGACCCAGACCCACCAACTAAATGGGTAACATTTAGCACAAGAAGGGATTCCAGGATGTCATTCTTACCTCCAGCTACTCTGATTCAGCAAGCCATACCACTTGTTAAAGACTTTGAACATTATCCCTGGCTATAAGTTACCCGGTCTCAACTGACTGAAGGAAAAAAAAAACGGCTGGGTGAGGTGGCTCAAGTCTGCAATCCCAGCACTTTGGGAGGCTGAGGCAGGAGGAATGCCCAGAGCTCAGGAGTTCGCGACCAGCCTGGACAACACGGTGAAACCCCGTCTCTACTAAAATCCAAAAAAAAAAAAAAATAGCCAGGTGTGGCAGTGTGCACCTGTAGTCCCAGTCACTCGGGAGGCTGAGGCGGGAGAACTGCTTGAACCTGGGAGGCAGAGGTTGCAGTGAGCCGAGATGGCGCCATTGCACTCCAGCCTGGGTGACAGAGCGAGACTCTGTCTCAAAACAAAACAAAACAAAAACCTAAACTAAACTCAGTGTTGAGGGTGACAAGAGTTCTGAAAGGCAGACTTGTCATTTAATTCCCACCTCCACCTCTCTCTCGCTGTCCTCCCCAAAGCTAGGAACACCCAGACCCGGCTGAGGCCCTCTCGTACCCATTCAGAATGTCCTGCAATCACACACAGAGATTATTGCACTCTTTTATTTACAGAAAACACAGATAAAGCATTTCAATTTCAATGTTCATTTAGCAAACTGATCCACTCTTTTTTTTTCTTTTTGGCACAAAGAAATATCACAGATGGACCCCGAGATCAATCAGAAGCTCATAAGATTCATCAGTCATCACTGGTCCAGGGGCGGCCACGAGACTCAGACAGACAGACAGCATCACCACAGACTGGAAACAGAAACAGGTCCACGTTCACCTCACAGTAAAAACCTGCCTCACCGACAGGCAAGGGCGGGCAGGAGGGGGCAGTTTCGCTGCTCTAAGGGGGGAAATGGGCGTCAGGGGCAGGAGGCAGGGATGGGGAAAGGATGGACACCATTCATAAATTAGAGACAAGTGGTCCTCTTGTTTGTATCCTCTTACCTTGAATAGTAAGACAGTGCAAAAACTAGATACCCGACCACTCACCCATTCAAAAGCTTGAGAAGTCGCCTCGCGAGTGCCCGTGTGCGTGTGTGGATGTGTAAATGTGGTGCTTGTAAACATTGTCACCGTCCGCACAGAGACCCAACATCCATGTGTCTGAATGGGGGGGGGGGGGGCGGGACCCTACTTCAGGCGCCCTCTGCCCCAGTGATTCCCGTCCAAGACGTAGTGCAAATTTCAGAGACAAAAAAGGGGCAGAAGGGAGTGGGGTGAGCTGGGGGCAGGAAGGACACGAAGATGAGGTGGGAGAGGGAGGGGTTAATAAGGCAACAGTTAAAAACGGTCCATTTTATCAAAACCGACACCTTGCGCCTCCCGCCCCCACCCGCACCGCCCGGGTCACGAGAAGGGGCGGAAGTCCCGCTCCTCCACCAGGCTGACCGAGGGGTTCTTCAGCTCCTCCTCCGAGGCGGCGATCTTGTAGCCCAGCTGGGCCAGCACCTGCTGGCAGGCGTTCTGGGCAAAGGCCACGATGTCGTAGGAGAGGCGGAAGCGCCACTTCTCGGCCGTGGCCGCCGAGTTTCGCACGGTGCCGTATTTGTGCTTGCCCAGGGTGGGGTCGCCCCGCGTGTTGTTCTGGATCCAGCGGGCCACGTGGCTGTCCAGCGGGATGCCCAGGAACCCGTAGATCTCCTCGGTCTTCTTCATAGGGTTCCGAGCCAGGTCCTCGTAGCGCACCAACATGTACTTGCCCTTGAGCCACGGGGGCCGCATGAGGCCGGTGGACACGGAGTTGGAGAAGTCCTCGCACACCGTGGTCAGCTGCGTCACGTCCAGGTTGTAGGGTTTCCTCCCGGTGCCGTACCAGAGCCGCCAGAGCCGGTACGTGTCGCGGAAGGTCTCGCTGCGCGAAGCCAGAATGCCGCGGGGGTCTCGGACCAGCTGGATGACCTTGAGGTTTAATCGCGGGTCTTCCACCAGGGCGCGCAGGTCGTTCACCTCGGGCACGCGCACCGTCTTGATGGCCACGTGGCTGCGCTCGCGGCACGCCTCGGCCGCCACGGTCAGGTTGAGTAGCCCGCACTTGCGCACACAGTCCCCCTCCTCCAGGACCAGGTCGGCTGGCCCCGGAGGGTCGCACACAGGCCGGGAGCAGAGGACCCGGCTGGCCCCGCGGCGGAAGATCCTGTCGGTGGTGTGGTTGACCGGCGGCGGCTTGATGTAGTTCTCCAGGAAGTAGAGGTCGCAGTCGTAGAGGCTCCGCAGGAGGTCGCGGCTGGCGCCTAGCATGACCCGCCGGTCGGCCGGGCTCTTGCCCTGGGTGAAGCGGGGGATGAGCGTGTTCTGGACGTGGTAGAGGGGCTCAAACAGGTAGAAGACGTCCAGGTGCTGGTTGAAGAGCTGGCCCACGAAGGAGGAGCCACTGCGCGTGGTGGCCAGGATGAGGATGTGGGTCTTGCGGGAGAGGTTGTAGGCGAAGGTGGGGCTCTCCTCGCACAGTCGCTCGGCCAGCCCGGCCTCTGCCAGCCCGGGGCAGGTGTGAAAGGACTTGGCGGTGAAGGTGCGGATGGCCGTGTACTGGATGGCAATGGAGGCCAGGGCAAGGAGGAGGACGGCCTTCCAGGAACATTGCATGGCTGGGCACCTTCATGGGGCTGCTTCTCCAAGGGGTGAGGTCTGTGGGCAAAGGCGGCCAGCGGTCAGGTGCCTCCACGGCGGGGGCACTGGCTTGTCCCTTGGAAGAGCCGGTCTCCAAGGGGCCCAGGGAAAGGCCCGGCTCCTGTCCAGTGCTCACCACACACCCTGAAGACCTAAGCAGCTTCTACACTAGACTACCGTTCTCTGGGGGACTCCTGGGAGCTTTGGGGAGCTGAACAAACATTCCTTGCACCCCAGGATTTAACCTGCGGACAGCTGCGGAAGCCTCTTATCCTGAGCTCTGAGTTCCTTAGAGGGGCCTCACGGGGCAAGAGCCTGACTCCCCCTACTCCCACACTGAGGAAATGACGAGGGCCTGCCTCAAACACTGCCCCTCCTCACTGCCAGCGTCTCCCACCCCCACGAGCTGGCGCCCAGTTCTCCAGGTGGTCCTCTTTCCTCTGTCCTCTGCCCATCCCTAGGGGAAAGAAGAGTCCCTATCAGATGCCTCCATCTGACCCCAATCCCCTGAGCATGAAGGACCCCTGCAGACCATGGTCGGTGAGCTGCCAGCACGGCCAGGCAAGGTGGACAACTGTGTCAAGCCCCTTCCAACTCATGGATGCAGGTGACCACTTACTCCAGATGTAGACTTCTGGGGCTTGTGGAGTCTCTAAGAGTCTCTGGAGCAGAGACAGATGTCCAGGGTCTGCTGAGAGGCAACCCTTCCCAGCACCCAGGGTCTGTTCCTGGTCTCTAGGGACAAGGGTCCAGGCCATGGAGGTGACATAATCCCCACTGACACAGAGTGAACTGGCCTGCAAAGAAGATCTTAGGGAGTCAGGGGCCTCCCCTCTTACCTCCTGTGTCCCCTCTGCCCACAGAAGGGGGACTGGGGAGGGACCATGGAGAAGCAGAAAGAGCGAATGGGGCCGCTGAGAGTCCGGGGCCAGGAGCCCACCTGAGCATCCTGTAGGCACCCTCTCTGGAGGCTGGCTCAGCTACCAGACCTGAGTGGGGGCTGGGGCTGCTCCTGGGGAGAACACAGGAGGGTTCAACCACTTACCAAAGAGGGACTGCTCCAAGCTGGGGAGTCCACAGCCACCAGCGTCTCCAGGCCCAGCTGGCAGTCCCAGCCAGTGCGGCAGCCCTGTGGCCAGCAGACTGCAAAAGACAGGGAGGGGAAGGGCTCAGAAGGTGGAGCTGGGGTCTCAGTGCCCCCTCCCCACTCCTTCCCTTCTGTGTCCTGTGCCTCACAGTCTGCCCCGAGGGCCAGGCAATAAGGGCTCTGCCTGCTCTCCAGATCCATCCCTGACTCAGCGCCCCAACCAACCCAGTGCCATCTCTGATCCCCTGAGTGTGGCCCTCTGAGTCCTGGACTGTATCCCACTCCTGTCACCTTCCTCGCCCACCCCACCACATTCTTCTAATAAACCGCAGTCCCTCTGCTCACACCAGAACCCAGCAGGCAGGGAGACTGGCAGGGTTCTGCAATTTAAATCCATGAAATAATCCTAACCCTTTAAAATTCAACTTGTGCAGCGATTCCCCAGGAAGTGGGTTAGCAGAAGTCAGCAAGGGCAGGGGGGCTTACCCCGGCCTCCAGGTCGAAAGGGCGCCTCCGGGAATGCAGCTGGGGAGAAAGTCTTCTTCCAACCACACCGAAGTGACACCAGCTACCTGAAACTCAAAGCGAAAGTGGACCAGGGAGCATTCCTGACCTCGATGCACCTCATAGAGTCTGAATTAAAACACCAAGATCGCCACATTATCTCAGTTGACAGTTTTGCGCCAAGCCCCTTCCCTGCATCAGCTCGTGTCCTTCTAGCAAGAACCAGATGTGGAAGCCAATATCTGCCCACTTCACAGGCGAGAAAGCCAAGGCACAGAGGTAGAGGAACCGGCCTGAGCTCACAGGCCTGCTTTAACCCCCATCTGGTAGGTTCCCCAGAGTCCAGCTCTTTCCCTCTAAGGAGATTTGGCTTCCTGTTCCTCCAGCTTAAACATATTTGGCCTGCAAACATGCATGCCATTACTGGCCCCAGCCCATTTGTGAATCAGCATGACGGGGACTGGGCAGGCAGATGCTTCTGAGACTTAGAGCATGTTCCTCCCCTTTGCTGTCTGGTCCTGTGGATCTGTTGGTTCACAGCTGATAGGGTGAACTCACGTGCTTTGTGAAGATTCTTCCCACACCCCACTATTTGACGTGACTCCTTTGGGAGCGGGTGAGTGGATCCTCTTTTCCCAAACCTGCAGTTCTGCCTGGCTCAGCTCACCCAACTTCTAGCACTGTGTTATTCCCTATAAGCACTCTCGGAGGTCAGGGTCCTCACTCCCACTGTTCAGATGGAGAAATCAAGTCGTGTTTTAAATATGAAATTTCACTTCTTTAGGAATCAGTACCAGATCACCAAGTAGCAGTCAAGAGGGAAAGGGGCAGTTTAGAGTCTTAGGAACTTCTCAACGTGATCAGAGAAAAACCACAATCCCAACCACACTGCATCCCACCCCGACCTCATCCCATAGTGGCAGAGGATGCTGGCCTCCATCATGGGGCTGGGCCAGGTATCCAGGGAGAAAGGCCCCTCTACTTTAAACCTGACCCCTGCAAGTGCAGGCCTGCTCTGCCCCAGTGCCCCATGGTGAATGTGAATGGCTTTCAAGAAACAGACAGGGAATGTCATCAATAATAGTGCCAGGTCATATTTTTAAGTCATTTAGGAGTCTGTTCTTTGGCTGCAGCATCATTTCATTTGGATACGCTTCCTTTGTATTTATTCACAGACATCTATCAGAACTCCTGTATGTGCCAGGCACTGTTCTAGATGCTATGGGTCAAATAACACCAAGGAAGGCAAGCACTTGCTGGGCATTCACAATGTTCCTCCCAGGCACATGCTTCTTTCACAGCCATCAGCTCATCGCACCCTCATGCCAGCTCTATGAAGTTGATACTGTCACAACCCCGTTTTACAGATAAGGAAGCTGAGGCCCTTCAAGGTTAGATAACTTCCCCAAGCTCACACCCATAATAAGGAGCCAGGATTCCAGCCCAGGCAACGTGCTAGGAAGTCCACGTTCAAATCCTTTTCCCTAATTCCACTCATATTACACCCTCCTTGGTCCTCATCAAGACAGGAAACAGAATCCTTAAGGAGTCTTCACTTAATTCTGGGGTTCCAATTCCAAAAGCAGAACTCACCCTAGGGTTTTATTTAAAGAGAAACATCTTGCCATCTTGCTGGGGAGGGGGCCGTTTAAGTTTCTTCCCCCAACTCTTCATCCACCCAGAGAAACTTAAGGCCAGGACTGGAAGCTGCTGCTTTGCTAATAAATCAGAAGTCACTGAAGCAGCTGGATGTTATAAATCCCTAAGACAGCGAGACTCGGCCTCACAAGGTGTGGCCTGGACACCGAGGAGGGGCATGTGTTTGAAGGCCCAGCCACAGGCCATTCCCTTGTACCCCCGGGGAGGGCAAAGCCAGGGAATGGGAACGGGAAGATGGGGGAAGTCCAGCCCTCCTGGAAATGTCCCCGCTCTCCCAGCCTGGCAGAGCTGGGCCTGGGGCTGGCCAAGTGTCCTTGGTATGCTAAAGGCATCTGCCCTGGAAACCAGAGGCCCTGGGGCCAGGTCCTGTTGTTCCCAAGGAAGCCTTAGCCACTACAAAAGACTCCTCAATGCCCTCATCCTCCAAGCCAGACTGTGGCCCCCAGAGCCCATCCCTAGGCTTCTAGCAACCTCTGGCCTGGCCTCCCTCTACCTCTGCTTAGTAAAAATCCAAGCAAACCTTGGACACAGGAGACCACGATCTATCATTTCTGTTAGAAAGCAGGCAAGTTGGTGAGCTTTCACTCCCAGGAGAAAGCTCAGATTTCATTATCAGTGAACTTGAGATGAGGGCACAGACTGGGAGCAGTGAACAGCTCTATATTGGAAAACTGTAATTCACAGAGCTCACCCCCTGAACCATGCCTACCTGGATCTGTCACTCAGCAGGTGTGTGGGCGTGGGTGATTCACCAGCTGTCCCTGAGCCTCAGTTTCCCCATCCATAAAGTGGTCATAGCTACAGTAGTGCTGGTAAGAATTGAAGGTCTTAAAGCATTTAGTCAATGCCAGGCATATAGACCCAACCCAGCCTCTGACACCAGCCCTGCTGATCCCAGCTCAGCCACTTACTGGCTGAGAGATCTTGGCTAGCTTTCTTCACCTCTCTGGGCCTCTATGTTCGCATATGCAAAAATGGGGATAATTATAACAAGGCTGTTGTGAGGACTAATTAGTGAGTACAGTGCCTGGTGCAGCGTAAGCACTCACTAAATGTCAATTAATATCATCATCACCAAATGTCTGGTTTGCTTTTTGTCTCAGGAAAGGGCCTAGAACAAATCATCCTGCAGCCCACGGGGTCTGGCTCTGCCCACCGCCCCTTCTTCCTGCAGCTCCTCTCCCGGCCTGGGAACTTCTTCCTGCTGAGCCACCGCAGTGGCTTTCCTGCTGCCCTCTAGTGACCACATCCTGCGGTGCAGCCTCGTAGTCCCGTCATCGCTGCTGTATTCAGAATTCTGGGGCTGTTGGCTACAACCTGATGTGAGGATGCAGCCAGCGGGAGGTGATGTTGCAAGATGCAGTGAGGTGTGAGGATGGCACGCCCACCCGGGCTGCGGCCTCTGCTCCGTGCACCCCCACCCTAGCCGCACCGGGAGAGCCCAGCTGCAACAGGCAGCCTCGCCTTCTCCCAGGGCCTCTCCCGCTCATCTCATGGTGCTCTGGCAGGGAAGGAGCACAGACCTGAATGTCACAGGCAGGACTGGCCCACATGGCCTCCGGATGGGTGACCTTGGACTCACCCCCTGGCCTCTCTGTGCCTCAGTTACACCATAGATCCAGTGATGACTGAAGGGCCTCCCAGTTCTAACCCTGGTGTTCTCTATAATCCCAGGAAGGCCCCAGACTTCATTCTCAGGGACAGTTGGGGCCACCCACACAGCAGACAGGGGGACCCTCCATTGGGAGTGGGAAAAACCCAGTCATCTTCCAGGAGGATTCTAGGGCTGGGCATTTCTGTCCCCCACCTCGGCCTGATCTGTGGCAGCGCCAGGGGGTGGCGGCCCTAGAACCTAGCGGTGCTGCCTTCTGCCAAGTTAGCCCCCACCTCTTGCTGTACAGAAATCCCATGAAACCCAGGGCTGAGGCCTTGTTTCACCTTTTCTGGGCCACAGACCTTTCGAACCACAATCCCTCCCCTTAGAAATGCCATTAGTGCCCACAATTTTACACACACAATTGAGAAGTTTCCCGAACCTCTGAAAGCCCAAGCTTGGGCACCCCACTCTTTCCTAGAAGCTTAACCCCTTCATTATTAACATGTCCAGGGAATTGTCTTTCCAACCGACTATATCAGAGAAGCCTCCTCAGACATGAACGTACTGATAGAAACAGTCACCCAGCATATATAAGTTTCAAAAGCTAGAGCCAGAAAACATGTGTGTAATAGTACACCACCTTTTCAGATTTGTTTAAGGAGGTGGACATGTATATTTGTATATATGCATAAACAATCACTGAAAGAGCTTGCTCTGAGCTAGTAACGGGAGATGTCCCAGAGGGAGGGGGCCTCGAGGAGACTAGGGTGGGAGGAGACACCGTTTACACTGAGCTTTTTGATTCAGTTTGAGTTTATTAATTTTGGGGGACACAGTGAAGCCACTCCATGTAGGAAGTAGAGGGGTGATTGATGACAGGGTGCGGTACTGAAAATCAGCCCTGGCATCTCACTGTGCCTCCCACCCTCCCCCCCCAGGCACTGCCAGCCAGCTCTCCCCACCCCCATTTCCAAGGCACCAGGGTCAAAGGCACTGCTTTTCCGCCAGAAATGGGCTTTGTCTGCTCAGGTGGGCCACTAAGGACAGTAGGCAGCTGGGGACTGCTGAGATACAGGGACGGAGCTGAAATAAAGCTGGATTTCAGAGGGGGCCTGTGGCTATGGGAGCAGCTGAGCCCTGGGATGGGGAAATGACTCTTCTCCCAGACATTTCTCCCTAAAAAACTACTGTGAAGCCCTGGGGGATGAAGAAGCAGCACAGTGAGGGCAGGGCAAGAACCTGAACATCGTCTTTCCGGACAAACTCAGGAGCCATGATGAATGGGGTCCCAAGGCTCTGGGGTCCCAAGAACTGGAGCAAGGGACAAGGGAATGGGACAGGGAGGGAGGAGCTGGCGAACAGGCCTCTAGGATGGAGACTGCAGAGGGGAAATGCTTACTCCCTGACTCTGACGTAGCCAGCACTAATCCCCCATGAATGTTTTAGTTAAGGCTAAAATGCATAAAACAGCAAGGCGTTTTTCTTCCTAAGGAAAATGAGGTGATGAAAATGAAGGCAAGGCAAGGGGAAAACAAGGGTATAAGAGTCTGAAACAACCAGAGGCCAAGTCAGTGTACAAGAGTCACACCATGTGTGGGCTACTGAGCTAGCCAATAGGAAAAGGGAAATATTTCATTTACTTGTTTCACAGGACCCATGAGATAAAGATTAAAGCATCCACTCAAGAGATGTCCAGCTATTCCTGACACTGAATCCAGTGCAAGATTTCTCCCAAGGGAGCTCTTACAGAGCTCTGTGCGTGTGCCACCATGAACTCGTCCTCAAGACTTTGTACCTAAGAAATCCAAAGACGAGTTTCATGGGACAGTGTCCTAGAGCATCCTTCCATGTGAGCAGTATGCCAACACACAATCCAACCAGTGCAACCTTCCAGAGGGGTGAGCTGCTGGGGTCCAGACTCGGCCTCTGTGGTCTAGGTCAGCCCAAGGGACCCCTTCTCTTTGGGGTCATGCCCACCTCAACTTGAAACACTGTGAGGTCTATGGACCCTCTCTCCAGAACCTGGACCACCACAAACATGGTACTTGCGAACAATCCCTAGAATCCCTGGGCCCCACAGGCAGAACCACTACATTTTCTGAGCACCTCCAGTAGGGACAAGCTCTCACAGTCATGGTTTCCAAGACAAGCACCTGGAGAGCAATTGGTCTACCGATTTTTCACCATCAGCAGGGCTGCCCAGCTGCCTCTTATGAGCTCTGGTGTCTCCAGGGCAGAGCACTCCAATGTCCACATGATACCCATGGATGTCTCAAGCCTCCTGGAGAAGGTACCCACAAGCATTCAGGGAGGCAGTCGGAGGGGTAGTTAGGCACCCCAGCTGTGGGGCCACAGAGGCCTGGATTTGAATCCAACTGCTGTTGCCTTATAGCTATGAGGCCTTGCGTGAGGCTCTTAACCTCTATAGGCCTCACTTGTCCTTATGTAGGAAATGGGAGAAACAATCACAGAATCTTTCTAATATTTGGGCAGTGAGACAGAAGGCCGATGGATGCCCACAGCTTAACACAGTGCTAGGCACAGAGCAAATGCTTATTAAGAGCCATGACCATGATTTTTATGGACTACTAAATGCACAGAGGGGCACCATTGGCCTGGAAATGTTTTTAAAAGTTAAAACAGATGCCGTAGCCTGCTCCACTGAAGCGCCAGCAGCCTGCGTGGTTGGAGACCCTGACTGTTGTGGCTGCAGAGACCTTGTCTGGGGTAAGGAAGGCACCTCACATCCTGCCGTGGAGGGTGGGAGTGGGAGGGGGGTGGTCCCAGGCCCGACCTGAGGGGAAAGTTTTCCCCAGCAGTGGGGAGAGTGACTGACCTCCTGGCCACAACACAAGGCCCCAGTGTGCCCAGCTCCTCTGGGGGAGGGATGAGTCAGAAGGTCCCGGTTCCCTGTCTCAGGCCAGTCCTGGTACAGCCTGGCTTGCGGTAGGCGGGACTCTACAGCCCCGACACTGGGCGGAAAAGCCCCGGTTTCCTGTCCCCCGCCCCACCGAGAAGCCACAGCCAGAGTTGGAATAGTACCGAGGCCCCACCCCCTGGACACCGGGGCTCCGGCCCATCCTCCCAGCTTCAAGGATGGGAAACATCAACAGGAGCTGGAACTCAGGCAGCTGCTGCCGGCCAGGCTGGGAGAGGGGCCCGCCTGTCTCTGGATCCAGGAGTCTCCAGCCTGGGCCACCTGCACATTAAGCCTGGCTGGCCCCGTGGGGACGAGGACTGGGGGTGGAGAATGAATAGGACCCAGAGCCTTGAGACTGTCACATGGGATGGAGGAGGCTGCCGACGTGGATACTCAGAGATGATCACAGACCTGGCTTCTGTCAGGGGATGCATCCCACAGGCCAGGGGCTACTGCCACCTTTCACAGACGAGGAGCAGCGAGGCTCAGCAAGTGTGGGAACTTGTTCAAGCACGCACAGCTAGTCTGTGGTGGCGCTAGGATTCAGACTCGGCTCTAAAGAATCCCAAGCCCTGGCCCTAATCACAGAGCTAAAACCCCCAGGCCACACCCAAGAGCATCACCCAGCTAGAGGGAGGGAGAGGGAGCACCGGGGCCAAGGTTGCCGCCAGGGTCCCAGGACACATTGGTGCCGATCTCGATCACAGCATTCACCCCCGACCCAGATACTGGTGCATCTGATACCTACTGGCCATCCCCCAGGGTCAGGTCCCTGGGGCATCCACTGGTGGGGCTTGAGGGCTGCCAATGCTGCCCTTCCTGGTTGGTTCCCCTGGCATACCAATAGGTGTGTGCCATCTCACCGCTTCCCAGAGGGTTTTCCCTCCCCAGCTGAACGACAAGAATGAAAATGATCCCAAGTGGGTGTGGACATGGGACTGCTGCACCTGATGGGCAGAAGTCCAAACACACTGTGCTCCCCACACAGTGACTCTGGGTCTGGGCTAGCCAAGCAGTGAGAACTTTGAGTGGTTTTATGACCAGGGAGCCCAGGAATGCCCAAATCCTATGCCACCAAAAAGACACCAACGAATGTCTTTATTACCATCTGGCCTGAAACAGTCTGGAATGGGGCATCGGGTTTGGGCTCTCTGCCCAGTTGAGGCTTCCCTGCTCTAAGCCCAAAGCTTATCACCAGCCCACAGCTGGTCCCAAGGATGCCCCTGGGCCAGGATGCCAGTGAGGCTCACCCTGTCACCCCTCTTCTGCTGGGTGAAGAGCATTAGGAGGGGCCACAGCTCCATCCACTGGGCATATGGCCAACCAGATGAGTGTCTCTGCCTGCCATCAACAGGGACCTCCATTGTAGAACACAATGGCGGCTGCTCATATACAGTGGCGGCCTAGCACCATGGTATGACCCTTTCACGCCTCACCTCATTGAATCCTCTCCACATGCCTAGGGGTAAGAACTACAGCTGAATCAATTTCACAGGTGAGGGACTGAGGCTCAGAGAAGTTAAGAGATTTGTTCATGCAACTCAGAAGTGGCAGGAAGAGAACGAACGGATTTCAGGCTGTGGGGGTTGTATGTGAGGTTCATATGCGAGTGAGGTCCTCACCTCTCCAAAGCTTTCCCTACAGGCTTCCCTTCCATCCCCACTCTGACCTCCTAAAATGTCCAAATTACTCCATTCAGCTTTGTTGACCCTTTTTGTGTGTCTTAAATGGCTAGGAGCAGCATAACAGCATAAACAGAGGGTGAAACCCAGACCTTGAGTCCTGGGCAGCCTTAACACTTTCTGATTCTCAGGTACTCAGGTGAAGGGAGGTCACACTCCTCTCCCAGGGCAGGAGAGGGGCTTAAATGGCATCTGGCATATAAAGCTGTTAGCATAGTGACTGGCACACAGTAATCTCTCAATCAGTGGTACCTTCAGAATGTCTGCAGCAGGCTCGTCTGTCTGTTTCACCTGCCCTGCAGAATCCTTGAAGGACAGCACCAGCCCCCCTCCATCTCCTCCCCTAGCTCTATCCTATCCCTCCTCCCCAAGTGCCCAGCTTGGGGCCCCCCACACACTGCAGGGACTCAGTGAGTCCTAAACAACTCACTGACACTGGCAGAAACTTGGGAGAAAAGAAGCCACGCCTTCTTCCCCATCCCTGAGAAGGAGACAGCATTCCTGACAATTCCCAGCCCACCGCCTTCCAGCTCTAATCAAGGAGCAAACACAAAGAGGGAATCTCTAAACATTTAGAAAACGCGGGAACCCTGTGCCCCCATGTGGCACCGTGGGGATTTATAAAGAACAAATCATGCCTGACAAACTTGATAGCTTTCTTGATAGAATTACAAGACGGGTAGATGAAGGAAACGCAGGCAGGGTAATATATCTTGATTTTTAGCAAAGCATTTGATACAGCGCCTCGAGTAATCTTACAAAATTAATTCAAACAGACTTGGCCCTAAGCACTTGTCATGGGGCATAATAGCAGGAGGGGGCAGGTCCCAAGGGCCCCGGGTGGAGAAGGCAAGCCCAGAGGAAGGGGCTGGAGGGCCGCAAGTCTGGGAGTGGGGGCAGGGCTGCCAAGCCTCAGCATTGGGTCAGATCTTATCTAACATCTTCATTAATGATCCTGAGAGAGGGAGTAAACAGTCCGTTAATGAAATTTGCAGAGGATATTAAATTGGAAGGTGTTGTGAACACCAATGAGGACAGCAAAACAGTCCAGAGAGACCTGCCGGGGGTAGAACCTTGGCAGGAACCGGAGAGCTGGCAAGGGGTGTCCATGGGGGTGCCGGCAGCAGCTGGGGCTGCTTGGAGAGCCAGCAAGAAGGGAAGGGCATCCCCAGGGCTGGTGTGTAGCTGAGAGAGGCTACAACTAGCTTGGGCTCTGGCCATACAAGCAAACCCCAGAAATCTGTTTTCCCATCTGTGAAAGAGAAGGGTCGGCAGCTAAAGAGCAGGCTTTGCAGCTCTGACAGCTGGTTGTGATGGGCATGGGATGTCTTTAAGGAGCCTGGAGCTGAAGCCCATCTTCCAGGAGGGGAGGAGGGAGCCCTGCCAAGGAGCAGGGAACCTGAGGGCCATGGAGGGGAGGGCTGCAGTGAGAGAGAAGGGCCGGTAAGGGAGACCGGGTAAGGCATCAGTGGCACTCAGAATCTCCCCTAGCTGCACTCCTCAATGCTGCTGAGGCAGGCACTGGGGCGGGGAGCCCCTCACCCTGCCCCAGCAGGCAGGACAATAACAGATCAGCAGCTGCTCAGGCTGGAGCCCCAAGCCTGTCCAGACTCTCAGGGCATGCTGGGAACAATTGAGCACTAGAGGTTCTAACTTGGGGTTAGGAGAGTGTGCAGGATCTGTTACCTTTCTGAAGAGCTCCCTGTCCCTCTCTGGCTGATCAAGAGGAAGACAGATGCTTCTCCAGCCAGATGAACCAGCCTCTCTAGGATCAGGGACAGTGGCCTGCCCCACCCCAACCCCTTTACTCTGTCACAGAGGGCCACCATCTCTGCCTGGACCTCTTCTGCTCCTCTCCATCTGCCTCAACCCCTAGGGGCTCCAGGGCTGACCCCTGCCTTTAGCGGGAAGGCTGAGGCAGGGAGCTGCCTGTCCATCTGGATTTACTCCCACAAGGCTCCTAGACAGGTAGGGTCTGAACAAAACCCAGGGCTGCCTAGCACTGTGCCAGGCCCTCAGGAACCTGAAACAAATGCTCCGTAGAAAAAAATGGCTGGCTGCTTCCCAGCGGGGGGTGTGCCGGGGCCGCTGGGGAGAGGCTGTTTCAAAGCAGGAGGCCAGCCCAGCAAGATGTCAGGACCACCTGCTGGGACCTAGGGTAAGGATCTAGGTGAGCATGCTTGGGGAGTTTCTTCCAATGTCCTGACTTAATTCCTAGGAATGATGCTTTGGAACACTTACTATGGCACCATTCTAAGTGTGTCTCATATATTACTGCATTTGACCTTCACAACAATGCTATCAGGTCGGTGTTATTTTCTCCATTTACAGAGGGGAAAACTGAGGCAGGGAGAGGTAGCCATGAGCCCGGGCACCTAGCCAGAAGGTCCGTGGGAGAAGCAGCAGCCTGCCAAGAGTCACAGCAGCAGCTGAGCGGCATCCAATGGCAGGACCCCAGTGGGTGGGGAGAGACAGCCCCTCTGACAGGGAGGCCAGAGCCTTGCCCACCCCTCACAGTCCCCACCGAAGGGAGTTGGTCCAAGTCCCGCCACACTTGTGGAGCCTGGTTTTACTATATGTTTCCCTTCTCCCCCACCACAGCCGCTACACCGAGTCCTCTGAACAAGTCTGTTTCCATGGAAACCATACAGTGACTCAGGGCTTCGGGACCTTCTCTGAACCAGATTATGAATATCAAATGCTCCCTCCCCACACCAATGCAGAGTGGAGTTGGGAAAGTAAAGAGAGATCCACAGCGGGCAAGGGAGGGAGACAGAGGGGTAGGCAAGGGGAATCTAGTAGGGCATGAACCTGGCCCCCAGGGAGGACCTGGCACTTGAGCCCCTCCTGCAGACTCAGTGGAACACAGAGGTACTCCTCCTCCGATGCGGCCTGACACACACCCCTCTATCAGTGTCGTCAGCACCACCCTTGCCCAGGAGCTAGGGCCCTGTCGGCAAGGGTTGGGGGGAGAGTGGTCAGGGGGATACATCCCTCTCCCAGCAGGGGCCTGTGACTCACAGAGATGGCTCAGGGGCCAGGACAGAGGGAAGCTTGACTTTGGATGTTGGGGAGGAAACCCCTGGCCAAAAGCATTGCAACTACTCAGCAAAGAGGGAGATTTGGATTTTAGGGAAAATGCGTTTCTGCTTTGAGATGGGGAAGCCGGGTGTTGAGTGAAGGGGGCTGGGGGTGGCACCTGGCCATGATTTTGAAGACCCAGCAGAGTTTGGGGGATGATTAGCAGAGACTTGCTCTCCCTGGTGCCCCTCCCCTCCCCACCCCATCACTGTGAAGCATCCTGGCCTAGGGCTGCTCACCGCCAGGATGAGGGACTGGCAACAGGAAAATCAAAGGTGCCATGCCAGGCTCCTGGCCTCCTGCAGGGGTTCAAGGCTCAAGGGCAAATCCACCCATTCCTTTCCCCAGCAGCTCCCTAAAGACCCGGTAGGGAGGGGAATTGAATAGGTTGGAAGCCTGATACCTCCCTGGTGAATGTGATGTGTGAGTCATGACGATGAAAGCACTTTGAAAAAGAAACAGGGTCATCATGATGCCTGGAAGTGTCCCCACTGCTGAGGACAGGAGCCTGGGAACTGCCTGCCCAGGTAAGGTCTCTGCCTGAGACAGCAGGCCCCACTGCAAGGGGCTGAGGAACCTCTGGAGGTAGACACCTGGCCCACTCGTTCCCACCTGCTTGCCTCTGACGTCCCTGTGCTGGTCAAAGCAGCTTCCTCCCAGCCAGGGTGCCTGACTCCTGCGCCCAAGCCTGCCCCCAGCTCCTCCCACCCCTCCAGAAGTTGCTGGACTGAATTTCTGTCCTTGACTGGACAGCCACCTCCCCTGCCCCAGCCTCCAGCTCCCTGTCAATGGCCGGCCCAAGCCCGTCTTCAGGCACCTGGACCCTAGGAGTGGCCCTTCCTAGGGAGTCCGCTGCCGAAGAGCAGTTTTAAGTCCACCAAGAGGAAGCCGGCCCCAGAGCTGAGGAAGGCAGTCCTGTGAAAGGGCAGGCCCGGGGTGGGGGAGGGGGCACACCTGAAATCAGGCCAAGGTGCCACTCCAGGACGACCCCCGGGTCTTACCTTCCTCAGGCAGCCTGGCCTTTTAACGCCCAGCATCCCAGCTAGGGTTACTCTGGGCTGTTACCGCGAAAGCCAGCACTGGGTCCCTGGAGCCTGGGAGGGGCTGATCCCCGGGTCCTACCCAGAGAAGAGCGGGAGGGTTGTTCCGGCTTTCCGTGGTGGGCTCTGCACCATCCGGCGGCTCCGGCCCCACAGGGGCCCAGCTCATCGCAGCGGTCTGGGTGCGGAGGCCGGGCCAGGGCTGGGAGCAGGAAGCAGGGAGCGGCGCCCCCGCCTCCGGGTGCAGCTGGGTTTGGAAAGTTGGTGCGGGCGCGGGGACCTCAGGGTCTCAAGGCGCCTCCGCAGACCCGAGCCAGGCGGGTCGTGGGACGGTGAGCCCGGAGCAGCCCCTGAGTGCGCTCCGCAGCGGAGGGGAGCCAAGCGCCTCGGGGGCCACCGCGCGTCTCAAGTTTGCTGCCCTCCTCGAATGGGGGCAGGGAGGGCTGAGGTGATCGCGGCGCTCACCGGCCACCAGCCCCGGCAGCCCCTTCCTGCGCCCAACACGCCGCCGTTCCTCGCCGCCGCCACCCCTCCGCTCACCGCCGGTAGCTGCTGTCCCCGAGCGGAGGGGCGTCTCCCACCGCGCCCGCGCCCCTCCCGGCTGCTGCGGCGGAGTGTCCGCTCCCGCCCGCCCCGGAGCCCGCGGGGCCCGGCCAATACCTGGTCGGGGACGCGCCGGGAGCAGCTGCAGCGCCCAGCGCCGGCTCCATCCTCGGGTCTGGAGTCAGGGTCGCCGGGGACCCGCGGGTGGCGGCGGCGGCAGCAGCCGCGGCGGCATCCTCCGCCTCCCGCGCCCTCCTCCTCGGCCTCCCTCCTCCCTCCTCTTCCTCCGACTCCGCGCGCGCCTCACGGGCCCCTCTTCATGGCCCGGGGGCGCGAGCCCGGGGCGGCTCGAGCAGCTGAGTGCGTTCTCTCCGGCCGGACGCGGGACCCGGGGCCGGGGCTCAGGGACCCGAGAGATGCCGGGACAGGGGCCGGGACCCGGAGCGCCGCAGCCCCGGGCGCCGGAGGAGAGCAGCAGCCGCAGGCACCAGAGCCTCTCGGAGCGCCCGCCCGCGTCCCCGAGCCAAGAGCAGCGGCGGCAGCGGCGGCTACAGCTCCGAGCGAGCGGCAGGCGCTGCGGTCCCGGCTCCACCCCCGAGCCGCCCGCCCCTTCTCCTCCCCACCCCTTCGGCGCGCGCCTTCCCGCCCCCCGCGCCGCCCCAGCCGCGAGCGCCCTGGACACCCACTCCGCAGCCAGGCTCCGGAGCCCGCCCCCACCCACCCGCCGGGGGCAGCCACGCCCACCACCCGGACTTCGGGCGGCCGGCGGGCAAGGGCACCGGCTGTCTCTGGCACCTCTCCGCGTAGCCTCCCTTCCCCTTACCCCCGAGGGCGCTGCTGGCCGGGCCGCCAAAGCCTTTCGCCCCCCCAGCGCCCCTCGCCGCGGAAGTCCTGCTGGAGTCCCAGCCTGGCCCCTGGCCCAGCTGTCCTTTACCTCTTGCCCAGCCAGCGGCACAGAGGGACTTCAGAACCCAGAACTGAAGCCAACCATCTCTGTGTGCAATACCCTGACACACACCCCTAGCCTTTCCTCCTTCCCCGCCCCTCTGCTTCTCAAGTGTGGGGATGAATCATTTGTCCCCGCTGCAGTTGTCCCTCTTGGGCAGGGTCAGGGGGTGTCTTAATGGGACCTTAGAGTGGGTTTGCTGGCTGACCGTCTTCTAGGCCGCTCCTCCACACTGCCCACCTTCTTCCTACCAGACTGCCCCTGGCTTTCTAGGTGGCAATCTGGAGCCACCACTGCTTTTATGGATGAGGGATGGGGACAGAGCTGGCCAGCCGAGCACCTTGGGCCTGTATCCTCTGCACAAATATTGACTGAGCATCTTCCACAGGCCTGGCCTTCATGGGCACCAGGGACTGGTTGATGAACCTCTCAGAGTGGAGTGGAGGAGAAGCAGGGTGCATGAGCAGAGCAATATCATGTGATCAGTGGCCCCTGGGCTGGAGAGGACGGCCAGGAGTCCCAGCTCTGCCACCACATCTGACATGACTGAGGCTGCCCACCCCAGTGGCCTGTTTCCTCATCTGGAGACTAGGAAGGTGCTTTGTCTGGCTGAACCTCTGATGCTCCTCAGTTCTGACCAAATGGTTATTTCTGAAGCAGAGGAACAGTCAGCCTTCATCTCCACCTGGAATCTCTGATTCCCGACTATAGCTCTCCATCACTCCTGGACTGGGGCGCAGAGAGCAGTGGATGGCTTGAAAACTCCAGGCATTCTGGGAAAGCCTCGTCCCCGATGTATGGGCAAGCAGCTGCTGCCTCCATCCCACACAGTGAAGCACAGCAGAATGGTTAGCACAGCAGTTTCCTGGGTCAGAGGAACCTGCTGTGTGTTTGCTGGGTGACTTTGTGTGAGTGATCAGCCTCTCTGCGGCTCAGTTTCCTCATCCAGAAGACAGAGGTACTGATCCTCACCCTGTAGGGGTGTTGTGAACACTGGATGGTAATGTGTGTAGAGCATTCAGCAGTGTCTGGCAAGGGGGTGAGTACTTAATAATTGCACATTGTTGCGTTCAGGGTAGCCAGGAACAAACATTCACTCACTCGCCAAGAGGAGAACATGACAGCTGCACTTCCCTGGAGGACTGGGCTCTCGGGTCATCAAGAAGGTCTCCCTCTCTCCACCCAGAGCAGATGGTATGAAGGCCCTTGCCCCAAGGGTCCCACTAGACCAAATGGTCATTTATCTTGGTCACAATTGCAAACTCATAACTATAAACTCCTCTCCCCCATCTCCACCCCCATCAAGCTGGAGGGGCTAACAGCACCTTCCAGTGCGCATTCCTGTAGCCACAGCACCTGGGATGGCAGAGTCAGTCCTCAGTCCTGACTCCAAGGCTACCAAGTCTGTTTCTCCACCTGCCTTCCCCCTCCCCACCCCCACCCAGGGAGTGGCAGCGTACTGAGATGCCTAACAAGAGTGGTGCTGACCTTCCAAAAGCTAAGACTTCATGTTTCCAAATCGTGACTGTCCCTCTATAAAAAACCAAGCTCTAATAGCCTTGGGCTGAGCCATCAGAACCTTCCTTTTCACCCAGAGTTAATCCCTCCCCAAGTTTTCAGGCTGACGAGAATAGTCAGGGTTTAGAGAAAGCTTTCTCTATCTTGCACTACCAGATCCAGCGCCTCATTTTTCAAATTCTGGTGTATTTCGGGTAGAGAGGAGGGAAAAGTACATCTGGCTGACATGAAAAGATTGGTGTGGTTGTAATGTAAAGACAGAGTGGAATTTGGGAAATTTTTGAAGAACATTTAAACTCTAAAAATAGACAAAAGACCCGCTCTCAGAAACACTAGGATTCTGTCTCCCATTTCCTGGAATCCCCCACTTGACAAACATGGGTGTTTTAGGAGTGCCTATGGTGTGGATTGCACTGTGACAGGTGCCGTGGGGAAAAGGGGGAGGGGGAAACAGAAGCAAAGGGCTTGTGCTCAAGGAGTTTGGATCCTACACAATGAAGCAGCAAAGAAAAGTCACTACAAATACAATCAAATACAAAAAAATTTAGCCTTGGAAGTCAGAGGGAGGTGGACCCTTGGAGGGCCATTCAGGGAGGGCTTCCTGGAGGAGGAGAGAGTTGAACTGAGGCTTAAGAGATGGTTGGAATGTAAAAAGGCAGAAGAGCAGGAGAGCCTGTGAAAGGAAACAGCAGCTGGGTGGGCTCATTTATGGGACAGGAGGGAGATTAATATTAGTGGCTAATGTTTGAGGTCTCAAGATGGGCCAGGCACTGTGCTGTTGGCTTTGTGTGAATTATTTTATTTAACTCTCAAAATAACCCCTTGAAGTAACCAATGTCATTCCCGTTTTACAGATGAGGAAACTGAGAGCTGAAAAGTTTAAGCAACTTTCCCAAATTTACAGAGCTGGTGAGCAACAGCGCGCCACAGCAGTCTGGCTTCCACATACCTGGGCACTCTGCTCTGCCACTCTGGCCAGGCTGACTCTAGTGGGGGCACCTGCAGGGAGGAGCTGGAGGTCAGGCAGTCTAGGGAGGCCAATGGCAGGTGGCAGGGCCTTCAGAAGCCCTCAGACAGAGGCATTTCCTGAAATGCAGCCCTCTGGCCTTCCTAGGGAACTCTAAAATGAGATATTCCCTCTTCTCTCGTCTGCATGCAGGTCCCTGAGGTATTTGGAAATTTGTTAAGGGATCTGGGGGGCTCAAGATTCTGGCTTTTTAATATCTTTCAACTGTCCATGTGGAGGCGATCTGTGCCACCCACCTTGTTATTTCAGTCTGTTCTGGGAGATGGATGGCCCAGGCTCTGATTTAAGATCTGCCGCGGCGATCCTCAATTTCCCATGTCTCATGGGGGACAGTGACAAGGCAGCAAGCACACGGAAGACGGCTTAGCTGTGCCCAGACTCCAGGCCCAAGAGCCCACAGCACCTGCAGAAAAAGTTCCAACCAGAAAAACCTGGGCAAAAACAGACAGGCCCAGCAGACCTTTCCCGCAGGTGATGTGGAAACCCATTCATAATAGAGCCGGAGGGGCCCCAGAGGTGAGCTGAACCAACTCCCGTATCTCACAGCTGGGCAAACTGAGGCCCAGAGAAGTTGCGTGACTTACCCAAGGCCATGCAGAAGTGAATTGAGCCTCCAACTGCGTCTCCTTTTTCAGGAAAAGCCCTCTTACTTGCCTCCTATCCCCCACTTCTGCCCTGTTCTGGATGAATTCCTCTTCTGGATGAATCAACCTCTTTGTTGTTGAAATAAAACAAAAAGGTGGGGGCCTTACTTCTGCCAGCCACTGTGCATATGATCCCATTTCCTCCTCTTACCATCCCCATGGGTCAATGGGTCTGAGGTTGCCAGGCTTTGCCAGCTCATGGATTCGGAACACCGCATCTCACTGAAACCCCTTTCCTGCCCCACCAGGTCCTCCAGCCAAAGCCCCTTGAAAAGCTACTTCACCTAGAAGGGTTTCTGTAAATCCCTCAAAGGGACATTAAGTTACTCCCAGACCAACCTGTCACCTGCATTCACCTCTAGCATGTTCTCCGTTCCTGCTCTAAGAAACTGCCAGAGGCAAAGCAGCTACTTAAAGGAGTGCCTCATCCTAGCCTCACCAGGCTTCCCTCATTATGTCCCTTGTTGGGGAGCTAATGTTCAGGCCAAGGGACAAGCCCTGATGCTCCCATAGCTCCAGGCTGAGGCCACCAGAAGCAGGGAGAATGGCATCTTCCCCAACACAGAGGCCCTTGGGCTCCAGGGCCCCCAAAAGCATTGCCACAGTGTCCCAAGGCCTCTCTGCAAACAGCCTATCTGGCTTTGGCTGCAACTTCTAACCCCAGCCTCAAATCCAGGCTGAGAGGCCAGGGAGAAGGGCACCCTTCCCTGTTTATTCTTGGAGCCACAGAAAGTGCTCCTCCTTTCCCAGTTACAGGACCAAATCCCCCAGATAAATTAGAGGATTCCAGCAAATCCTGGCGAGGGAAAACAGAAACTAAGGGCTTGGAAGTAGCCACGCCAGGATTTGAACCCCTATCTTGTGACCCCGTCCCCTGCACAATACACCTGCTGCCCAAACTGCCCCAGCCACCCCAGGGTTCTTGGCCCTCCTGGGACTGGTAGGTGGGAAGGCAGGGAGTGGTCTGTGCTGGGGGAGATTTGATCCTCAGCTCATCAAAGGAGGCTCCACACTCTGGGAGTTTCGTCTTCCTTCCTCTGGCCTCATGGGTCCAGTCCAGAGCTTGCCAAGGTGAGTCTCTTCCAAGACCAAAGGTCTTGGGAGGAAGAAAAGATCAGAGGAAGCCAGATGTCCCTTCCTTCTGAGGAAGGAGCCTGCTCCAGCTAGCCTTTGAGGAAGGGATCCAGCACAGATGCTGACCTTCCTTAACCTACTCTGCTGGCCATTGCCATACTCTCCCCTGTGGCCCGAGAGCCACAGTGAGTGCTCTCATCACCCAGTGCTTCCCCCGGTTCCCCACTAGAGCCTTCCTGCAGTGGAAGTGCAGTGCTGGCCATAGGCCCATGTTCATCTTAGGAAGGTCCCCACCTCCCACTGCCCACCCCAACACACCTGGCACCAGGCTACGTCCTGAGACACCCAGCCACAGGGCCATGAGGAGACAGACTGACCAAAAGCAAACAAGGCCAAAGACAGGCCCCCGACCCTGAATCTGATCTACAAATATGACACAGTGAATATCTCACAGGGCCTGGGGTTGGGGAGGTGATGGGAGTTGGGGGCGGACTGCACAACAGGACCGTGGGCTGCAATTAAAATTCCCATCCCGGGTAATTCCCGGGCCTCCGTGGGGCTGTTTCCATGGCAAGGGAGGCTGGCCCAGGGAAGGCAGGCTCCGTGCAGGGCTGAGCTCCCTCCTCTGCCCCTGCCCACAAAAGCCTCAGCCATGGGCCGGGCAGTTCCGAGCCACATCTGTGATCCAGCTCAGAATGTGGCAAGGTGCAGGCAGAGGCCCAGGAGACAGCCCCTGCTCCCAAACACTGTGGGCAGGTGCCCAAACTGGCAGGGAAGGAAAGGAGGGACAGTGTCTGTGCCCAGGGAGCCACTCCGTGACATGTCCTAAAACAATATGAAGCCACTAGGGCCCTGGCCCTCGAGCAGCCAGGTAGCAGGAAGGAAAAGTCAGGAAGAAACCTTCCACCCTCAGGAAGCGTGCTCCTTGTCTGATAAACCCTTCCCATCACCAGGGTCCTTCAGTACCCCCACTGGCCTCCAGGCAAGGCTCCCCCTATCCTGCCTCCCGCCCACTCACCTCTCACACATCGTCACCCCTAGTCCTCACTCCCTCTTGCCCACACGGGCTCACCACCTGCTGGACCCCAAGGCAGCCCTTTCTGCAGCCCTGGCTACTGCCAAGAAGGCTGGAGGCCCTTCTGGCGTGTTCCCTGCTGGCAGGTGGGGATGAGCAGGCCAGAGTGGGTACACATCTCCACAGGCAGACATCGGAGGTGGTAAGGTCAGGAGAGAGACGCCAGGGCTGTCCCTGAGGCCTCACCTCTGAGGAATCCTGCAGAAGCTCAGTGGGCTGGACAGATAATGTGTAATACCAGTACACAGAACTCCCGCATCTGGAGAGTTTGGCCTGCAGAGGACACCACAGGTCCTGCCTCCTGGGGGGTGGTTCTGGAGCCTGGGTTCCCTGGGAGGGGAGGCCTGCTTCCAGGTGGTTCCCCTGCAGGCTGCTTCCACGGGGCCCTCAGGCTGCCCATACTCATTCATCCCAGGAGGGGAGAGAAGGGGAGACAAGTGAATCTGATTTCACTTCCTTTCTCTCACCTAGTCCCCATTCCTGATCTGCCCCCAGCCTCTCTGCTCCAAGTGCACCATCTGCAGGCGGTCCCAGCCCCTGGCATTCAGGAGCCAGTGGACAGCTTGGAGAATGGGAGGTGTCCTCAGGCACCCTGCCCAGCCCCAGCCTCGACTGGTGCTCTTTCCCTCCTCCCTCTGCGGGAGGAGGGGGAGTGGGTGTCCCCATCAGGTGTGGTCAGCCCTTGGTCAGGAGCCCATGGGCACCTCCCACTAGACAGCCCAGCCCTGGTCAATGCCACACCAGTGGCTCTGGGAACTCAGCCCAGGAACAATGGGGCCATTCACTCAGCCTGGGCTTCACACAATGACCCTCTTGGTCTATCTCCGTGGCTAGACGGTGTGTGAGTGAGAGTGAGTGTGAGTGTGTGTGTGTGTGTGTGTGTGTGTGTGTGTGTAAGAGACAGAGGGGAACTGGAGGTAACTAGAGAGCCCAAACAGAGGCAGGAGAAAGAGTAGCAACCAGGGATTTCATGATATTCATGCCGGTATCTATCCTATGTGCCAGGCACTGTACTGGGTACTTGCATTATCTTCACAACAGCCCTGTGAGTCAGTCCCAATAGAAGCCCCATTTTCAAGCTAAGGAAACTGAGGTAGGGTCATAGAAGTCAGAATAACAGGAACATCTTGGTGGTGGTATCCTCTAGTTTTATTTGGGTGGTGGTCCCATGGGTGCATACTTATGCAAACATTCATTGTGCTGTCCACTGAAGAGTTGTCCATTTTGTTGTCTGTAAATTGCATTTCAGTAAAAAATAAAATAAAAATGATGTTGCGTCAATTGAATTAAATATTACCCATCCCTGATTAAAGAATGAGGAAGCTCTTTGTATGCTAATATGCATCTCCAAGATACACTATTTAATGAAAAAGAGCAATGTGCAAAACATTGTTTTGCAGGTAGTATGCAAACACATATTTTATGTTTGTTATTTATTTATTTATTTATTTATTTATTTATTTATTTATTTATTTTGAGACAGGGTCTCTCTCTGTCACCCAGGCTGGAATGCAGTCATGAGATCATGGCTCACTGAAGCCTCAACATCCCGGGCTCAAGTTATTCAAGTTATTCCTCCCATTCCTCCCATTTCAGCCTCCCGAATAGCTGAGCTTTTTTGTTTGTTTGTTTTTCTTTTTTGTTTTTGGTGAGATGTGGTTTCGCCATGTTGCCCAGGCTGGTCTCAAACTCTTGAGCTCAAGCAATCCTCCTACCTCAGCTGCCCAAAATGCTGTGATTACAGGCATGAACCACCATGCCCAGCCCTGCAAACGCATATTTTAAAATACCATCTATACAAATCTGCTTGTGCATGTAGATTATCTCCAGACAGACACGGAGAAACGATGCTTCCTCTGGAAGAGCAGCCACGTGGCTGAGACAGAGGCAGGAGGAAGACTTTCCACGATATACCCTTTTTCTTAACCCATGGGAGTGTATTACTTATTCAAAAATTAAGTGAAATTAAAACAAACAATAAAACAGTGCCTGAGTTGCTGATTCCAAAGCCATTATATCAATTGCTTCAATGCACTTAATTCCAAAGCAAATGGCCTCTCCACTCCTCCCACTCCTTTCCAGCCCATCTCCCTTCCTCAAACCCAACCAAACTGCACCTGGTTGTGGCTGTCCAGCTGGGGAAAGTTCATGGCTGGTCTCCACAATGGACCCTCCAGAACCCACTGCTGTCTGAGAGCCAGGCAGCTGGGCCAGAGCTAGAGCCCTCAAGAAGCTGCTAACCTCGAGAGCCAAGTGCCCCACTGGCTCCTGAATGCAATGAGTGCCACAGGGTGGCTGACAACTCACTGGGACCTTCCAGCTCAGGGTGACTCCCCAGGTCCCCATGCAGCCCAGTGGTCTCCACCTTACTGTCACTGCCTCCCACGCTCCCTCCATGGGTCAGCAGGCAAACCCAGCCCAGGCCTGGTCATGAGGAAGATCCCAGGTCCAGAGGCATACCGAAAGTTAACAGTCAGGCAATGAGTGCAGCGAGAGGCAGCCTACTAGAGGAATCCAAGGCTTTAGATGACCACAGCTGAGCCTGTGGCTTCTCAAAAAGAGCCAGCTTGGTTTACAGTCCTGGGTTCAAATCCCAGTTCTGCCATTTCCTGGCCACCAGACCTCAGACAAGTAACTTCGTCTCATTGTGCCTCCATTTTCTCATCTACAAAATGAAAACAGTGACACCCACCTGTTGGGATTATTGTGCCAGGGAATGAGATGCTGATGACCCTAAGTCCTGAGCCTGTAGCAGAGTAGGTGAATCTGAAAGAGAAACACTCACCACCACTGAGAACCATGATCTAAGCAGAGCTTTAGAGCAGTTTACAAAGTGCTGCTTGGGCGCAGCCTTCCAGAAGGAGGTGATCGAGAGGAAGGCCCTGCCCCAGCTGGGACCCCAGGTCCCTCCTGGGCTCCTCCCTGACTGTGGGTTGTCAAGAAGGGTGTTGACAGGCCAAGGGGGGCCCAGGATGTTGAAGGATTTGGGAATTTGATTGCGGGTCTTAGGGCTGAGAGGCCGTAAAGCTCATGGGGCCAAGGGGCCATCTCCAGGTATCCAAGAGTTACCATGAAAATAATAATAATAATAATAATAATAATAATAATAACGGGAGTTTGGGAGGGCCAGGGTTCAGTGCAGCATATCACCATCACCTACCTGGCTTTCCTTATCACACCAGATTCCCTGGGGTGAAACTGAGTTGCTTTGAGCAAATCACTGAGCCTCTGAGCCGTATCTGTGCAGATCCCATGGACGTCCACGCCTGCACTCTCTGTGGACTCTCTGTGGACTCTGGTGGTGGCAGCAGTACCTGCCTCCCTCGCTCCCTGGGGTGGTGTCTCATTGCCCTCTGAAGCCCCCACTCGGCCAATATGAAGGGTCACCTCTGTGTCTGGGTCTTATGGTGGATGTGGGAGAGGTGACGATACACAAGCAGCTGCCCCTGCGGTGAAGGAGCTCCCAGGCCAGTGAGGTGGGGGTGGGCAGGGGTGGGGCAGACAGGCCAGAAAGTAAGGAACCAGGCCACATGACAAATGCCAGAACCAAGGAAGAATCAAATACCCTGGGACCTAGAGGAAGGGATTTGTTCTACTCATAAAGGGAATCCCCTGCAGACCCCAAGGCCCCTGGCACTGGTCCACTTTGAGTGTCACATCAACTGCTCCTGTCAACCACAGGGCAGCCAGGGAGGAGGCAGGGAGGTGAGATAGACAGTAACATCTCTGTTCTGCAGGTGAGCACACCGAGGCTCAGAGAAGACAGCTGGCTCAGAGCTAGAATGGAAGCCCAGAGTCCCAATGCCTGGGACCGGCTGCTCTTCAGCAGTCCTTTGGCCACTTAATACGTCCCCACCCCACAGGACACCTTTCCAGGTCACTGGCTGCACCTGGCCAGGCCCAGCTCCTTTTGTGTAGGTAAGAAACTCTTCACCACCCAGGGTCCTTCCATGGCAGGTGCAAACTATAAACAGGCCCTTCTCTGGGATGACTAGAGTCTCCGCATACCCTAAAATAGCCCTGTCCCTCACCCCTACCCATGCCCCCACTCAAATCTGAACCAGAAATGCTGCCTCCAAAAGGCCCCTGTAATGACTCATCCATCCAACAAGCACCACTGAGTGCCCCACCTCTGCCAGGTTCTCACTGGACCTAAGCATCCTGCAGAGCCTGAGAAGAAAATGAGGACTCTGGAAGGTTGGGGACACCAACCAGCCCATCTCCTAGGCATTCCAGAAAAGTCTTCCCTGGGGGCAAGTTATCTCTGCCTATCTCCAAAATCATTCAACTATTATTACTCAACTATTTTCCAAGCGGTCCCAGAACACATCTGTCCTATGGGGTCTCTTCACATTAATGATAAACTCTTTTTCACCCTCTAACAGAAAGACATCTTTTTAAAGGGCAAAGCCTTCCAACCGCAGCCTGAAGAGTCCTGGGCCAGGCTGTGGAAACAGCAAAGAGGCACATTCCAGGGTGGCTGGGTGCCTCACTGGCTTCCTGCCCCACTTCTCTGGCAATAGTGGTAAAGACAGTCAAAGAGCGGGGACTGCTGGCCAGCAAGTGAGGGTGGAGGGAGGGATGGAGAGCCCCTGGCCTGGGGTCTAGCTCCCGGGGCAGAGGGAGAATGTCAGGGGCCTAAGACCCAAAGGAAGAGTATTTAAATAAGAGAGATCTTTGTGTTGCAGATACCTTCTTCAACCCACTGAACAGGTGGGGACCTAAGTCAATGACCCAATAACAGAGAAAATGCTGCCCCCTACCCCCTCCCTCCTCCACTGCCCAAGTTCAGGAGAGCAGGCATGGCTGACATTCCCTCTAATCCAGGGATATGTTGGGGGTAGGAAGGTGTGATGGTTAATATTGAGTGTCAACTTGATTGGATTGAAGGATGCAAAGTATTGTTCCTGGGTGTGTCTGTGAGGGTGTTGCCAAACACCCTTTAACATTTGAGTCACTGGGAGAGGCAGACCCACCCTCAATCTGGGTGGGCACAATCTAATCAGCTGCCAGCGAGTCCAGAATAAAAGCAGACAGAACATGGAAAGACTAGACTGGCTAAGTCTTCCGGCCTCCATCTTTCTCCTGTGCTGAATGCTTCCTGCCCTCAAACATTAGACTCCAAGCTCTTCAGCTCTTGGACTCTTGGACTTACACCAGTGATTTGCCAGGGCCTCTCAGGCCTTCGACCACAGACTGAAGGCCGCACCATCGGCTTCCCTACTTTTGAGGGTTTGGGACTTGGACTGGCTTCCTTGCTCCTCAGCTTGCAGATGGCCTATTGTGGGACTTCACCCTGTGGTTGTGTGAGTCAACTCTCCTAATAAACTCCTCTTGATATTTGCATCTGTCCTATTAGTTCTGTCCCTTTAGAGAACCCTAATACAGAAGGGTTTCAGTTAGACCACAAGAGCAACCTTCTGACTGTGACCTGGAAAAAGGCACCCAGGGCCTTCTGAAGGAGGAGCAGCTTTTACCCAAGGCCCCTGGGCCTGCTCCATGGATTTCCAAGTCAATCTGGTTGGAGGCAGAGGGCCGCCCTAGCTCACCTTTAGAGTCCCTCCCCTTGGGGAAGAAGAGCCCCTAACAAGGAAGTGGGAAGCAACTGGCTCTTCTCACCCCCGCTCTGGGCCTGGTTTAAATGAGGTGGTATGGGGGAGGTAATAGCACGTACTTCACAGGAGCAAGGGACATAAATGTGTAAATAAATCCTCTAACAAAGTAACACGCACATGGCAGATACTAAATAAACACTAGCTATTATTTTATTTTATTTATGTTTTATTTATTTTTTAATTTTTTTAGACGGAGTTTTGCTCTGTTGCCCAGGCTGGAGTGCAATGGCACCATCTCGGCTCACTGCAACCTCCGCCTCCCAGGTTCAAGCGATTCTCCTTCCTCAGCCTCCTGAGTAGCTGGGATTACAGGTGTGCACCACCACACCCGGCTAACTTTTGTATTTTTAGTAGACACAGGGTTTCACCATGTGGCCAGGCTGGTCTCGAACTTCTGACCTCAAACGATCCACCCATCTCGGCCTCCCAAAGTGCTGGGATTACAGGCGTGAGCCACCTCGACTGGCCACTAGCTATTATTTTATTATTATGGTTTCAAGACCACCTGTGAAGGGTCCCTCTGCCAGCTCCTGCCCATGTTCCCACAATTATTGACTCCCTCTGCCAACCAATGATACCTCTGCTCAAACTTGCAAAAAAAAACCAGAAAAATCCTGGGTTCCTGCAAGGGCACTCCAGGTCTTGTCTGTAGATGTGCAAAGCCTTTGAAGCCAGAGGTGGAGAGTGGAGGACAATGGCGGAGAGGGGAGACTTTGGCCCCCAGGGAGAGCTGCAGGCAGCAGACGAGGGATAGGGTTGGCCTCAGCAGGAGTGAGCAGACAGAGGGGGTGCTCAGACAGGCTGGAAAGAGATTAGAGGGCTCATTAAAGCCAGGGGTGGACACAAAAGCATCCTACAGCCCCACAAGTACAGGCCCTTGTTTCGAATGTGTCTTACAAAAAGGAATAAATGAAAATAAGTGAACTCTGACAAGTGGGAAAATGTTAAGGGCATGCAGAGGGAATTGTCAGCACCTCCACATGGTGCCAGAGAACAGGACCCGCTCCAAGCTGGAGGGAACTTCCCAGAGCCTTTCAGCTAATGCCAGCTCTCACCACTCCCTCAACAACCCCCTGGCCCCTTCACTCTAGGCCCCCTTCCTGCAGGGAGGAGGGGGAGCTCTCGAGGCACACGCCTTTGAGGCAGGGCATGGTGATCTCCTTTCTGATCTGCCCCCATCCCTACGCCCTGGGACAGCACAGTGACCTCAGTGGCTGCTGATGGGTCAACAATTTCCCAGAAGACCAAACTCAGGCAAAGTGCCATTTAACATGCTAAGCAGCCCTACAGTCTGCACAAACCCTTTGTAAGCCCCACCCTCCACCTGCCGTTTTGACACTGACTCAATGCCTGTGGCTTCCAGAGGTGGCCCTGGCACCAGTCCTTCTGCTAGGCTAATGCTGACGCCACCACAGGACTCCCCCTTGGTCATTGCTGTGGGGCTGTTGGGCCACCGCTTTTCTCAAGATGGCCTGGGCTACCCTGCCTGATGTCACCCCAGGTACCACAGTCTGGGCTGTTGCCATCCATTTTAGAGGAGCCACTGAGGCCTGCTCTCCCCATCTCAAGCTCCTCTGTCGCTGAGCAGCTACTCAGCTTTGGCGTCTCATTCCAGTTATGCCTTTCCAGCTTTGCCTCCAGTGAAAGTGGAATCCATCCCCTCGCTTTTTACACCCCGCCCACCTCCGTTTTGTTTCTTTATATGTTTACGCACCTGCCTCTCCCACTAGACTGAGAGCTCCTTGAAATCAGAGTTCTAGTTCACTCATCTCTTAAGCCCGGGGCCTAGTTCAGGGCCGGACTCCTCATAGTAGGTGGTCACTAAGCAGCCACCAAGCGAATCGCAGAGGTGACCATGCAGTGCAAGGTCAATGTGACCCAGGAAGAGAATTCTTCCAATGGACCCTGAAGCCGGGCACCAGGAACTTGAGCTCTGGCCTCATCCCACCAACCCTCCCATGCATGATGGGAAGGCAAACGCCAGCCTTTGTCCTTTGTATAGAGGACCTCAACCTGAGCCTTGGATGGGGAGAGACTCTCCCTGTCCTAGGGACAAAACCTTGTACACAGGGCTGCAAAAAAGCCTGTCTGGTTACTCACCATGCCGCCCGCCAGCCCCTTCTCTTCAGGGACAGAGAAAAGGTGCAGATCCAAATGCCAACGTGAGTGGCCCTAACCCACTGAGGCCCCAACTTACAGTGAGTCTACTGCCTCGCCCTTACCCCCAAGGGCTGCCTGCAGAGGGGGCTGGCTGCCCTGTGCTGACCTCGAGCCACACCCTTTGCACAGAAACAGACTCTAGCAGGAGGCGGTGGGGAGGGAGGGAGGACAGGGCCCAGACAGTGAGACTTGGCTGTGAGGCAGGAAGAAGGCTCAAGAAAAACCCCACTGGGCCTGCAGGTCCGCAGACTGCATCCTTGAGAAGAGCCTCAGGTATGGCTCTGAGAGTCCCACGAGTGACAAATTGAGAAGGTGTCCAGGTAGAAAACTGTTAATTAAAAATATATAATAATATAAAAATATGTAATAATAACAGCTGTAAATTTGGAAAAGGAGAAGGTGACTTTATTTCTTGTAAAGGATTACAACTGCAAGGTGGCCTTCCCACGGGCTCAGAAGCACAGCCTCCAGCCAAGACCAGAGACAGGTATTTCAAAGAAGGAGAGGCTGGGGTAGGAGCTTTATGCTGAAAGGGTTGGCTGAACATAAACATTCATCAGTTTACAGGAAGAGAAAGAGCTGTGAGTATTCATGAAGGTGGCCCTGACACATGTATATTGAACAAACATGTATATTACAAATGACCTCTGTTTGCATTGGGGTGGAGATTTAATATGGAAGTGTATTCCCATTAGGCCCTATAGGTCAAAGGGGCTTTTCAGGACACAAAGGTGCATGAATGCACAATCTCTGTAAACTGACCAGAGTCGGTCCATGGTCGGTGGCCAACTTATCAGGAGAACGCTACCAAAATCAGCCTCTTGCCCAATCAAAGCTGTAGCTATGGCTGGTGGAACAGCGGCTCAGGCAGTCAACATCTGTGAACTGTGATGAGCTGTAATTGTCGTAATATTGCTTATCTTGAGGCCAGTGCTTGTTTAGCTGCTAGAGAAAAAAACCTCGTGGCCATTAGAACATAGCTTATTCTTTAAGTATAGATAGTGTGTGACTTACCCTTGCCTGGGGTCCTGTTTATAATTTGGTATATTATTTCCAAAATGATTCTGTCAGTCTTACGATCTCTATTTTCACATTAATGCTTGTCAGTTGTTGTGTCTAAAGTTTGAAAAGGTGGGGGATACAACCAGATGTATCTGACCTCCTGTCCTGTCATGGTGAGGAACAAAGTGGTAAGGTTTTTCTAGGGGCCCCCTTGGCCAAGGCAGGGGTCCATTCGATCAGTGGGGGAGCTCAGGATTTTACTTTTAGTTTACAAAGCAGACCCTGGTTTTTTCGCTGGATCACTCATTCACTCAACACACAGGAAGCACTCAGCAAAGAGTCCCAATCCCTCCTCCATGGAGGCCATTGTCCAAGGGGGCAGGGAAGCATACGAATCACTGATTATGCGGCAGGCACCATGCTAGAGGTAATGTAATCATTTCTTGCTTTGGAAGGACAGAAACAGGGAGGGAATCTTATTATGCTTTTAAGCAGAGATGCACAGAAGCTTGAGGTTGACTCAGGTCAGAGGCCAATGTGCCTGAGACCCAGGTTTTCTAGTAACTGACATCAAGTGGGAGGAAGATTTTGTAACCACGATGGAAAGAAGTTCTCTTTTACCAAGCACCTATTATGGGCTAAGTGCCATCATTTCATTTGCATTGACACCCTGGAAGGTGAGTTCCTCCACTCTCAGGTGGGGGAATTGACAAGCTGCATGCATTTTATTAAAGTTTATAAAGTATTTTTGGATCTATGACTGCATTTCACCCTCACTAGATCCCTGTGAGGAAGGCACTGGTCTCCCTTATTTGGAGGATTCATAAACTGGGGCTCAGAGAGACAAAACATGACTTCCCCAAGGCCAAACTGTCTGACCTCACATCTAGAACACTTCGCTGCCCCCTTACACATTGTAATGAATGGCCTGGCCGAGGGTTTAGAAGACAGGCTACGGGGCTGTGAAGGCACTAGGCTGGGAGGAAACAGACCATCATAAGTCATCAGCGGAAAGGAAACTCCTGCCCTTGGCTTCAAAAAGCCAACTGTGGGCCACCAGGGAAGGGCCCAGGCAGACGTTGCCTTAAGAAGCCTTCGGTGCCCTGGTTGACTTTAAGGGCTGACAGGTCAATGAGGGGTTACAGCAGAGGGCTCTTTGGCCTTTAGGTAGCACATAAAGAGTGCGTGGAAAAAGATGGGCAACCCATCCTGTCCTCCACTCTAAGGACAGATGGCATTGTCAGTACTGGGGGCACTTCTGAGGGCTACACTGTGAGAGGGCACAAAGTGAGCATTGCCCCCTTCATCCAATAGGTGCCTGGAAGGCCCTATTCTGAGTAAGGTACCATCGCCATCAACCCTGAACTGAGCCTCGAAGAACCCAACAACATAGATGGGCCCCACCCCAGGTGGAGGGTGCAGACAGTATACTCGAAAGGAAAGGAGGTGATGGGAAGGCCTGGCTTCTCACAGAACCTCAGCCAGGTTCCTTCAAGATAGAAGTGAAAGACAAAAATCCAGGCAGTCAGAAGAATGGCAGTGGTATGAGGGGACATCCCCTGAAACATGAATAATGGCTCCAAAGAGAATGATGGCGGACACTGGGAGGGTGTGCAGGAGCAAGGGGGCCATGGGGGTGCTGGGATCCATGGGTGGAACCAGAGACCCCAAACAGACACCCAGGGCCAGTTGACTTGACCTGGGCCTCTCCTCCATGTATGTACAAGCTCCACTTCCTCCTCCATGCTCCAGCATCGCTTGGTCTTGTGTTGCTTAGCCTACTAAGCTTGTCCAGGTCACTCTGCCCGACCTCACCATGAGCCCTCCCTACTCTTGTCCCTTCTGCTTAAGGAGCCAGAGAAAACAACTACAGATTCTTGTGCCCTGGGGTGTAAGGGAAACTGTGGATGCCCAGGGGAGAGAAGGGGAGAAGCCTGGGGGTGACAGGAAGATGGGTGTTAGTAGCCCCCACTTCAACATAAGAGGGCAAAAATCCAGACTAACACAGAAAACAAACTAGATCAATGTTTCCCACTGAGATCAATGTTTCCCGCTGAGATCAATATTTCCCACTGTGTGTTCCACAGAACAAGTCACCAGGAATAAAGGGTTCTGTGGTCCAATAAGTTTGGGAAAAGCAGAGGTAAGCAGATTTCCATAGCAGACTTCCCAGGGCCTTTAATGTGCTAATACGCATGGCGAATCTCCAAGAGGGAGGCAGAGCATGTGGCGCAGCCCAGCCTTATGTGACCAAGGAACCCTTTCATCACAGTGGATTTCTCAGGACCAAAGTGCTAGGGAACATGCTTTGGAAAACAGAGAACTAGACCAAGGTGATCCAGATTCCAAACTGAGTTTTTAGTCTCATGTGGGATTCGGTGATCTAGTGGGGTAGACAGGGCTAAGACTTAGCTCTTCTACTCTCTCAGGGGGCACTTTGTCTCTCTGGGCCTCCATGTCCTCATCTCAATAATGAAACCTGTGCTGCCCAACTGCCGTCTCCCAGGATTCTTTTGAGGATCAAAGCAAATACGTAGACCCCTTTTAAACTACAGCTCTGTAAACCAAGGGGCATAAAAGGCAACCTCCCCTTGAAAAGACAACGTATACCACAACATGATTTGATGTACAAAAGCTCTCTTTACAAATAACTTTTAAAAGAACTTATCCATTGTATAAAGCAAGATCCACCTATGAAAGATAAAGATGAAGCAATGGCAAAAAAGCAAAGGCAATGGCAGAGAAAGCCCTATGATGTGTGGAGCATAGTGACAGAAAGAAGATGCTGATGGTGCCTAGGGCCCTGGGTCTGAGTCTGGTCTGCCCTGGACCTGCTGTGTGGCATCAGCCAAGTCTCTCCTTTTCTTCCGTGCATGAGGGGGTTGGGCAACATGACCCCCAAGGCCCACCCAGCCCTAAAGTCAGAACTGAAGGCCCCCACACTGCTTTGGGCAGCCCATCCCCACAGGGGATCTGTCCAGGTGAATATCTGAAAGGTGTCAAAGGGAAAGGACAAAACTGCTCCAGGAGAAGCTCCATGGGGCTAGCCAAAGTAGCCAAATCTGTCCACAGGCATGAATTTGGCTATGAAACTAGAGATGAGCCAAAAATCAGAAACGAGGTCCACGCAGAAAGAGAATTGGAAAAGCTTCCTTCCCCACAAGAGTTTCTGCCCCATCAACTTAGGCCTCAGCCCCTTCCTACAGGATGCAGAGGTGACCAAGGGTAAAGAGGGAGAGGCCAGGTTTCAGCCTGGGTTGCTATAGGATCCCTTTGAGGGAAACAGGTCCTCAAAGTACAGGATGTCATAAAGTCTAGTCTGATGGATGAGGGAGCAAGCAGCCCCCTCTCGAGAGTCCCACGGATTAGAGGGACATCCTGCACCTGCTTCCGCTGAGGGCTTCCCTCTGACACCGTGCATGTCACTTTCGCTATTTTTCACAAGAGTAAGAAAGTTCACTGTAGACTTGGTGCAGTCTACAATTACTGCTTGGGATGCTGAGGGACAGTCATAAAGAGTGCTGTATCCTTTCTGTACAACAAAAGAGCAGTCTGGACTTGAGTACTTGAGGCCTGTGCTGTGTGTGTGTGCGTGTGTGTGTATAAATGTGCACATTCATGTTCAGCAGAGATATTGCTTCCCAGCCCTAGGCTTATGTGAGGAGGGTAAGCATGTGGCAATGAGGTCAGGAGACAACCTGAGATCGTCTGGCACTTAGTGATTCTGTCTGGGGACATAGCAGGTGCTGACAGAATCTATCACTCTGCAACAGGTCTGTCAACAGACTCTGTGTGACAACAATGTATGCAACAGGGTCTCCAGGGTGTGGAGAAGCTCTTGCCTTATGGGTGAGCATGAACAAGGAACAGAGAGTCAGCTTGTGATGCAGTGGGTGCGTCTCTCCCCACAGGAGCATATGGGGGCTGTTGGATTGGAGATGTATGTGTTTGTACACACATGCACATTTAAGTGTGTTGGTGGCAGCAGCCTAGAATTCTGGCCCCATCTCTGAACCAACTCACTCTAGGACCTTGGCCATGTTGCTTTCCCCCTTTAGGATCTTGGCCTCCTCAGCTATAAACAGGAGGGGCAGACCACATTGTTCAAGTTCTGCAGTCTGATCTCCTGAAGTGTGTGTGGGTTGGGGGGTGGAAGAAAAAGAGGAGGGGATGCAGCCCCAACAGGGCAGAGCCTTCTCCCCCTACCCCTTGCCACAGCAGCCTCTCCTGGCAGCAGGGCCCCAGCCTTCCCAGTGGAGGGCAGAGGAAGAGAAAAGTCTCTCCCATGGGAAGGTAAATTTCATTGACTGCCCATGAAATGCTCAGGATACACAAGCCAAGAAGCCCTCACCTGCTCAGCCCCAGCAAAGGGGGCTGAGTTTGGGGATAGAAGCACTTGGAATGGGGGTTGGAATTTCAGAGCCACGAGCCTGGCCTGAGGCTGGCATCATCTCCCCAGAACCACATCCCACTCCCAGCAGCTCCGGACTAGTTTCCAAGCTACAGGGGTGAGAGGCGGAAAGCGTTAACCCCTTGCCAGCCAGAAAAGCTGCCCTGGCTCATCACAGTCAGTATCCTGCACCTCCCACTAACTTGAACTGCCTGATTCAGAGACTGGGGGACGCTCCAAACAAAAAGGGAAGGAAAAGCTAAACTACAGCGCCCTGAGCTCCCCTCCAGCCAGCCCTAGTTAAAGGTCATAATGAAGGGACACTTTCCCCAATGGACCTCCTTCTTCGACCACCTTTTCCTTTTCCTTTTTTTGTCAGGAAGACTTTAATCGAGTCTCCTTGGGGAAAAGCGGCTTCTTCTAATTCAGCTCTTAATTAACCCAGCACACCCCAAAGAGGCTGCAGAACTACTCGTAAATTAAATATGAAAAGCATTATTTATCTAGGCACAGCCTTCCAAGGGCTCTGATTCTGACGTTTATAGTTAATAATGAAGATGGATTTGGAGGGAGAGAAGTCGGAGAGGAGAGAGACTATTGCCTGGGGAGAGAATGGAGCCCGCGGGCCTGGTGAGTGTCTTCCAGGGTTGGGGGAATGTAGTCCTCTCAGGCCAAGGGACTGCTTGCCTGGATCTTTGGAAGGTGAGGGAGGATCAGTACAGGTTCAGGGATCTTGCAGGGTTATTGGCCGAGGCCCTCTCCCACTAGCCCGAGACCCCTCTCCCTGCCCCATGCCTCATTCCCCTGCCTAACCATTCTCCTCCTTGCTCCCACCCTGTCTCCAGCCCACCCCTAATGGAAGAAAAGGAAGATGGGGGGAGGGGGGAGCAAGAAACACAGGTGAGAGAACTGTAATGATTCTTTTTATAACATCAATTGCTCAGGAAAAGGCAGCACTATGACTCTCCTTCCTTCTCAGGGCCTTGGCTGCATCTCTAGGAGCTCCCACCCCATGTAGTTGCATGTTCCCAACTCAGTCCAGGTATAGGAGTTCAACTTCCCATTCTTAGAAAACCACAGGAAGCAGGGTTCTAGTTTGGGATTTGCTCTCTCTGGAGTCCTCAGCCTCATTTTTCCTATAGACGAGTCTGTGTTCATGTCTTCCTATGCCTTTTTCCTTCGGCCTCTTTGGCCTCTAGAGAAAGGAGTGACATGTGCCTTGGCTCTCCTAGGAAACCAGTTCCACTTTAAAAGGTTACTATCCCTCCAGGCCTTGTCCAGCTGATCATTTCAAGGGCACTCACTGAGTTCCTCCGCCACCCACTCTAAATTAGGTGCAACACTAAACTCAACGAGGAGCACTAGACATAGGCTCAGCCCCCACAGAGCTTCCAATGCAGTCAAGGAGGACCTATGAGAAAGAAAAAGCATGTCCAGATGCCCCACATTTCCCAGGAAGTGTGTCTCTTTCATAGCAATGAGTCAACAATCCCAACTTTGTTCCACTACAGGCATGTAGGGGACAGGGCGTTAACAGAGACAGAAGTTTTAGCAAGGTACAGCTAAAGCCCTTGCTGCCTGGAAGCGGGACCCTGGACTCAGTAACAGTACAGACATCTGAGACTATTGTGTCATCACCTCTGCTAGGCTCCACTTAAGCAGCTTCTGTGCCACCTGAAAGCCTGGAGGTTGGGTGTTCTGGTGTTTTGATATCTAGACAAAGACAGCCTTCGACACCCAAAAGCCCTTACCAGGCACTGTCAACAACTAACACAGCAGAAAAACACCAAGGTGCTGAGCCTTGGGTTCGGGCTTCCCACTGCAGACAGACATCACCTAACTACCAGACATTCCATTCCACTGGAAAACTTCAAACACGATTTTTACAAATTCTCAACAACAAAACAAAAAAGCTGGCTGCAGACAAGGACAGCTTCTGCTTAGCTAAGACAACAGACAAGCCGCCAACTACGGAATTGGACAATCTCTACCCAAAACTATGCAATGAGATTAATTTTGATGCTTCAGCACCCTTTTTCTCTTTGCCACCAATCCTATCTATTGTTGCACTTTGACACTCTCTTATCATCTAACTAGAGGATTTCTTACCCTACCTCCCTCATCTTGATCCTGTTATTTTTGACCTCCTGAGGTCTTCTGCCCCTGAAGAAAAAATAATTCTCCAATGTGTTTGTCTCAGCCCATAGCCACTGCTCTGTGTTTGACTGACAGCAAACATTTAATAACTGTTCTTTTAAATATTTTAGAAGGGAGCTTTCCTTCTAAAAGTCCTCTGTTTCCCTCCTATAATTAATCCCAAACTTAAATTTTTTTAAAAAATTGGACTTTGGCCCCACGTCAAGAATATACTTCTGTTTAGGTTATTTACAACCCTATCAGTAAAACTTAGCCCATCAGAAATGGAAACTCATATTGGAAATAGTCTTGCTGTAATGTCAATTTCTTCCCTTCTGACTGCTTCGCCCAAAGTGTTTAACTCCACTCAGGAAAGCTTCCCACCATGAAGGGATAATAAAAACTGGATCCCTCATGTTGCAATAAATGACATTCCCAATATAGTCATATAGTCTGTGCCCCACTGGGAATCTACTTCTTTTGTGGCCATCAGGCTTATACCCACATACCATATACTAACTTTTCCTGTTTTCAGGACAATTTTTAGAGACTTTCAGATATTTAAAATTACCACCCCTCTAGTAGATCATGTTCCCTGAAAAGAATGTCCAGAAACTTTCAAAAAGAGGTGAGCAGAGGCTACCTGAGAACTGTCAAAGGGGACAACCAACTCTTTCTTTGTGCACAGTGTACAAACTGCAATTCCCACAGTAGGGATCCTTCAGCCAGAAGGGATGGTCCAAAACTTCTCCCTGTCCCTACTAAGACAACATCAATTATGCAACTTCTGGCTCTGGAAGCCAAACCAACCAGTTTAAATGTATATGCATAAGCCACAGTTGTCAGGGGTGATCATATGGTCCTTAATTTGGTCTTAGTTAGCTGAGGGGAATTTACACAACAGCAAACCTTTCTTGCTGCAGCCATGTAGACACTACAGACTCAAGTAGAACAGTCTGGAAGTAGGCTAAAAGAAAAAGCCACCTGGATCTCTAGAAAAAGATCAGCTGGATTTGGGACACATTTTCATTGTCTGGAGTTGATAATCCAGGCTCCTATCTTCAGGGCCTATTATAAGAACCAATAGCAATCTTTGTTTCTGGTCACTGCCTGTGTTGCAGCTGGCTGGTGTCTTCTATTCAGAGTCTTTAATGCTACTGTGCAGCTTTTGTCACATCAGAAGATTAAAAAACTCACCCTGCCACAAAAGGAGCAGGAGAGACTAACTCATCCAACGACAGACTGCAGTCTCTGAACAACCTCCTAATCAGCAAAATGCTGGCAATGGTGAAGACCCGAATATCACAGATTCATGTTTTGCAGCTTGGCTTTGCCCTTGGCCAAAAGGGATCACTGGGGAAGAGAAAAGCAGCCCCTGCCAGGGACTGACTTGGCACTCTCAGTTAGTCCTTAGCGTTCTCCAAGTCACAAAAATGACCAGACATCCTCTGATCCTGGCTAATACAAGTGACTGCAGCTTCTTTACCAATTATGGCCTTCGCCTCGCTCCATTCCTCCTGCCTTCCGGATAAAACATATTAAGACCCATTTCTTCCCTTTTCCCAACAGCATGCAATTCACAGCAAAGGCCTGCTTCCTTGAGTCCTTGAGTCCCAAAATCACCTAACCAAACTCAAATCCTATAAGAGGTCCTTTCTAACACCCTTTTGCCAACACTCTCCATGTTCCTCATGAGGTGCGTTTACCCTTTGTTGCAATGGCCAATAAACCAACTTTGTTCAGCTCAAGTGTGTTTCTGGTGGCCTTTGGCTGGAGGGTTAAATGCAATGACAGATACAGAAGCACCTTGACAAAAGGCAGACGTTGGAGTGTGCTATGAGACGTGGCTCTGTTCAAGTGGGAAATTATATTAATATAGAGAGGAATTATTAGGCTAGCACTGAAAGTGAAAAAGGTATCTTGCAAGCATTTCTGGATATGACCACGTTTAGGGCTGGAGGAAAGTGTTTTCTGCCTTTTTGCCAGACAGGAAAACAACTATTTTGATCAACAAGATAACCAGGGACCCGAATATGAGAAAGAGAAAGACATTAAGACTGCTGATGTTGTTGACTCGCCAGAGTGAGAGTGCCTGGGGCAGCGAGCAGGGGTTTGTGCAGAAGACAATGGCTGGGATCCCATGGGGAAGGGCTTGAGGGCAGATAAATAATGTGTTCTGCCTGGGAGCTCGGGGATGGCTGGCACCCCAAGCAACACTGCCTGCTGCCCTCCTGCAGGTCTGATCAGTCTCCTGGTGGTACCTGCTAGCTGGCACGCCTTACAAATGACTGTGGCAGCCAGCCTGCCAGAAGGGAAATACTCCCCCATCCCATGCTCCAACCCCCTACCCCACCTCACTCCCAGGGGTGGCAGGAGACTAAGAGTGAGCCAGGAGGGCTACCCACTCACTAAGCAGGAAAATGTTACCACCAAAACCATGCAGGAGCACAGAGAGGAGAGTCCATTTAAAAAGAAAGAAACCCATGATGATGACAAGAAAAATAGTTAATACACTTGAGAGTATAATGCCCTCCACAGCATCAAAAGAACATATTCAGAGGAATTAGACAAAAATCTCCCCTCTTGGCAAAGAGATAAACACCACAATTCGGCAAATACAGGAGGATACACGGGGACTTCCCTAGCCAGACTCATTTCCTGAGCCCTCTCTATCTAACGTTTCTTCTGAGTCTTCGTGTTCACCCTATCAAACACCATACCAATCTCAGACTGAAGGGCCTTTGCATTTCATTATAAAATGACCATGAAGCAGAAGTAGCTCTTGTTTCAAAAATGTCTTGTTTGACAAATGAGAAAACTGAAGGCTAGCAAGATAACCCAGCTGATGATGACTGGAGTGTCCAGTCCAGGTTCTTTAACCCCAAATCTATTATCTGCTTTTTTTTCCCACCAATGTCAACTCAAACACAGCTTCTGAAATCTGCATGGTCTAGACTGGGACCAGCTTCCCTTCTCTTTGACATGTTCTAGCATGGTGGGAACACCTGGGGTAAAACAGGTTAAAGCAGAAGTAAGCAGTCTACAGCGTGTCCAAGGCCTTTGCTATTAAGAAACATGTCAGATGCTGAACACGCATCTAGAGTATTATAGTCCAGGGCCTGGTTACCTCTTTTCCTTTCCTATAACATGCATTATGGATACATAATTACAGTAGTCAAGAAACTAAACCATTGGGTGGGCCAGCGCCCTTCTCCAGGGATTCTAAGAGTTATGTTTGCACATGCCTTATACCTTGTGAGTTATTTGGAATCCTCACTATAAAAAGTAAAATAGAGGTTTCTCTTCAAAGACTTTCCTCCTCATCTAATTAGGAATAAATAGTAACTTCTTTTAGAAACAAAATTTATTCAAAGACCTGGCTAATGTTCTTAAATATCTGCTAGCCATAATAAAAAAATCAATATAATTTATGTTCTTAGCTCCCACAGTTTAGCCTAAATATTTGCCCTGACATACTTATACTAGTCCAAACAAATATTAGATCATAGCCTGTTTCTCTTCCTTATTTAAAGATGTTTTTACCCTTCTGGACATTCTACAAGTTACTTCCTCCTTCTTTTGTTCTCCTCTGTCTTTGCCTCTTTTAAAAAGTTCTAAGTTACTAACCAATCAAAACAAATATAAAATATAAAGTCCTGTTCCAGCCAATAAAAACCAGACACAGCAGTAAGGTGGACACGTCAGGTTATAAATGACCCTGTCTCCTTTGTTCAGTATACTCTCATGACAAAACTACTGACAAATATACCATTTCTACAAAAAATAAAAATGTCCTTACTAAAAAATTAAATGTATTTTCAAGTACTATTTCTTTATAACACCGAAAAACAAGTATTTCTAACATCACAAACCACACACTAGCCTGGATTTGTTTTTGCATCCCAAGCACTATTTCAGGTACCTTCAATTGCCATTGGTCACCTAGCTTTCAGAATTTATTTTCCAAAGCTAAGTCTGCCATGACAGGTGCTAAGGTATCCCTTTGAAATTCTTGGCTTTTCTAGCTTGGGGTAGTTAGACAGCCATCATGTTTCAATTCCTAGATTGCTTTTCAGGAAGTTTCTAACAGATCTCAGTTTGCATTTCTAGGTGGTCATTTTACAAGTTCAAACTCATATTTTTCATTGCTATTCCTTATACAGAGCTAAAGTGCTATGGGGGCTTTCTAGAAAAGTGACCTTTTAAAATGGAGTCTGGATCTCATTCTTAGCAGAAGCATCAAGGGAACACCTTCATAGCATTGCAAGGTCAGTGACTTAGGTCAGCATCAAACTCCCCACTTCCCATGCCCAGGCCTAACTTGGACTCACTCCCACCTATGGGACCCTTGCTCTTTTTCAGGAACTGGAAAGGAGGTACCCCTCAGATACAGGGCCACAGGCAGATAGATTTAACCTCTAGATTCATCCTATGCCTCATGAGGCTGAGGCAGGTCCCTCCACTGGGCCTCAGTTTTCCCTAAATGTGTAACAGAGTGGGGTTTGGGCCACATGATCTCTAGGTCCTCTTCTGGCTCTGTGCTTCTATGACTTGGATTAAGAGAGGCAGATGAACACCTCAATAGAGGAAGACAGCCCAATTTTTAAAAATCAGATTGACTTTTGCCATTCAGGTCCATTACCCCCTCCCTTTCCTATAGCTGCCAGCTGTTCAAACCCTCTAAACCCTAACCTCTTTAGGCAAACCAAATCTTGCCTAGATGGCTGCAGGGTCCTCTGAGACACCTAAACCCTGCGAACCTTGACCAACCCTACCCCACCCTGCCACCTAATTGAAAGAGCCTCAGGAGCTCCACTGCCTTCAGAACCTAATTTCTCAGGACAAAGACGTGCCCTTGAGGATGTGGCCTCTCCTCACCTTGTTGGGTGCACAGATACCAGCCTCCAAATATTCGCAATTCTCTTTTTGATCCCTCTCTCTCTCTCTCTCTCTCTCTCTCTCTCTCTCTATTGTCCTAACCCATGTTCCAGGTAAGAAAAAATTCTTCTCTATCCTAATGAGGGTGTTGCAGACACTCCACCTGTGACCCAGCCCCATCCCACAACTTGTCCTCCTATCTCCTCAGCTTGCTTCCCTACCAAGGCTCCAAGCTAGACCCAGTTCATGAAGGCAGAGAGGGTAGGTATCAGGCCGAAGTTGGTGGGTTCTTGCTCAAGGTTGGTATTTCAGAACTAAAATCTGCAAGTACATTTTTCCTTTTCTTTTTCTTCTTCAGACCCCTGATCAGGAGGTGAGATTCCTTACACTTGGCCATACAACAGGATGAAATCCTGCCATTTATGGTAACATAGATGATCCTGGAGGTCATTATGCTAAGTGATATAAGCAAGGCACAGAAAGACAAATACCACATGATCTCATTCCTATGTGGAATCTAAAAAACTTGACTTCATAGAAATGGGGAGTAGAATGATGGTTACCAGAGTAACCCTTAGGGGAAGTGGGAGAGAGGTATACGAAGAGAGATTGATCAACAAAGTATAAAGTTACAGTTAGGAAAAATAAGTTCTGGTGTTCTATTACACAGTATGGTGACTATAGCTAACAATAATGCATTGTATATTTCACGATAACTAGAAGAGAGGATTTTGAATATTCTCATCACAAATAAATTATAAATATTTACAGTGATGGATATGCTAATTACCCAATTTGATCATTATACTATGTATACATGCATTGAAACATCACACTGTACCCTATAAGTATGTACAATTATTATATGTCAATCATAAATAAAACTTTTTAAAAAGAAGAAGTTAAGATTCCTAGAGGAAACTTCACCTCACCCTTTCTACCCCTACCCAAGCCAGTAGCCAGAGCACCTCACAACCAAGTTCCCAAAACCCATCTCCAGAATGACACGTGGGGCCTTATCCTCTTCAGGAAGAACAAAATGAGCCCAGGCTTCCCCCTTAGGACCGCTATAATGTGTTCAAATGTTTTCCGTCGAAGAAACTAAGCTGCACAGAGGTCGAGACTTGCCAAGGTTATACTGCCAGTTAGCAGCCAAGACCAGACTTCAAACCCAAATCATCTGACTGTGAGGGTTCTTTCTTGGCATCCAACCCAGATTAGAGGAAGAGCTTATTTCTCTGGTTGCTGTGGGGGTGTACCCCACACTCAGGCTCCCGCCGGGATTGCCACAACTGTCCCTGCCGAGTCTGGCTGCCTCCAGGGATCTAAAACCAGGGACTTTGTTACCTTTTGTCCCTTGCTGTCCTCATAAGGTACTGATTGACTGATGGAGGCATGACTGGAAGACTGGCAGAAGCAGAAAGCAAAACTATGTCGCCCCCTGCCATGCGCCTGTACCTCTGTCTAGACTTCACAGAGGAAGGAGGAAGTCATCAACCCAGGCTACTCACCACTGCCTCTCACCCTTCCTCCCTCACGTATATTCCATTCAAAGACTGTGGATTTCCCCTAGGTCGACTTGAGAATTTTCTAGAGTTCCCAGTAAGCTGCTGAGGATGAATTGGGGGTTGGTGGAAAGGTCAGAGACAGACCTGAACAGCTCTCTTCCTAAGAGGCACAGGCAATCACTGGGCCTCGCCCGCCCCAGGTTGCCTGTTCTCTTCACCACCAATAAACTAGAGGGACCACGATCTCACAGAGTCTGTGAATAAAGTCATTCGGCAAAGGTCTGGTGGGCAGTCATCCTATACCAAGTACCAAGAAGATGCAGAGAAGTCTAATGCCTCCTGAACCCGCCCATCTCCTGTTTTGGCTATTGTCTGTTCACCCCAGTGCATGGGTATTGACAATCATTTCTTAAAGGAGTCTTCCTTCATCCAGTACTGTCCATGCTTTACAATATAAAACCCAAATCACCCCTCACACCTGATCCATCTTCACACAAGTCCAAGGTCCCCAGGCACTTGAGATCACGCCACACGCCTGGAGTGACTTCTCTTGAGCAGGTTTGGAGTATGCTCTTACTGCTAACTAGCTTTGTGATTTGGGGCAAGTCTTTGACCTCATGGGCCCAAGGTTTGCTTATCTGAGGCTCCTAGAAAAGAAAGTCCAAACTCCTCAGCATGGCTGGCCAGGCCTTCCCCAAGCCAGCACCACCATCCGCTCCAGCCTGTTCTCTACTCAAAGGCCACAGTTTTTGCCTGTTTGTGTCTGACAGCACTCATTTCACTCCGAGTTACATCCAAGGGATCCGTTGCTAGGCCATCTCCCAGCTTATGTGTAAGCTCCTTGCGGGCAGAGCTCCTCTGAAGCACCTATAGAGCCCTGCACTGGGCGTGAGCAGGGCTCACTCAGCAGGGCCCACTCAGCAAGTGCTAGGTCGTCAACGACCTGTGGAATAAATAGCCAGCCCTCCCAAGCAGCTGCCTGCCTCCCTCCTCAAAAAAGTCTGTTGACTCCACAGATCCCAGAATCAGGCTTCTCAAATGTGCTGCATGGATGACCGGCAGCTGAAATACCTAGTGAGCTTGTTAAAGATTCAGGTTCCTCAGCTCCACCCCACACCTATGAAATAAGAATCTCTGGGGTGTGCTGACTCCAAGAGCCTCCCCAGGTCTGGCCCAGAGCTCCAGTGGACTCTAAAGCTAGGCCCTTCTGCAGGAAGGGGATAGACAATGTCCCATAAGCAGCCCAGGGTATAGATGGCAGGGGATTGAGGCAGGGGACAGGACTGAGATTCTGCATCTGCTAACCATCATTGCAAGTCCCTGATACTTGCCTTTCTCTAACCAAGTTATGACAGCAAAGGCACCACCTTCCTGCCCATCACCAGCAGCTAGCAGTTCTCTTATTGCTGCCTTCCTTCCCCGTCCCATCAACCCAACAGGGCTGGAACTGACTCTCATCTTCAGTCAGCCTCTCCCTCCACCTAAGGCCTCATAGCTCTTCTTCCACTGAATTTAAACAGCTTCTTCTTCCCCAAGGCAAAGAAAAAAAGGGATTCTTTTCCTCCTACTCTTTCCACTGCCCACCAGCCTGCTAGGGTGTTTTCTAAAACCAATGTGAGAAGCGTTTTCAGTCACACACTTTATATCCCACCTAACTAAACCTCTGCTGGCTGTCCAGACAGACTTTCCTCCCATCCCCTGGGGCTTCAGACCCACAGGGCCCTCACAGACCTCTCAAGTCAAGTGTCAGTGGTGTGCTGGGCACCATCACAGGACTGGAAATACAAGTGCCCAGGTGAGGACCAGCTCCAGGTGGACCACGTGGCTCTGGGGAACTCTTGCGCCCCTCTGTTGGGAATAACGTTCAAAATCCTAAGGAAATTGAACACTCAAACAAAGGATGCTTAGCAAAGCAATTTTGCTTCTGTGCAGAGGGTGCTTCTCCTTGGCCAGTCGCCATGAGAGCACACCTGAACAAAGGGGCACGAGAGCCTTTAATCCTGACGCAAGTCCTGCCCCTGTACCCTTTCCCCGTTGGCCAGGGTCAGGTCGCACAATCTGAACTAATCCCGGTTGGCTAAACATTTCAGCTTTTTTTTTTTTTAGATAAGGTGGGCACATAAGGGAGAGAGGGGAAAGGGGAAGGGGTGTCTGCAATGAGCTAGAGAGCTGGTCTTCTTTCCAAATAAGGAAAGGAATGTCAACTGGTACTGATAATGCCTGGTACTGTGGTGTGTCTGGGCATGTAACAAAGGCAGAAAGGAAGAAAAAAAGAGAAAAAGGAAAAAGGGGTCGGGGGTACTATGAATTAAAGACTAAAGGATTGATCAGGCTATTTGAAGAAAAAAACCTCATCATATCCCACACCTCAGTCTCTGAAGAAGAAAGAATTTGAACCAGGTGAGCCCAGGGAAAATTTGGATTTCCTTTTGAAGAGGGATCTAATGCTAGAGTACTGGAATTCTCTAAGTTATTACTCCAGGACTAAGGGCTGCAGGGTGAGAAGACCAGAAGGAAAGAGCTCCAGCCACGAGGACAGAGCCCCAAAGCCCGGAGAAGTTGCCCTGATGGTGGTGGTCAGGACTCAACTTCACATTTTAGCGGATGCTACCCTGGGAGAAGCCAGGGGGCATTTTCCAGGAGAAGCAAGTACTGGGCCCGAGTGAGGCAATCAGAGCAAATGCTCACATCACAGTGACTCTGAGGCAGGCAACGTCTAGCACCTGAACTCATTTAATCTGCAACACATCCCATAAGGAAGGCGTGATGATTATCCCATCTAATAATGAGGATGAGGAAACGGGCACAGGAAAGGCAAATAATTTGCCTAAGGCCACAGAACTAGCAGGTGGCAGAGACAGAATTCGAACACAGGCCAAGTCGGTGAGTCGACACTCTCCACCACAATCTGTTCTCCTGTCACTCAAGGAAGACATACCCTCTCTGACAGTGTCCTTCAGCCCATCCTGCCTACCTCACAGGGGAGCGGAGCCATGCAACACTATTTTCGTGTAAGCTACCACCAGAAGCGTAAAGTCTTTGAGGTCTCAAGTCAAATGGCCTATATTTGACAAGAGACCACACATAGATTTGTACATTTCAAGAATGGGTACCTAAGGCCTAGCCCTGGGCAACATGGCCAGGTTGGGAAAAAAGATCTTTGGTGTCCCCTTCTTTCTTCACTCCATCTTTCTTCCTGGCATCCTGTTCATCTCTTCACGACAACCCCACCACCACCACCACTGCTGCCTTCTGTGCTGGGTGTAGAGAAGAACTGGACTTCAGTTTGAGTCCTATTCATTCTCCCAGCCTCTCTGAGCCTCCATTTCCTCACATCTGGCTGGCTTCTGGGCCTAGGAGCAACATCATCTAGTGGCTGGTGTCTGAGCTTAGGAAAGCCACCGAAGCTCAACTGCCACTGTGGCAGACACTGTCAGGCCCCCGCCTGCCAGCGTGTGAAATGGGGCTGTGCTGGGCTACCCGGGGGATTCAGGGCAATGCGTGGGAAGTGCTTGGGAGAGAGTCTAGCACCAAAGTCAGCACATTACCTCCATGTTCAGAAGTCGATTCAGTGCTCTTGGGAGCATGGCCTCATTTCACACTGTGGATGAAGCCACCTCCCCCGAGGAGATTCAGAGCTGAATGTCACACGGGGCCCAGCCTGGGAAAGCACTTCATGAGCAGCTCTCAGGTGGCCCGGGACCAACTGCCAGCTGTCTGGGGAATTTCTCACTAAGGCTGACATCCATTTTCCACATTTCTGTCATCTTCCTTCCTCACCCTTAGGATTCCAGATCACCTTCAGATCCCTGTAGGAAGGCAAAATGCCTCCTCGAAGCAACTGCAAACCACACCCTGGGACAAAGTATCCCGAAAGCCACGGGGCCTCCTCCCCTCTGACACCACTTCTCCATCCCTGCCCATGCTGCTCAGAAGGCCGACTCTCATATCTCTTCAACTCAAAACCTTGCCCTGCCTTCCAGGCCCCACTGGAATTACACTATTTTCAAGTGAAGAATTTCCCCGGGCTGAAGTGAACTGCCTGCTTCCTGAGCTCTCATGCCCCTGTCCTAGGATTCTGTGTGCCCGCCAGCCTCTAAGTGAGACAATGTGCTTCTTGAAGAGACCCCATGTCATGCTCTTTTCCTGAACCTGCTCATCACCAGCCTGGGTCCTGGATATGTGGTAGTCATACCATCCATGCTTGATAAACAATATGGAACAGGAGAATAAACACAGTGGTGTGCTCTGGTCCAACACAAAAGTTAGCAAACAGCAAAGGTTGATTTCCCTGAAGAACCTGGATTGGGGTGTTTCTCTACACCATGGGCTCCTGGGCCCATGTAGAATCTTCCCAACAATGCTGTGTCCTTCTCTCCCCTTTAGATCTGGACCTCAACCTCTTTCTAAAAATGTGGCTCTCCCTGCCTAGTAGACAACTGGCCTCTGCTGATTTTTAGTCTGCTTTGAGGCCAGTGTGAGGCTTTGCTTCCTCAGCAGCTGCTTCTTGGGAGAACTGGGAAAGAGGCTCCCATGGCAGCCTAGGATGGAGTATGAAGATTGTGCCCTTGGCTGTGATCCATCTTCTCAGCTTGAGCTGAGAGGTTTTGCCCAGGCAGGGCCTAAAATGGATGGGTCACAGGGCATATTAACAAATCCACGTTTAACAGAAGGTGGCCAAGAGAAGGTACCTCATGCAAAAGTCAAAGAGGCGGTCTCCTTGCTGGAGTGGCCTTTGGTTTTGTTGCATTGTTTTTTGGGGGGCGGGGAGGCAAGGAATAGAGAAATCTCTCAAAAGTGTCTCCCTGGCTACTTGTGAAAGGAAGGATAGGCCACAGGAAAGCACTGGACACTTCAGAAAAGAATGAAGGGTGAGGACTTTTTGCAGTTTTGTCCAGAGCTAGCGTTGCAGGTGGGTCTCTGGATTAGGCTCCACCCCTTATGTACAAACAACTGGAAAATGTAATCATCTGAAACACAGACAAAGTGTTATGCACAAAGAGGCTGAGTCTAGTTTGTAATGGTAAAAAACTGACCAAAATGTCTGGTAAAAGTTGAATAGTCAGATGAATAAGGACAGCTCCTTGGGATAGATTTTTATTAATATATTAAATTTCTTGAAGAATTTTCATGACACAGAGAAATGCATAAGCCATAAAGAGAAAAAACTTGCTGCAATACTATACCTACAGTATATGCAGGCTGCACCAAACCAGGAAAAAAAAACAGTGGTCAAACTCAGCGTGATAAGAAGGCAGGCCCAGGGGACCCCTAGAAATTGAAAGGGAAGAATAGTGGAGGCCACATCAAAGCACAGTGACATTCTGAGATCTTCTCTTATGTATTTATTTCTGTGTATACATTTCCAAGTTTTCTATAATGAACTCATATTTCTTTCATAATCTAAGATCATATAAAAGGAAACAAAGAAGAAAAGTAGGGAGGAGTGACTGTTAGAAGACAGAGAAGAAAAAGGGAGGCAGGCAGGGTACCTGCGATGAGGAAGGGTGAGACCTTCTTTGTCCCACTGAGCCCTGGAGGGACTAGATTGGTGTCACCTCAGAACCCTGCCACTGGGAAGCAGGGTCTGTGCCAAACCATGGCAGGGCAAGGAAACGGTGGTCCAGGCTCCATTCAAAGGCTGGAGCAGAAGTGAAGAGAGAGAACAAAGGGAGGAGACTTTGGCACCCCACTTCAACAGCCTTTGTGCTGGCACCTACTCCGCTTGGCCACATGCTAGGACAGCTTAGCAGCGTGTGTCCCTGAGGAGCAGCCTGGGCTCTTCATGCACACACACACACGGACACGCATGCACGCACACACACACGTGAATCTCCCAGCCCAGTCACCCCATCTCTAGTTCCTCCCCTTCAGGCTGCAAAAGGGAAGGATGCCTGGCACCTAAGGCAGTTTGCCCTAGTCCGGAAAGCTCCCACCTGCACCTCTCCCTCCCTCCACTTCCCACAGCTTGCCACCCCCAGGGCCTTGGGTCTGGCTTCTTTCTGCTTCTACCCAGCTCCTCTGGGGTGGCTTGCAGGTGCCCCACCTTCTCCAGCTCACTTCTCCAGGTCCCTGCCGGCCATGCCTGAGACTTCACCTGGTAGATCTGCCTCTCAGTGCTACTGCTGCCCATTCTAGCCTCCACCACTCTCCCCTTTCAATTCCTAGGGCCCTATGGGGCTGGCTCCTTATTACACAGTCCAGTGTGTGTCTTTGCAAAGTAAGGACTGAAGAGCTAGAGTGTGCAGACATTGCCCTTATCGCCAGCCTCTTCTGAGAAAAACCACAACATGTTAGAACTGGAAGAGACTTCAGCAGCCATTGAGGTCAGCCCCCTTTGCCTGCACCTGCCCCCAGTTCTGCTTCCAAAGATCCAGAATCAAACACAGCAACCCCAGGTCTTCTCCCAAATGCCCTCCAGCTTCCACAGGATCCATGGTCCTGCAGAAATGCACAGGGGAGATGGGTGAGACCATCACTCTGCACAGGTGTGTCATAAGGAGTGCCACAGAAAGTTCAAAGATGCCCCAGAGCCCAGGATGAGACTCAAGTAGCCAGTGTAGCCCATAAGACACCTCCGCACACACACAACCCAGGACCTCTCCCCATCCCTGAGACACCAGGGCCAACCAGAGGGTCTTTTCCTCTCCCATGACTCCCCTTTGAAGCCCATCGTCCTTCCCAAAGGAATAAGAGAGCTTAACTCAGACTCTCTTCACTGGCTGAACAGGATATTGGACCACACATGCTCCACTGAGGGTCCTAGAAAATCCTCAAATTCAGAACCCAAATGGTACAACTGCCAGAAAGATATTGCCTGCCCCTTACATGCTTTTGCTCAGAAGACCACCTAGAGTCCCAGCCCAGGAGTAGTCCCAAGAGATGAGAGATGTTCCAGAGGGGACAAGGACACATAGTGTCTTTCCACCACCGCCTCTTCCATTCCTCTCTCCCCATAAGGACATGTGGCTCCTCTCAGCCATCCCTGTGTTTCATTCTCATTAGGCCCCAGAGGAGGGATGTCATTGCTCCTTAGTTCAACCGGAACAATAAGATAATGAGGAGACACTTTCATATTTCCCAATCTGACTTCACATGGCTGTTGCAGAACTTTTCCTTAGTTCAGCTAAAGACGGGGTTCTTTGTCCCACAGCCATGAAAATTTAGGTTTGCAGACAATTTGAGTGATGAGTAAGACAGGGTTTTATTGGGTGAAAAGGAAGAAAAGGGGGAAACAAGGACTCTCACCAGGACAGAGTCCCTGCTACACGGCTTCCCACCTGGCCTTTTCAAATCTGTTTCCATACAGGAAGAGGAGAGGCCAGTCTCCTCCCTGCTGCAAACGTCATGAACTTCCTGAAACTTCACCTCAGTGGGCAGGCTGGTTGAAGTTCTCCAGGGACCCCCTCCCACCTGGCTGTCTCAGCTGCAAGGAGGGACTGCATTGGGGATTGCTGAGAGATAAAAGTTTAACTCAGGTCCTGCCATCTCTCTTGGCCACCCAGCCAGCCAGGAGTTTAAGATTAATGACTGAGAAGAACAGGCTTATGGAACTCCAGTGGGTTGGCTGGAATTTGAAATGTCTATCCTAGAAAACAAGGAGTTTAAAGGAGCTCCAGGCTTAGAGGCAAGGAAAATTAACTAGGAGGATAAAGAAGTGGGAGATTGGCAAGATAGAAGCTAGGGATGGGCAGCTCCCTGGACAGGGCAGCCAGGCAGGATGTCGAATCTGGTGGCAGAATATCCAGCCCATCCCAGGGCTCAGAGAGTTCCAGCTTCTTCTCTCCTCATCCAGGGAGGCAGCAGAATGGAAAACTAGAAATGCTTTAGAGCAGGACAGACTGAGGCTCCAATCCTCATTCCGTTGCTTCTGAGCTATGTGATCTTGAGCATATTACTTAAGGTCTCTGAGCCTCGGAGTTTTGCCACCTATAAATGGGAGTCACTGATACCTCAAAGTGTTTTGTAAGAGCTAAATGGGATAAATGAAAGCCCTGAAACAATTCCTGGCCTGTAACAAATGTTGGATCAAAGTAGGCAGTTCTCCTTTAAATCACATGAAATATCAGATCTTCTCAGGCCTCAGAGCTATTTAGCCACCTGCTCCCCTTTAATGGGAACAAAGGTCTCCTGAAGGACACACCGGTTATATGAGGACAGCCCACTTATTCACTCATTCATTCATTCATTCAACAATTGTTCATTGAGTGTTTCCTTATATGTCACGCCATAGGAATGTAACTGGACAAAATGAGGTACCTGCTCTCATCCTTAACACAGACAATAAATGGGAGAATATGCAAAATACCAAGCAGTGATAAATGCTATAAAAACATAAAGCAAGCATGGGGAGAGAGAATAATTGTTTTACACAGAACGGTTGGGAAAGACATCTCCAGAGAGGTGTCATTTACGGATACCTGCAGAAGTGAACGGCCAGCTGTGTGGGGTTATCTGGGGGAAAGCATTCCATGGGGGGACAGAGAGTGCAAAGTCCCACAGTGATAGCAAGCCCCAGTGAGAGATGCAGACACCAACTACTGATGGGTTTAGCTCATAAGAAGGAGCACCCCTACCCATCAGGAAGAATCATGAAAGGCTCATAGAGACCAAGGTGTTGAAATTGACCTTCAAGAATGGGTAGTATTTTAATAGGCTTAGAAGAGGGACAGAAAGAATCCCAAAGAGAGCACTGCAGCCCTCATGTTTTTGGGATCTAGCTCACTCTCCCCCAAAGAAGGGCTTGCGAAAGTCACACCACCAATTAGGGAAGTCAGAACATGAATCTGTCCTCCTGAAGCCCAGTCAAAAGCTTTCTAACTGGATGAGTCCTTATTATTCAAAATATATGTAAGTCAGCTCCCTGGAGAGACTGCAAGCTATCTGGGGTCAGAAGCCCATTCCTTGCCAACCTCATTACTCCCAGAGCCTACCATGACACTAGACACAGTAGGAGGCTATGACCAGTTCTTGTTTTGACTTGAACTCGCACGTCCCCCACAGGGCCAAACACCCTTACTTTCCTCTAACCACACCCGTGCATTCGGCACAATGCCTTTCTTAGCACGTTCTGGGTCCCTTGATCCAGAGAACAATCTGCCTGACTGGATTTACTGACACTTACCACCCCAGAGGGGCGTAAGGTGACTGCCCAGGAATTCTGACCAAGTCTTGCTCATCTTCATCGGAGTCTCTGAGCATCGCAGCTGCCAGGCAGCCAAGCATTGTGTCGCAACTCTGCAGAAGTGCCACACACACAGTGATTAATACCCTATCTCCTAGCAAGTAATTATAATTAATGCAGAATATCAAATCAGGAAATCAGGCATTATTAGGAGGAATTAACTATTTATTTTCATTTTACGCTCTGCTCTCCCCCACCTCACCTCCCACATCTCCACCCCCACCTCCTATTTCCAGGTCTGAGCTGGAGAAGAAGAGCGCAGCTAAAACTTTCTTCATTCCATACGTGTGTAGCAAGCACCTATGTTCCAGGTCCTGAATGGGGCTTTAAAAAGACAAAGAGCAGCACAGTTCCTATTCTCAGGGAGCTTATAATCTAGTGGAAAGCACGCTTCTCAGGTAATTAATGGCAGGGATGGGAGTAAACAGAAACTGCAGTGGCGGCTCAGGAGAAGAAGCACTTGACTCTGCCTGAGAGGGCCCAGGAGGGCTTCTAGAGGAGGTAGCATTTGAGCTGGGCCTGGAACGATGGGCAGCAGTTTTCCAGGTGGGCAAGCAGGGGAAAGGGCATTCCAGGCAGAAGCCCTAAGATACAAGAGAAAGTGACTGAAGAGCAAACGATCCAAAAAGGGGAATGAGGAGTGAGAAGGCTGGGCAGGGAAATGGGGCCAAAGTGGGAGGGGCTGTTAGCCCACCAGTGCCTGGGAAGCCAAGAAAGAGCTGAAGGAAGCCCCAATCAGATTCTGGGCCAGGCCCAGGAGGTGAGTTCCAGAAGCAAATATCTGGGGATCAGGAGAGACGAAGCAAAGTCTAAGAGCATGGGGGTGCAGCTGGTCGTGCAAAGAGACTCAGGCTGGAAGTGGAAAGGGGTCTAGCACTGGTTTCTCCTACTACATTCCTTTCAAGAGAGGCTCAGGAGCACCCTCCAGGCATCTGGCCATGTTTAGCAGTCCTTGCTGATATTTAGCTGGGAACAAAAAGAAACACTGAGTCAGAAATAGGGAGGGTAATTAATTAGACTGTAAGCTCCAGGAAAGCAGGGGCGGCAGCGCAGCCTATGCTCAAAGGGCATTTGATGATTAGGTAACTGCTTGAATCAACAACTTCTGACAGCAATGTGGAGAACGCATGGCAGCAGATGGAGGCTGAGGTCTAAGGAAGCTACAGCAACATTTCCAGAGGCAGGTGGGGCAAAGGTACAAAGACCCAAGTAGAGATCCTCTGGGTAGGGAGAGGATGCCTGGAATGGATTTGGGAAAGAATCTGGAAAAAGGACCAGAAGAGAAGCCCCGTGACACTATCAAAAAGGGCCCCCAAATGTCCAGATTCCTCACCTCTGCTGCTTTGTCTCAGGAAAGCATAAAAAGGGGAGTGGGATCCCCCAAGGGCCAAGACAATTGCCTTCTGGGGAAGACACAGTTGGAATTCTCTAATCCTAATCACAGTAAATTAAAGAAAGACGAGAGGAGTAATCCAGCAGACTAGCTTCAGGCAACTGGACTCAGATGAAGAAGAGTGTCTTGAGAACAAGGAAGTGTGTGGGAAATCTGGAAGGTAGCAATAAGGCCTAAGGACTAAGCATTTCAGGATGGATGGCTCCGAGGCCTGGAGACATAATATCTAGGGTATGTCCTCCAAGGAGTTTTTGCAGCGGGGTTCTGATGCTTTGGAAGCCAGAGTAGGTCAGGCCTGCCCTATCTGACCAGTTTCTCTGGATCCAAAAAGCCTCTTCCCAGCTTGAAGGGCCGGATAAATAAGAACCCCATCAGATGACTGCTGTCACCCCTTTAAGACTGGACACACAAGACCTGAATATAAGGACCTTTGACACTAAGACCCCGTGGTATTCTCAACCCAGAATATCTAGTTAGGGAGGCAGCCTTCAACACAGGTCTTTGGGATCAGGGTTATGGCCTCTCATAAATCAGTCTTCCTCTAGCTTCAAAAGCAACTTAGGCCAGTACATTTGAACGCAGCTTAACTGTCTTATAGCTCCATTACTGAGTGTCTAAAGCTTTATCTTACAGATATCTAGCTCTAACCTCGACAGAAAAGCATTCTCTCCATTTTTCAAATGAAGAATCAGGCTCGGAGAAGTGAAATGACTTTGCTCAGTGTCACGTGGTGGCACTCAGTGTCCAAACCCAGCTCTGGCTGACTCCACAGTCAGATACAGGGTGTCTTTGAGTGGTCCTATCTACCTTAGTTTAGGTATAAGTAGCAACTGTAGCCCAAATTCTATTCTGGGTGAAAATTATAAAGTCCATTTTGAATTGGCTATGGTTTTGCCCCACCAAAAAGATAATCAGCTTTTCTCTAGTAGCTACCGTTATCAAAACATTGTTCTAGTCTTTTGATATGCATTGTTTGATCTTAGATCCTTCCATCCCAGCTGCCTGTGTCCAGCTTTAGAGTTCAGCTCGTTTCAGACCCAGGTCCCACCTCCTCTTTCTTCTCCCACCCCTGACTGGGTTCCTGAAAGTCTGTTTTCTCAAATCTACCCTGTTCCTTCAACCAAACTTGAGAACCACCTGCCCACCCCATCCCACGCCATCTACCACTCCTGACTGTACAACTGGCCACAAAAAAAAAAAAAAAGGAAGTCCATCTTATCTCCCATAGCTTCTGCTCCAGGCCCCAATCAAGCTACATAACACACCCCAGCAGAACCCTGATTCTCCTCTTACACTGGAATTCCCACAAGAGATCCTGTCTACAATTCTCTCTTGCAACATAACTCTCACCCTAGCAATAGAGAGAAAGACTGTCACCCAATAGCAAGAATCAGACTGAAATAAGAAATGCACATCATCACCTTTAAACTCAAAAGAAATATAGAGGGTTACCAAAAGAGGGAAGACAAGAGAGGAAACTGGTCTAGAAGTCTCCCCAAGTCCCCATCATTAGGGCCCCCATTGCCAGAGGGAGGCGAGCCAGCTGATTAAAAAGCAACCTCTCCTATAGAGAGCTGGCCCCCAGCTGATAACCCCAAGCAAGTCAGCCCCTTGGATGATGAATAACTTGGCTTGGCCACCCAGTAGAGGCACTGCACCCAATATGCTGTAGTAGAAATTGGGGCAGCTCGTTCAGGTTAGCTGAGCCTTAAATTCCTCATCTGTACACTCAAAATAATAATCTCAGCCCTGCCTACAGGAGAGGGTTATTTTGAAAATCCAGTGAGATCTTGGATGCAAAGGTGCTTTGGCTACTGGGAGAGGAAAATGGAAAGGAGGAAAGGAACTTATATATATAAGTCGAAAGGGCTCAAGCAAGACCATGTGGTGTCCCTCCAATCTGCCAGGTAGTATTCATTCTGAAAACACACACAGTACTTGCTGTGCTTTAAGGCAGAAGTGCCAGTGTGGGGCAATGGGGCTTCAAATTGCATGCTTAGACATTGGTGAGGTTATGTGCACACAGAGCTAGCCCACCCCTCACTACTAGATGAATAGGTAGCAGGACTTGAAAGAATATGAGTACTAAAGACAAAGACTTAGAGTCCAAGCTATGTCACTGACTTACCTGAGCCTCTGTTTCCTCATCTGGAAAATGGGAAGAAGATATCTCACTTATAGGGTTTTTGCAAATTTTTAAAGATTATGTTAAATAATTTATGCCATGTGCCTGGCACAAATGGTAGTTGTTCCTATAATAGTGATGATAACAATAATTTCCCCTTTGCTGCTGTCTCATCCCTAAAGGTAAGGAGGCAGCACTGAATGGCTATTGATGAGAAATCCACAACCCACCTTAAACAATAGGCAGCTACTGGGCCCTCAATAAGCTCACTAAGCATGAAATTGAGCAAGAATACTTATGTGTCTACTTGAATGCTAATGAGGCTCTAACTAGGAAAGACAGGATGTCTGTGGAGTTCCCACGCTGGTGATGGGGCTGGCAGGTTAGAAAATGAGGTAGAGGGAGGAAGAGCAGTAGGGAAGCTATTGTCCAGGTCCCAAAAGCCAATAGCTTCTGCCTGGTGGTGTCCCTGCAGGCAAGTTCTATGAGCCTGTTGAACACTCCTTTCCAGCCAAACATTAAACACTCAACAAACTCAGATGTGGCATTTCTAAGACTGGAAGCATCACACTCATGGATTTCCAAGTTTGGAAGGGTGACCCCGGTAATCCCTAAGAAATGGTCACCATGACCTGGAAGGAGGTCCACCCCAGTGGGACAGCTAGGAAATGACAGCAATAGCTTCAGCAGAGAACTAGCTTTAGATCACTCCGGAAGGGGGTCTCCAGGTGAAACTTTACAATGAAAAGAAGTAAAGAAGAAAGGGAAGAGGGGAAGGACTGGGATAGACTGACTGAACAGTTTTAGTGGATGGAACATCAGAGAGAAAACAGAGATAGTAAAAGGGAAAAGCAACAGGTGTCAGAACAGAAGGGAAAATGTGTTCCTGCTTGTGTACGGAAAGGCAAACAGGAAAGGAAAGAAAGTAGTGTTTCTTAAGCCCCAGCTTTATGCTGGACAGCATGCTGGGATGGTGATAGACATTATCCTATCTATCCTCCAAACATCCTGGCTAGAGCAGTAAATTATTACCACCATCTCAGAGATGAAGACAATGGGACTTTGGGCCACTGAGTAACGTGCTCTGTTAACTTTCCTTTTTTAATTCTCCATTCACTTTTAAACAAAACAACAATGAAAATGTTGATGTTTAGATACCGACACCTGATGAAGAAAAAATTCCATGGCTACATGATCCATTGTGGGGTTTTTCCCTGTTGTTTCAGTTCCTGATTTCCTACTTCAGCCCTTTCCTTTTATCTGTGAACTTTCTGATTCTTGTTTGTAAAAAAGACATACTCTTATTAAAACAGTTAAATGCAAACGCAAATGTCACATAACCCTTATTTTTAACACTTCATTAAGCACATGTTTGTAAAAGAATAAATGCCTAGGTTACAAAATTCAAGACCTTTCTCAAGAATCCTAAACTTTTCATCAGCTCACCCTGAATTTTGATTTGGCATCAGAGCCTTGTGCCATTGAATTGACCTTGACCTTAACCTTGCTTAAGGCACCCATCAACTCCTTCTCGCTTAGTGGCAATTATTCTCTCTCTCTCTCTCTCTCTCTCTCTCTCTCTGTCTTTCTCCCACCAACTGTTTAGATTCCCCTGCTGGGCCTGTTTAAGTCAATCAGAAGGAAAGCCTTAATTTGCCTTTAAATCTGTATTTTCAGAGCTCCTGCATTCTTTCCCTTCACAAAGCAAAACAGAGCAGCAAGGGTGCAGAGCCATCTGTATCCAACCCCTCCCGCCATGAGGGTTTATCTGCCAGTTTGCCTCTGTTTGGCTCTCTAGAGACAATCCCTCTCCTGGCTCAGTCTTTGCCTGTATAACCAGCACTATGCCAGGTAGGGCCTCTCCACCCCCAGTCAATCTCCACACCCAAATGTTATCCCTGATGTATGACTGAGATCCACCTTGTTCATAACATTTTCCCGGATCTCCTAAGACCTCCACTCCAAATCTGAAGAACCTCTTCTTCCCCTGAATTACTTTGCCATTTCCAGAATCTTTTAGCACTTTTGACTTGCAGTAAGTACAGTTGTTACTTTTCTTTCCTTTCTTCCAGACTGTAAGCCCCTTGAAGGCAGGACCTATGTCTAATCTGAAGGAAGTTCGGCTTCTCTCTCTAGGATCAATCTTAAAAGGACAAGGCTTACATCTTTTGCAGATTTCTCGTATTCAAAGCTGAGCATTCCCCTAAGAAGGACCCTTCCCTGGAAGCAAATCCCATAAGGACAAGGACCTTTGTGTCTTATTCACAGATATCCCCAATGTGTGGGCACTCAGTTAATACATATTTAACAAATACTGTCTATAGGCTAGGATTTCCTAGGATTGTTCGTGATTTTTGCATTACTGCTTATCACCTAGGATCTTGCATCCCCCTTGACTAGGATCAGATTTCTGGCATTAAGTCTTTTTTACTGACTAGAACGTTCAGCCCCTTTTCATCTGCTATTTGACTTCTTAAAGTTAGAACTAGAGGCAACATTATTTGAATGCAATACCTGTCTACTTCCATGACAGCCTATTGCCCAGTGATGCCATCAGACATATGAAATTAACAGATTTCTTTATAATTATTTTACTAAAGGTTCTATATCCTTTATGTGACATTATATGAAAACATTACTTAACACATAAAGAATAGTTGATAAATGCTTGCTTTCCTTCCTTCCTCATACAGAACATACAAAACAAGATTTAAATAACATTTGTAGTGGAGATTTAGGTTCTTTCCAATTGGTGCAAAGGGGGGATGTATGAGTGCAGAGAGATGCCTATGAATGTAGGATACATGTAAGGACACACGTGAGTCTAGGTGTAAAGGACAATCAGAGAAGGCTTTTAAGCAAGGAACCCAATGGAATTCGATTTACATTTTTAAAAGACCCCTCTGCTATAGTATAGAGCAAGAGCAAAAGCATTTAGGAGGCATCCAATGTCTAGGCTCACGATGATGGTGGCCTTGCTTACAGGTAGTAACGGTAGTGCTAACGAACACATAGACAAGTCTAGAATGTATTTTGCAGGTAGCACTAACAGGACTTGATGACAAATTGGATGTGGAGATGTAAAGACAGTAGATAAATCAAGGGTGATCCCAATTTGAGGGCTGTGAACAAATGTAGGTCCTATTATTAAAGTGGGGGAGACTGCTGCAGAAACAATTTGGGAGTTGAACTAGAAAAGGAAATCAAGGATTCTGTTTTAGACAGGACACAAGCAGTTAAAAGCTCAATCTGGCTCTCATGGGAGTGGAGAGCCATTAGCATATAATCTAAAATCATGAATCTGGCTGAGATTAGAGGAGTATGGAAAAGCAATTGCCCCAGGACCTAGGCTAGTCCAGCAGAGGCCACTGAAAAGTGACTCATGAGACGGAAAGAAAACCAGAGGAGGGTAGTGTCAACGAAGCCAAGGAGGGGAAGGCATCCTCACATATTTAATGAACATCCAACTCTCCACACTATCAACACTGAAGGCACCCAGTTAGGCACTGGGATTACAGAAACGAACAAGGCACAGCCCTTACCTTCAAAGAATTCACAGTCTAGAGGAATAAGAGGTAACACTTAGGAAATGGGAAATTTAAGTGGAGTTTCTTGGCAGTACAGATTCTGATTCAACTACAGCAACACCAGAAAAAAACAAAACACGAACCAATTGAAAAGGAAAGTTACAGCTACAAGATAATAGTTGCAATCCTTCTGCTTTATGTATAGATCAGCAGATTTTTAGATGTATTAAACACAGGCTGTGTCACAACCTACAGGTTGCTGAACTTGTATCCTATTCACAACCTCTAAGAGGCTTCAAGTCTAGCAAGGAAGCCTTGCAACAGAGGGACTATCAGCCACCCAGTGGCATTTCGTGTCCCCAGCAAATCAGCCTGAATGGTGAGAGTAGAGAGAGAACGAGATCACACGGCAAGTCACACTTGATCTTACCATTATCCCTCAACACAAGTGCACGAGTTAAATCCTGTTAGAATAATGACAGGAACAGCCCAAAGACAACGTGTCATCTCAAAGAAGCAATACCTGGAGGTTCACTGAAATTGGATCGAGGCAACTACCACTGAATTTTCTTAACAATAGCCATGGGGTGGCAGGAGTTTGGGCAATAGATTTTCTGTCCCAATTCCCTGCCCCTGAGCTATAGCAGAAGCCACATCAGTCATCGCAACAAGAGGAAGACTAACGTTCTAAAGAAACAACCAAACTCTCTATACAAACACTGCCTCTGGCGCAGAGGCATACATTAAAAGCTTATAATAGATTCTGTACACATTTAGAGCTAGAGCTTTCTGAGGTTCTCTCAATCTAAAAGTAGCATCTCGCCAAGGTAGAAGTGAGGTAATCATTTGAACAACAAGCATGGGAGGTGGGAGGCTGGTAAGTGGCATTTTCCCTACTGTAGCCATTTTGGATGTGTTAACCAGAAGGACAAAGCCACAAGCCATCAGGGACCAGGGAAGAGGAGATGGACAGAGGAAATGCGTATCAAGGGTGCAGAGAAGAAGAGGGGAAGGTACAGGGACAAGCTGTTGCATTAGGAACATACTTGTACCAGGAGAATTTGTTTTTAGATATTAATTTTGTGTTGTGACTTTTTATATTTCTCTCTCTCCCTCCAATTTCAACCAGGTAACCTTAGGCTTTTAAATCCTTGCTTCAGCTTTCTGACACTGTCGTGGCAGAAAACTGAAGCTATCTAAAATCCATTTAGTTGATCATTCCAGCTGTGTAGGGGGAGGAGGAAGGTGCCTATGAGAAGCAGACAAGTGAGAAAGGAGATTTCCCAAGTCTAGGAAGGGGACAAGGGCCAATGTCCTCTCAAGCAAATAGGTACCAGGCCCTGCTCTCTGGCAAGACACTAGGAAAGTGGCAAAAGTTAAGAAAGGAACAAGAGATCTCATTCCCTTTCCTGCCCAACCATGAAATGAAGAAATACCACTGGTCCTAATCCAGGCAGACTTGTGACTGATGAGCTAGAAAAACCTTCTCAATGCCTTGGCCAACTAAGACATTGGAACCAGGCAGCAGTAAGGAGCTGCCAGGGTGACCAAAGTTGAAGCTCAAAAGTAAACACACTGGCGTAGCCTACTACCACATGACCTAAGCAACAAGTTAGAGGCATCATGAATAGAAAAAGTTTTGGGTTTTACAACCAGCCTTGACCTTTATTAAAAGCCTCATGGACTTCATAGACTGTCTGCCTATGGTAGAGCAAGCTAGCAAATTAACTGTGCCAGGACTGGCACACCTCCAGACAGTTTTTTCTCACCCCTCCAGATAGTTTTCCCGATCCCTAACCTACAACGTGACAGTCATTCCTCTCTCATCTAAACTCTGGTTGGCTGCTTTAGGCTGAAATTCCCTGGACAGCTACCCTTTGATAGAATCTTTACATTCCAAGATTTGCAGGACATGTATTGCACATTTGATTTTATCACTTCCTCAGTCAGACTCCAAGGAATAGATGCATACCCACCAAGTTCCCAAGAAACAGATTTTAAAGCTCAACTGCTACTTAATGCCTTTGCAATAATCAATTTGCCAGCCCAAGTTATCTATGTGGGACTTGCTCTTCTTGGCCATACAACACAACAGAGACCAGAATAGAACAGACCTTGGGAAACACAGAATCAGAAAAGAGAAAATATTGTCTTACCCAAAGGATATTGTATATATATAAGGGCAGGACTAGAGGAGGATAACACCAAGGCAGGCAGATAGATAGATAGATAGATAGATAGATAGATAGATAGATAGATAGATAGATAGATCTTGATGTTATCTGCCTCTAGTCTAGAATAACTAACAGGATAGAACTATCCCATCATAGAGTCACTGACAACGAAGTCATGCTAAACTAAGCAAATTTTCTATTTTGATAGGGTGACCAAGAGTAAGAACAGGAGGAAAGAATGGCATATCATACACCTTGACCAGTAAAGTACTTGACAAAGTGTCATAATGTCCACATCAACCAGACAGAAAATGTGCACAGGATGATAGGATGACTAGGTAAACCCATCACTGCATGACCAACTAGAGTCACACTCTGCTTGGCTCCACCCCATTCAATGTTTTTTTAAATAATGAAAACAAAGACATAAAAGTAGTGTCCCTCAATATGTGTCAATACTACAAAATAGAGAGGTATAGCTAGTACTGCCTGAGTGAATTAAGACTCAGAACTGTCTCAAGAGATAGATATTGTTTTTAAAAATGAAATTTACTAAGAAGGGTTCGTAAATCTTGCACTTAAAAGAAATCAATATCATTAAGTATAAAATGAAGAGCCTCATCTAGTAACAGTATGAGTTTTAAGAAAAATGGAAAAAATAACAGGGATTCAGGTTTTTCTTACTATGACCTCCTCAGTCTGCATCAACTCAACTACAGTCCCCAGGTAAGGATTTAACAGTATCCTCTGTGCCTAGCTGAGTACCACTGTGGTACTATATTTCAGGGGGACAAAATGACTTAGAGCAAGTCCACAGAAGAGTGAGCAAAATTATGAAAGGACTTGAAAACATATTTTATGAAGAATGGTTGGGGATGGGGAAATGATTGAAGTAGCCAAGAAGGCTCACAATAGTTCATGGGGATATTTGCTTGCTTGCGTCTTATATTTATGCACAGGAGAGATTTTGCAATTTAACAGACTACTAAAGGCTGAACTAGAACCCATGGGTGCTAGTTATAAGACAGACGGATTTCAGATCAATAAAAATAACTTTTTAAATTAATCACAACCACCCTACAGTAAAATAAACTACCCTATGAAGTAGAAAGCTCTCAGTTACATGTGGAGCCCATCTGTTATGACCTGCTCCCTCCCGGGAAGTAGGCCAGTCCCCATCCACAGCTCAGAGACCAAGCGGCCAGCTTTCTCACAGAACTTGAAGAACCATTCAGGGCAGCTAGATCAAGTCCTGGCTGGGGATTCTGGTGACCCAGGAACCTGGGCTCTAGCATGTGGGCCCTTGGCATTCTTCCCAATGAACAAGTCGTTTCCTCAAACACCAGTTTCAATAGGTGAAGCCACTGTTTTGTTCTTTGGTCCTCAAGAGCAAGCTGATATCTTGCTTTTCATTCTGTTCACTATTTCATTATTTCTTAAACTGGAGTCTTATCTCTCTCTGAGCCCCAGTCTCTACAGGTAGGTCTCTGGAACTACCCCGAAGGGGTAAGGCTGTCAAGCCCCCAAGGCATCAAACAGTTGTCAGCCTGGATCATTGCCTACTGCCTGCTGCCAGGAGCCCTGACGCCAGGCCTGCCTATCAATTTTAGGGCAACTGACAAAACTCCCTGCCCTCAGCCCTCACTATATATCAGGCACTGAGGATAAAAAAAAAAGGAACAGTACTTGCCCCCAAAGAGCTCCCAGTCTAGCAGAGAAGTCTTCATATTTGCAACTGATCACACAACTAATACTTTATATAAATGAGAAATTGGAATGTAAAGAACCACTGAGGTGTGGCATAGGGAGGGTTCTCAGGATAGACTTCAGAGGACATGGCACTTGAGCTAGGTTTTGAAGGATGACCAAAGCCTTAAGAACTTTCTGAGGAAGAAGTATGCACAGGTTCGAAGGCAACACAGACCCTCACTTTTACTCTCCCTCCCACCTCCTTTTGCCCTCTTCCTTTTTCCCCCATCCATTGCACTGCCACTTCTAGTAGTGGTTATTTGGGAGAGATTCTGTTTCTTTCCTTTGGATTTCCAAATTCATACTTCTCCTACTCCACCCTGCACCTTTATGGTCCCTTGTTCCACAACAGGAACAGATTTTGTGTCTTTACCCACATGGAAATTCAACAAATAATTTAGTTCAATTCAGTAAGTGCCGATTTATTGAGCTCTTAATATATGCTAGACACGTGGGACATAGAGATGAAAGAGCCTGTTCCCTGCCCTCAGGGAGCTCAAGGAAACAAGGGAAGAAGCTGTCTTCTACCTGGCTCTGACTCAAATTCTCTCCACTTTCTCTCTTTTCCCACACAAACCCAAGTCCCATGAGTAATTAACAAGATGAGTAATAGATCTTCACCCAGAAGGTACATCTTGCAAGCTGGAAAGTTTAGCAAAAGTGGCTTTGTATAGTTTCCTTTTTTTTCTTTTTACACCTTTGAAAGGCTCTGAAGACATGGCAAATGTAACTTTGAAATCAGCAGAATCTTTTTGAGGGGCAGCTGGTATAGGAGGAGTGACTTGGTGGACTTGTCACCTGGGCTGATGTAGTCTTTTTCTGGGTTTCTGCCTTTCAGTGATTACCTGATTTTCTTTTTCTGTGTCTGTCCTTCAGCTCATCTGATTCTTTATCCTCCTTCTCCTCCCACCCCCATTCAAGATGGAAACGAATCTTGGAAAGTTATGAAAGATGTAGGTAAAGGGGGAGAGGGCATCTTCCACCTGCCAACCACAAGAACAGACTTCAGAGGCAAAGTGAGGATCACCCTGGCCATGTGATACTTCCATCTGGAGACCCTGCTTCTGAGTCGATGTCTTTCAGAAGAGGCTTTCCTCATTCATCAGAAACCCACCATTTACCGTCTTCACAGGGATGACCCAGGCTTGTCTATGTCACCTGATCTGCCACAGTATCCTCACCCATGATCTCACTTAACTAACCCAAAGGCCTCCCATGTTCTGATAAGCTCACCTTAGATTCTGGCCTGCCACAGAAAAGTATTAGCCCTTCATCCTCCCAGCCACTCTCTGGCATATTTATTATTGTTCACTGATAAAATTATTGGCTACAAACTCAAGTCAAATGAGAAGATTCACTCCCCCAAAAGCTCTTTTCTCTTGACAAAAAGCCACCTCAGCCTTTTGCTTCCACCCTGCATTTGTTTCGCTAAACTCCACATTCTGCTAACATCAATCATGTGATGAGAGGGCTAAAGAGAGGAGAACAGAGCTGGGATGGCAAAGACATCAGGAAGGTGCGAGAAAAGGAGGGATGGCTGTGCCTCCCTTCTCTCAGAGATGAAAAAGAGGCAGCCACCCTCTACCTGGGCACTGGCCCAGGCAACTCTCTTGTAATGATGCCACCCAGTGCTCCAGATACCACACTGGGACATTTCTATCTGATTAAGGCACAGTGGAGAAACCTCATATAAGGAATGAGTTTCACTTTGGCTGGGCATGGAGGCTCACGAGTTGTGTAATCCCAACACTTTGGGCAGCTAATGAAGTACCATCACCCGAAATCAAGAGTTCAAGACAAGCCTGGCCAACATGGTGAAACCCCATCTCTACTAAAAAGACAAAAATTAGCCAGGCATGGTGGCGTGCACCTGTAGTCCCAGCTACTTGGGAGGCTGAGGCAGGAGAATTGCTTGAACCCGGGAGGCAGAGGTTGCAGTGAGCCAAGATCGCACAACTGCACTCCAGCCTAGGCAACGGAGAGAGACTCTGTCTCAAAAAGAAAAAAAAAAAAAAAGAATGAGTTTTAAGGGAGTAGGAGAAACCTCACTCTCTCTCCTACTCCCACCTCTCATTCCCTGTTTTCTCCCCTCCAGTCCCAGACTCCCCAACTGCTAGAGTGATTAGGGACCCTTCAGGGAGGCCTACTCTTCCTTTTCTTTCTTCTCGTTTTTTGACTCCTAACCCTACCCCTTCCCACACTCTAGCCCGCTGCCTTTCACAGCTCTCTTTTCTGGATCACCCAAAAAAAAATGGAGACATTCTCTTTGTTCTGTTACACCCCAAGAAAGAGGAAAAGAAGACATCTGGCAGGGCCGTCCCTCCTGTGGCCCACTGCCCCTCCCACCTTCCCCCAGCAAACCAGGAAACCGGAAGGAAGGAATACCAACCAAGTTCCAGCCTGCTTCTGTGAAAGTGCACACCTCTTCCAGCTGAGAGGATTTATGTGAAATGCATAGTGTAAATAAACAGTTTTTCCTGAGGCCTGCAGGGTTCTAAAAACACTATGACCATGCTCTGTGAATTGGCTGAACTATTTTCAATGGAATACAAGAGCAACTTAAAAGGCTTAGTTGCCTCCTTCTCCAGGCTGTCTGTCCACCTTTATCTACTTGAACTTTTTTCCATGCCTCCCCTGCTTCCTGCAGACATGCTCTCCTCTTCTCCCCCAATGCAGGCTCTCCAGAGAAAGTGGAACTGACATTAGGGATTCAGAAGCATTTTACCAACCCCTTAGCCTCAGGTAGCCACATAAAGCCACACAGGAGGCGTGGAAAGAAGATGGTCCCTAGTACTTCCTACCATTGCATTGTTCTAGCTGCCCACATGCTTCTCTACCTACATCCACAGGAAGACCAGACACATCACCCTGTGGGCCCTAGTTCATGGATGCTTCCCATACTTCCCTGACAAACTCAAGAGGCCTATCAGGTCTCTTGCAGCAGCCAAACATAGGCACCTTAGACTCCAGCCTGCCGAAGGCCCAGGCCCCTGTGACCTTGCACCCGGCCCACTCCCTGACCTGCCTCCTTAATGCGTTATCTTGTCTGTTGAAGCTGCTGTTTCTCCTCAGTGGTCCCATTTACAATTCCAGACTGGAAGATTTCTTCTTCTATTGTTCCTCAATGAAGCAGTCTTTTTCCTCACTGCCTTCCCTTGCTGGTCAATTAACCTCATCTAACCCAATATCAGAGAGGAGCCAGCTGGTGGGGGGAAGAGCTTGGCCCCCTGGAGAACTAGAGAAAGTAAGAGGATGTGGTGCAAAAGTGCCCTTTCCTCCAGCACCCCACGGGATCAGACACAGACACGAGTCCTCTTCCTCGCTCGTCCTCCCTAAAAAGGTACGCATACCCAGGAACATAATGTATTTCTTTAGTAAATTACCCCCATGCCACCACCATGACTCCGATTCCATCAACGACTCAAGTGACCTGACAAGAAACTGCCTTGGCCTCTGAGGTGTGCACCACAGGCCTGTTATAATGGGACCTCTAGCGGGGCCTTCTAGGGGGGCCATGGTTCCCCCAAGACTCCGGCCTCCAGCCAAGACACAGACAGTTTACTTCAAGAGCTGCATCATTCCCCAGCCTTCTTCTTTTGCTCCTATCCCCTAAGACCCAGTTCTCAGTGTCACCCTGAAGCCTTCCTCAGGCTCACTGACCCCCATCAGGCACCCCATCACAGAGTATCTTAGCCATCCTGGGGTCACTCAGACTTCAGGCTCTGCCACCCACATCCCTCACCTATTGCCCTGGAAGGCCCCCTGAGGCCAAGGCCATACGTCCATAAGCCTGCCAACATCCAAGGAGATGCCTGCTGAGACCACTAGACTCCAGAGCTGGCTAAGGTAGCCCCACCCTGCCCACTCTCCTCCCACCGGCCTGCCTACCATTTTAGCATTTGCATGAATTCACTCTTTTATTTGTATATCATATTAACATACCTAACATATACTTCTAGATTAAATATTCAATGTGTTCACATTTTCTCTGAGGTTTAGTTTATATTATTAGGCTCCAGCCTTGTCTTCTCTGTGAAGAAATGACCCTTATTTTCCTTTGAGAAAAATTCCTTTCAACAGTAATGTGTTTTTAGTATTAATTTTGTAAAACTGCAAAGACTGGATTCCGTAACCACTGGGAGGACAGGAAAGACAGGGGAGGGGACATCTTAGGAGTTTTCAAAACAGGAACAGAGATGAAACGTGAGCCTCGAACAGCATTTTATTTCTCTTGCTAATGACCTGACATCTCTGTGCACAGCCTAACTCCTTATGCCACCCCTAAAATGGCTCCTACACAGGTTAAAACTAGAGAATAACAAGGTTTTGCACCCCAACTAGTCAACCAAGAGAAGAGATCTGGGCTAGAGTGCAGGACCACAAAAACAGAGGAACGGGACAGGAGGTGAGATGGAGAAAGCTCTGCTCCACCCATGGTGACCAAAGAGTGGAGGAGGCGACCCCAGGGCTCTGCAAAGTATCCATTTCCACAAGACCAAGATGAGAACGGGTGGGGGAATCCAATAGAGCCAAACGGCTAACGGCAAGGTTTAGGATCATGGCAGGTTGCCAGCCAGTCAAAAGCCCTGTTGGCTCTAATGTTTTCACATCATCTTATTTTATTTTCTTTTAACCTTTGTTTCCCTGTAAAAGTTCGTTTTGAAAAATTCCAGTCTTGTCCTAGGCTGCCGCGGTGCAAAGGACTATGCTCACTCCCATGGCAATAATGCTGGCAGACAACTTTGCAGACTCTTCCCTCCTGCCTGTTACATGCATCTCATCAGAGGGGGCTTTGGAGGAAAAACAGAGGTCTGGGCTTAGGGAAGGGCAATAGTATAGGATGGGGAGTTTCTGCTTCCTTTGAATCTTATAACACATTAGAAGGTATTCCTCCCATCCCTAAGTAGGAAAACAATTCACCCAAAACCTCACTCCTGAATCTTAAAAGCATCAAGTTCCAAATATGCCACAAGCAGAAGAAATAATTCAGGGTACTCAGATGGGGATCAGGAGTCTCATCTCATTTCTGGTGGCCTAGAGGCAGCCTTAACCATTACATAACACAACTACCCAAGGAGCAAAGTGACACAGAGACACCTCTTCAACCTCACCCTCAGGCATTCCCATTTTATTTTCATCACCTTTTCCATCCAGGCCTGTCCACCTTCATCCATGCTCTTTTCCCCTCTCTCAACCAGGCTACTGCAGCAGACTTGGAGAGAGTAAGGACTCACAACTCCTTCCTGCCTCCTTCTACTCCTCATTTTCTCCCCTCCCCTCCTTTCCCTGTATACGCCCATGTGGAAGGGAAAGGGGGCAGCTGGCAATGTTTACCTCTCAGGAGTGCCCTCACATTATCTAGGAATTAGCGCAAACCCCTTGTCTCTGAATCACTTAAACTCTTCATAAGCTGAGGGATCTATTTTTTAGCAAGTAGGGACACCAAATGCAAGTTGGGAAAGTTTAGCTCAGAAAGTATGATGGTTGGGCTCTAAATCCTTGATGGAGGGCATAAAGATCCCCTGAAAATGAGCATAATCATTTATGAAGAAAAGCAACAGAAGAGATGTAGAGGCGGCATCACTGTTCAGTGACTCTGTCTTTCTGTCTCTGCATATATCACCTTGGTTCAGTTTCTCCCCATCCCTGTCTCTCTTCTTCTTTCCTACCCTCCTGCTCCCCACTCCTCACTTTACTGCAAGACATATGACAGGTGACAGGCCTAGGAGGCTGGGAAGGACGGGAAGTTTAATCTCACAGAAAGTCCAGCTACAGAACACTACCCGGGAGTAGCAGAGGGAGGTAGAGGACTCATGCGCCCACCTGCTCTCCTGCCACCGGCTGGGTTTCTCTGCCTGCCTGCCTTCTCCCCCACCTCCTCAAAGCCTCCTGGTGACCATCAGACCCTGTCACCACTTCCCACTGGCAGAGGGAAGAACTTGGAGAAAAAGTCCATGAAATCAGGGGATAACTAGCTCCCAGTGTGCCGGTTACTGCCTCCTCTTGGACATTTCCCATATTTGGAGTCACCAAGACAAGGCCACCACACAGGAGAATCATCTACCCTTCCAAGCTGAAAACCCATGTTCTGTTGCATACAAGCTTCCCATGCATGGAGATGGTTTAGTGGAAGTCAGTACCTTAAATGACAAAGGCCATTTTCTGAAGCCCCAAACCCCGGATCCATTTTAATCACCCTTGGTGTTTTATTAGAATCATCTCAGGGAGAAGTAGGAGCAAAAAGAGACATCCTTAGATGACCTGAAGAGTCAGCTAAATGGCCTGCCATCTCTCATGATTCTCCATCACACTCATTTGCCTCTCTTGCCGTCATCTGCTTATTTCCTCTTCTCCATCTCTGACTCTGCCCATGACCCTCTCAGGCCTGTTTGATTTCCTTCTGGTGGGAGGGGAGAGTACCTTTCCAGACTAGCAACAATTGGCTTCAGGGCCCTGCTCAGTACCTGTGCCCTCCTTACCCAGGCCCTACTTTCCTCCCAGCCCCTTGCCTACAACCTTAGTCAGATTATCAGAAACACTTCTAGTCATTGACTATGAGTAAAACATCCACAATCATCAGAAACTAGCTCTCATTGAGGGCCAGTTTATCCTCACTCCCCACTACCATGCTCCATCAGGTTTTCTCCACTGCAAGGCCAACAGCCTCTATCATGATGCTAATTATCTCCACATTAGCACCTCAACTGTGATGCCACTGTCCATGCCACATCCCAGCATGCTAACAAGGAGACTTACTCCACTCCTATCCAATGACTTGTTCAGCCCTTGATCCATGGAGATAAGAAATGAGAGCACCTTCTAGAAACCAACTTCCAAGCTTTGGCTTCCACAAGCACCCCACTGCCTAGCTCATCTGCCCCACCCAGATCTGAACACCATGAGCAAGATCATCAGGAGTTTCCTGGGAGCCTTAACAAAATTCTGAACAGTTTCCATAAAGTGGGTAGAAGTGAGTAAATGCAAGGCTTTCTGGAACCATAGAAGACTATATAAATTTTCTTTGTAAATTAGGAGAACCATATTCAGTGGAAATAGAAATAGAAAAGACTTTGAAGATTTGGCAGGTAAGTTAACTGGGTCATTCCAGGGCTGTCTCTCGTAACCCTCTCAGTCCAGCCTCAGCCTCTGCTGTCACTAATCTCTCCATCTTGTCTCTGCCTTCTTCTCTGTGTCTCTCCTCTCTCTGGCCTACCTTATCTTCCCCTCTCCCTACTTGCTTTTCCCCCAGACATTATAGAAGAGAGTTCCTTAGGTAGTAGGCTAGTCCAGGTGGCTTTGCATTTCAACTGTTGCTCAAAGAGAGCTTGTTGGTTCCCCTACAGATACATATTTAAGTGGAATTTGGGGTCTCAAAAGCACTCTTTGCTCTTCCTTCAACATCACCTTCTCTTAGCTACCTCAGAGCTGCCCAGTCTGCACCCCTCCCAACAAATGCCAATCATTCGATGACTTGCTAAAAAGAGAGCACACATTAGTGAGGGTAGGAAGGCCAAGGGAAATGGAGTATTGACATCAGGAGTTTCATTTTTTCTGTTCAGAACCTTGACGCACTGTACTATGCACTCTCTGTTTAGGAGCCTCAGCTGATACACACCCTGCTTGCCAAATAGAAAATTTAGAAGAGTCTTTTCCTCTCTTCCCTCAGAAATTTGTGGTGCCTGAGTCGGTTGACATTTGTGACAATGATTGTTGGGAATTTCCAATGGAGTCTTGAATCTCACCACCATTCCCTTTTCTTAGGAGAGACAACTAGGGGGGCTCCTCCCCATGACCCCACCCCAGCAATCATGACAACTGTTATGTATATCATACATGGTTCACCCAGGGCCTAACCATGCCACAACCCATTCTACTTCTCACCTGTTCCCCTCTCTTTCACCTCACTTCTAACAGGCTCTATTGAAGACACTTGGAAGGGCAGCCTCTCCCCATGCCTACTTCCCATCCTTTGGGTTTCCAGCTGCAGAACATACCAGCACCCTCTCTCTTTAGTTCAATTCTTCCCTCTCATTCACCCAATGGAGGAGTGGTTTCTGCAGCTCTCATAATCACGGGGGGAGAGAAGCGGACAAGTAGAATGGACTATTTTCCTGGCACTCTTTTACTTCTCCACTCACTTCCTCCAACTGCCTTTGAACTACTAGACTTGAACGACCCCTCCCCTACCCTTCCAAAGGGAGCAATAATAATAGCTAGCACTTACTGAGTGACAACTATGTACCAAGCGTGGTTTGCTCAGCTTTTCTGGGACTCCAGCTCTCAGTCCCTGTGGCACTCTCTCTTTCCTTTGTCAAACTTTCCATCTCTCAACTCCCTGTCTCATCTCTCTTTATCTCCAACTCCATCTTCTAACCAGTTATGGGGTAATCCACTGTCATTCTTCCAGAGGCCCCATCTTATGTGACTAGACCCTTCAAGGATAGGCCACCCCATCTCTATGCTCGGACCATCACTAGCTACTCTCAGGAATTGTCTCATGGTCCAGGCTACCCTTTTCACCATCCAAGCCAGCTCTTACCACAACCACTGCCTCATCACCCCACTGCCAGTTAGCCCCCGATTCCTGGACCTTAAGAGTCCCCTGAAGTGACCCCATCCTTTCCCCCAGGTCCCAGAACCTATCCAGACCCCAAGAATGGCCACGGCATTTCACACAGGTTACAAAAGCTGCAATAAGCATTTTTGACTCCAGCCTTCTGCTGCGTGACTCCTCTGTCCCCATTCCCGGCCACCTTTCCCCTCCCTCCTGCCCACTCACTTGCCCACCAACTGTTTAGCAAAGCAAAACCCCCTTTATAAAATGATTCATTCAATATGACACTCTCATTTCTCCTGAAGGGTTCGTTTGTACTTTTAGAGCCCCAAACGCATTCCTTCTTTGGAAATTTCTTTACACCCTTTACTGAGAAGACCCTGGATTTTGAGTGTGAAAAATGGCTGAATCTACTTCGGAAAAGAATAAAACCGTTACCCCAGGATCTCGCAAAGCGAGAATTGACTGGTAACTGCCATCACGCTTCCAAGGCTCATCATTCACTGGGCTACTGACCTGTCAATCACTTCTGCTAGGCCAATGAGCAGCACCCCCTGACACAAACGGAGGTTGGAGGACAGGCCAATCGCTCCCAGCTATTTGAGCCAATGGAGAAGTTCCTGATGCCCACACCTGCTGGTCTCACCGCTAGGGCCTGGGCATCACAGGCAGGGGGAATGGGGAGGGGACGGTAGCGTCAGCCTACACCCACACGCAGGTTAGAGCCTTGGACGGGGAAGCGGAAAAGGCTTAGCAGCTACTAATGGGTTCTATTAATAGTAGTAGTGTTAGGTAGGCTGCACTGGCTGTATTCTGCCCCCATGCCTATCATTCCCTCACTCTGTGACCCTGGGCGAGTCTCTTCCTCATCCTGGTGCTCAGTTGCCTTTTCATAAAGAAAGGGTTGATTCCCCATGATCTGTTGACTCCTTTGCTTTTGGATATTTTGGAAGACGCCCTGCGTCACGGGCTAGTTAATTGTGAACGTCAGGGAAAGCACCAGAGTAGAGAAGCACTTCCAGGATCCAGAGCCAGGAGGATGCTCAAAAGGAAGGGAGGAGAGATGCCCTTCGGCCAAAGGGAGAGCTTGGAGGGTGAGGGGAAGTGGTTGCTTACCAGAAGGGCCTCGGAGTGTGAACTCAAAAGATAGAGGATGGCCGAGCGTGGAGGCTCATGCCTGTAATTTCAGCACTTTGGGAGGCCGAGGCGGGCAGATCACTTGAGGACAGGAGTTCGAGACCAGCCTGGCCAATATGACGAGACCCCATCTCTACTAAAAATACAAAAATTAGTCAGGCGTCATAGCAGGCACCTGTAATCCCAGCTACTTGGCTACTTGGGAGGCTGAGGCATGAGAATCACTTGAACCTGGGAGGTGGAGCTGCAGTGAGCCGAGATTGCACCACTGCACTCCAGCCTGGGCGACACAGTGAGACCCTGTCTTAAAAAAATAATAATAATAGAGGAAGCGTTTTGGTCCACTGTCCACTCACACAGGGTTAGGCGGAGAGGAAAAAGCTACTGAGACTGAAGAATGCCCTTTAACCCCACTTACTGGTTGTTTTGATTCTTTCCTGTAGTTTCCTGATAAAAGGTCCTTTGGAAACTTTGATTCTCTTCTCACCAAGTTGAACGGAGATGTGTTCCCATAGTAAGAGTGAGGCCCCTGCATTTGCTGCCCTCGGTTTTCCCAACTAACACCAGGGCCTCCCCCCTGTACCCCATTCATATGCCTCAGAAGCTGACAATGACTGTTGGGCTTTTCCAATGAATACCAGAACACCATTTCCTGCAGCCTGAAAAGAAGACAGTATAATTGTTTGGCAGCAAGAGGTGAGCATGGGTAAGGAGGGCGGAACTCTTTCACTCATACCCACGCCTCCTCCTCTCTCCTTTCCTTTTCCCCATATTCTTTCTCCCCAGCCCTTCCCTCCTCCCACCTCCTGACTCTAGCCCAGGCCAGCGAAATTTTTTCCACTTTTCACTCCCGCCTGAGAATTTCCGGGGGCCTGAAAGAAGACCTGTTCCCTAGCACTAGTTCATCGTCTGCTCCACTGAGAAATAACCAGCTACCAGAAAGTTTGAGAAATTGATTTGCAGAAAGAGGGCACCAAATCAGTTTAGAGTCAGGGTCTGTAGTCAGTAGAGTTGGCAAATGCCATTTCCCTGACCCACTGGGTATCTGAATACTTGTCATTGGCCCTTGAGAGCTCATCAACTGTGGATGTGCAATAAGCTTGTCCAGGACCAAAAGTGTCTCTTGCTGCTTAAATATCCACCAAAAAGATTCCACTTGTCAAAGCACCTGCCTCCCTGCACTGACTTCTTTTACCTTCTGTCTCTTTTTTCTCACTTTCACACTGTTCTCTTTTTCTCTTTTCCTGTGCCCTTCTCTCTCTCTGGTTTGATTTCTTTTTTCCAGGCCAAGCAGGAAACTAGAGATATGGTGACGGTAGTGGTCCCAGGGAGGAGCTTTAACCTGAGCACCACCCACAGAAGGCAGACCACCCTCCCAGCCGCAGTGCAAATGAATGTTGGCCCCCACCCAGGTCCCCAAGTGCTTTCCCAGTCACGCCCCAGCTGCCAGGTTTTTTTCTCCAGGCCTACTACAGATGGGTTACCCTGACTCCACCCCCAACACCCTCCAATGATTAGAACCACTGACTCCTCCCTCCCATGCCTGCCTCCATGGCAGGCCCCTGCAGAAACCAAACATAGTCACCTTAGACTCTGGCATACTGAGACCAGGGCTTGATCCTGGCCCCCTTGCCTCCCTGGCAATTTATCATTTAATAAAAATATTGTTAAAAAATATTCATGCGTCTAAAATATGTGTATTGTTTCAGAATGTAGCATCAAATTACATCCCAGCTACCCGGGAGGCTGAGGCAGGAGACTCGCTTGAACCCAGGAGGCGGAGGTTGCAGTAAGCTGAGATTGCGCCACTGCACTCCAGCCTGGGCGACAAGAGTGAAACTCCGTCTTAAAATAAAAATTTTAAAAAATTGGTTTCCCTGGGCACAGGACATTGCACCGGATTGGGGAGCATTTCCCCTACTCTGTTAGGACATTATGTAACAAAGACTGAGGGTTCTTGTGTTATTTATAACAAAAGGCCAAAAATAGTTACATTTGAGTTGGTTCATGTAGTGAACTATTGTGTAGCTGTTAAAAGGCATTTGAAGACTTTTTCATGACAGAAGGAAAAAGGCATATTCCAAAACTGTATGTACAGTATGTTCATAATTTTATAAAGTATCTATGTGCATAGGAACTTTGCAGAAAGACACCAAAATCTCCAGAAGTTGGAATTCTGGCTGATTTTTATTTTATCATTTTTTTTTATTTTCCACAATGAACATTATTATCATGAGAATAAAAGAAATCCCATATTATAAAAGTTGTTGGGTCTTCCCTGCTGGAAATGAAGAAGGAATCACAGCTGCTCTGGTGAGGGAGCTGTTAGGTCCAGTGCTCTCTGACACTTGACTGCTTAGGCCAGCGGAGGTGGAAGGCCCAAATGGGAGTCAGATCCTGTAATCCTGCCAACCATCAGGAGGAGACAGATTTAGATCTGGTGGAGGACAAGGCAGTCTGTTCCTCCCTCACCGCCTCCCACTCACTTTTCCTTTCTCTTGCACCTTCTTTGTGCTGTAGTGACAAGCACTCTGCTCTTAAGGGCAGAAGACCTGGGTCCACATCTTGACCCTCACACCCCCTAGATAGGTGGCTGGATGAATTTTTCAGTCCTACCAAACCTTACCCCGTTTACCTATAAGACACAGAGCAGAAGCCTCAGATTGATCATTAGCAGCTCAATCGTACCTAAGGGACTTTGCAATTTTTTTTTAACACACCCACATCTTCTTAACAGCAACTCTTTTCCCTCTTTCTAGAATGTCATGTGGTTAATTCCTTCTTGTCATTTGGGTCTCAGAGTGGCACCTCCTCAAAGAGTTCCTCACTCCCCTCAGTCCCTCTCCATACATTTTTTATTTTTGCTGAGTACTGTTCCCTAACTATTATCTTATACATTTGCTAGCTTGCTTCTTGTCTCCTGGAAATTAAATTCTTTGGGAGCAGGAATCTTGCCTGCCTTGAGCACCACTGTATCTCCATTACCTAAAACACTGTCTGTCACCAATTAAATGAGTCAAGTACTGTGCAATACATTTTCACCATGTTTTCTTATTTAATCTTCCCAAGAACCCCGTGTGGTTTATGTATGAGAGAAAAGTTAAGAACAGAGAGGTGAAGTACAATGAGTAAGTGACAAAGCCAGAATTAGCACTAATTCTGTAACACTTTCCACTTTGCTACCCCTCCCTCCCATGCAGCCAGCATGAAGCCTGTTTTGGAGAGAGGGCTGGGACGGTTCAAGGGCAGGGAACATGAAGAGCCAAATTTCTGAGTCTGGAAAGTTCAAAATAGGAAAAAGACAGAATTGGGTTATGGTCATGGGAAATAGGGGGAGCAAAGGCTGGAAAGAGCTGGAGAAGCTTGCTTGGAGTTTAGGATCTTGAGACCATTTTATAAGTATCTGAGTGACACATCCTCCCTTTCATTTATTCCATAAGTAGACATTGAACACTTCCTGTGGGTTTTAAGTGGTTCAGAACTTCCCTGGAAGGGGCAGCCCCTGTCCTTAAGTAAACACCTACTGTGTGCTCCATGTGGCTCAGGACACATCTAGGCTGGGAGATCGTTGTCCTTGTCCTGCCGGTGCCCGGGGTACTGCCTCGAGCCAACTGGGTGTCTGCTTAGTAGGGGTTACCTGCCCTGAGCAGAGACAGATGGGAGATTTCAGTCATCATTAAGGCTTATTGACCAGCAAGGCTGGAATTTCCCAGAGAGAGGAAGTAATCTCTCTGCTGACTGAGAGCAGACATCCTGCTGGGAGTAGTTACATAAATTCTGTTGCTCAAATTAATTAGGATTGTGATTCATTTGTTTAATGAGGAAGAATCTGATGATGGCAAGAGTCAAGCCAGCCTGGCCTTTCAGAGCCCAGCCAATCCCAGGTGACACTGTGGCAGGTGGGAGGATCCGGTGGCTGGAGCAGGGCTCTGCCATGGGCAGAAGAACCTAGCCAATCAGTAAAAGGAACAAACTGAGGCAGGCAAAGACAGCCAATCAGAATTCAGTGCTAGTTTAGAAGGGGATCCGAGGCTTTGGAGTCTCCTGAAGCTCATGTCTGTGTAGTCTCTCAGCCAAGCATGGAAGGATCTCTCAGCTTCATCCAGAGTCTTACACCCTCCTCTTTTTCCAAGCTGTGGAGAAAAATTTCTGACCTGAGATCACCTCAGCAGCACTCCCAGGACCCATCCAGCCATTTCCCCCATCCCCAAAATTTGCAGGAGGAAGGGTTATTTCAATAAAGCAAAAACCTGTTGCCTGAAGCATATAAAAAGATTCTTCTCTTTCTCCTACCTCTACTTACAAAGTGACCCCTCCCTTCTACTCAGAATGTCCCTACTGCCTATTCAAGGTAAGCCCCAAATCCCACCAGCATCACCTTCATTCTACCTGTGAGGCCCCTGCTGGCCTGGGTCTCAGCTTCCTTAAGACCTGGGTCTCAGCTGCGGTAATACCGGTGAGAGACAGGATGGTTGCTGGATGAGGGTAGCCACAGTGGGGAGGGAGAGATGCAGAAACTCCACACAACTCCGGGGGTCATGATTCATATTATAGTGTATGTGATGGTGCCCTTTGGGATAGAACAGAAAAGGTGCTTCCTGAAGGTGTGTTTCCTGGTGGCCCTGAAGAAAAGGGGCCAGAGTCAGCAAATGTTTGGAAAGGCAGAAGGATTTGGTGATGGACTACATGTTGGGGAAGAAAAAAGGAGAATAATGCAAATTTTGGGACTTATGAATTCACAGCAACATCTACAGAAACCCCCACGGAGCCTTGTTTTCTTTCAAGGCTCACCCACCTCTTACTGTGACAGACCAGACTGGTGTGACCTGGATAAATCATGAGTTGGGCACAACAGGACCTGTAATGAAGCAGGAGTATTGTCAAGGGTGGGTGCTGGGCTGCCCCAAGGGCTTCGTCTTCTCTGCATACCAGGCCGAGAAGCTTCACCTGGAGCCTGGTCAGTTGTGCCTCAGTTAGAGAATGTGTAGCCACAAAGGGCCACTGGTCTGGGAACCAAAAGTACAAAATGGAGTGAGCTAGGACAGATCTTGTCAGCTCTCTGGGCCTTACTTGCCTCGTCCTTGAAAGGTGCCTATTGTCTGCCCTGAGGAGAATAGATCTTCTGCTCTTGCTCCCTATAGACTGTCGCCCATCAGCTGCTAGAGAGATCTTTTGTAAATTTAAGTCAGACCTTGTTATTTCCTATATTTTAAATCCCTCTAAAGCCTTTTCAACACATTCAGAATTTCTAAAAAAAACAAAAAAGAGAAACTAATCCTTGGCAAAGGAGGCCCATGTGATCTAGCCCCTGCCTGCCTTTCAGTCACCCTCCTCTGCAGCTCCCATCCCTCACCCCACTCTGCCCATGCCAGCGCTCCTTCTGATCCTTGAATCCAAGCCCATTCAAATCATAAGGCCTTTGCACTGACTGGTCTCTGTCCCTGGGGCATCTTTCCCCAGCTCTTTACATGGGTGGAAATTCAATTCTGCTTAAATGTCACCTTCTTGGACAGACTTTCCCCAACTAATCTAAAGTAGCCCAGGCTCCATCCATTACCCTGTCTAATTTTTCATTGTAACATTTTTTACTACCCTTCTTTTATTGGTTTGTTGTCTACCTTCCTCACCTGGAATTTAAGGTCCACGAGCCCGAGGGCTTTCCCCATGGCATCAGTCAGGGTCCAGCCAGGAGAACAGGAACTGCACTACATATTTCAGAGGTGTCATTTAATAAAAGAAGTTACTTTCAATAAAACATATTAGAGGGAGAGGAAAAATCTAAACACGAACACTGAAGTAAGACAGAGGTAATAACCACAAGAAGTAGTGTGTGTTGTCAGAATCTATGTACTGGGGCCGGGCACAGTGGCTCACACCTGTAATCCCAGCACTTTAGGAGGCTGAGGCGGGAGGATTGCTTGAGGTCAGGAGTTCAAGACCAGCCTAACCAACATGGTAAAAACCCATCTCTACTAAAAATACAAAAATTAGCTGAGTGTGGTGGTGGGTGCCTATAATCCCAGCTACTCGGGAGGCTGAGGCAGGAGACTCACTTTAACCCAGAGGCAGAGGTTGCAGTGAGCCAAGATTGTGCCACTGCACTCCAGCCTGGGCAACAGAGACTCCATCTCAAAAACAAACAAACAAGCAAAAAAGAATCTATGTGCTGTGAGGAAGAACCCACAGAGGTAGGAGCCAGTCCTCCAAGGGGGCACCACCCAGCTGCCACTCACCTCTAAGGTGGCATAGGGAGGCTGGTTCTGGGAGCGTTGAAAGGAGCTAGAAACTAGAGCCAGCTTCTGCCACGAGGAAGAAGGGCCATTGCTGGGGCAACCCTGGCAAGCATAGAGGAAGCATAAAGGAAAGATCAGTTTCCTGCTTCCTCTGCCTGCCTTCCAGTGTCCAACTAGTATCACCGCCAATGAAAACCGGAAGTCCCATGTCAAAGGATATACCAGCCCCAGCATCACAAAGAGAGCATTAAAAGGTGGGATTTGAGCCAGGCGCGGTGGCTCACACATGTAATCCCAGCGCTTTGGGAGGCCAAGGCAGGCAGATCACTTGAGATCAGGAGTTCAAGACCAGCCTGGCCAACATGATGAAATTTCATGGGCTTGTGGACCTTAAATTCCAGGTAGGGAAGATAGACAACAAACCAATAAAAAGAGAGTAGTAAAAATCTACTAAAAACACAAAAATTAGTCGGGCGTGGTGGTGGACACCTGCAATCTCAGCTACTTGGGAGGCTGAGGCAGGAGAATCACTTGAATCCAGGATGTGGAGGTTGCAGTGAGCTGAGACTGTGCCACTGCTCTCCAGCCTGGGCAACAGAGTGAGACTCCAACTCAAAAAAAAAAAAAAAAAAAGGTGGGATTTGGAGCAGAGATACAACAGCAGAATGACTAGTACACCTGTCTTGTACAGTTCCTTAGCCCCATGCTGGAAGAGTGCTTGGCCTCTAGTAGACAATCAAATATTTGTTGAATGGATGGATGAAAAATGAATCATGCACCATATACAGTGTTAGTAGCTAGGGGTGCAGATATGAGACACACACTCTAACCTCAAGTGGCTCACACTCTAGTAAGAGAAACAGGCATTGTTTATGGTTCAGGATAAGTGTAACAAGAGAAGCACCTGCAATGTACTTTGGAAGCACAGAAGAGAGACTCGTCATGGCCAAGGACAAAGAGGAATTAGTGAGACACACAGGGAAGCTGATGGTCAGAGGTGTGAGGTTGCAGAGCACGTTAGGGCTGGGAACAGTTCATACAAAGTCAGAGCTTGGAGAGAGTATGACTCAAGTAGTTCATGACAGCTGGAGCATCCATAGGACATCAGGGAGAGCTGAGCCTGGAAAGCTCAAGTCCAGCTCATGAAGGCTTCTTATGTCATGCTCAAGGTCAAGGAGCACCGGCCAGGGTTTCACCTCAAGGCAAAGGAGTACTGGCCAGGATTTATGAGCAGGACAGCACATGATCAGAGAGTAACATGATCAGATCTGAGGAGTATGAGTTTGCAGGGAGAAGAATGAAGACTGGAGCCCAGTTAGAAAGTTTTTAGAATAGGCCGGGCCCAGTGGCTCAAGCCTGTAATCCCAGCACTTTGAGAGGCCAAGGCGGGCAGATCACGAGGTTAGGAGATCAAGACCATCCTGACTAACACAGTGAAACCCCGTCTCTACTAAAAATACAAAAAATTTAGCTGGGCATGGTGGTGGGTGCCTGTAGTCCCAGCTACTCGGGAGGCTGAGACAGGAGAATGGCGTGAACCCGGGAGGCGGAGCTCACAGTGAGCTGAGATCGCGCCACTACACTCCAGCCTGGGTGACAAAGTGAGATTCTGTCTCAAAAAAAAAAAAAAAGAAAGAAAGAAAGTTGTTAGAATAGTCCTGGATAAAAACGATGCTGCCTTAGTCCATTCCTGCTGCTATAACAATGCTATAAACAATGCTATAAACAAATGCTGCTATAAACAAAATACTTCAGACCAGATAATTTGTAAATTATAGAAATGTATTTCTCACAGTTCTGGAGGTCAAGGTGCCGGTAGATTTGGTGTCTGGTGAGGGCTTGCTCTCTCCTTCCAAGATGACACCTTGTTCCTATACCCTCCAGAGGGGATGCACGCTATGTCTTCACATGGCAGAAGGATGAGAAGGGCCAGGCAGCTCTCTGAAGCCTCTTTTTTTGAGACAGAGTTTTGCTCGTGTTGCCGAGGCTGGAATGCAATGGCACAATCTAGGCTCACTGCAACCTCCGTGTCCTAGGTTCAAGTGATTCTCCTGCCTCAGCCTCCTGAGTAGCTAGGATTACAGGTGCCTGCCACCATGCCCAGCTAATTTTTGTATTTTGAGTAGAGACGGGGTTTCACCATGTTGGCCAGCTGGTCTTGAACTCTTGACCTCATGTGATCCGCCCACCTCAGCCTCCCAAAGTGCTGAGATTGCAGGCGTGAGCCACCACGCCCAGCCTCTGAAGCCTCTTTTACAAGAGCATTAATCCCATTCCCAAGGGAAGAACCCTCATGACTTAATCAGTTCCCAAAAGGCCCCACCTGTTAATACCACCACAATGGGGATTAAGTTTCAACATGAATTTAGAGGGACACAAACATTCAAGCTTTAACAGATAGGTATTCATCTAACTGTATACTTTCATGGATGTAGTTTGCTATTTGTAATTTATACCTCAATAAAGTCGGATTAAAACAAGAAATAAATGATGGGAATCTGAGCAAAGGCTGTGAAGGTTGAGGACCAAAGGAGGGGAAGAAAGAACTACCGAGGAGCTGGGATCACTCAGCCTGTAAACTGTCACGGGATAACCCAGGCTCCGGTGCCTGAGAGTCAGCCAGGTCGTTACATCGTCCCCTCACGAACGTGTAAGACTTCAGAGTTGGAAAGAGCCTTCAGAGAATACATCAGTGTCCCAACAGGAAACAGAACTCTGCTCAAATAGTTCAACTGAAGAGACCTTACTGAGGAGGTACTATTTACAGAAGGCTAGATTAAAGAAACCAAGAAGAATATTGAGAAACCCAGAGACTGCAAACTGCTGTGTATTAGTGTGTTGCCGCATTGCTATAAATACCTGAGACTCGGTTATTTATAAAGAAAAGAGGCCCTGGGTATGGTGGCTCATGCCTGTAATCCCAGCACTTTGAGAGGCGGAGGCAGGCAGATCACTTGAGGTCAGGAGTTCGAGACCAGCCTGGCCAACATGGTGAAACCCTCTCTCTACTAAAAATACAAAAATTAGCCAGGCATGGTGGGGAGTGTCTGTAATCCCAGCTCCTCAGGAGGCTGAGGTGGGAGAATCACTTGAACCCGGGAAGTGGAGGTTGCAGCGAGCCGAGATCATGCCACTGCACTCCAGCCTGGGCCACAGAGCGAGACTGTGTCTCAAAAAAAAAGAAAAGAGGTTTCATTGGCTCACAGTTCCACAGGCTGTACAGGAAGCATGGCAGCATCTGCTTTTGGGGAGACCTCAGGGAACTTATAATCATGGCAGAAGGCAAAGCCAGAGCAGGCATTCACATGGCCAGAGCAGGAGGAAGAGAGAGAGGGTGGAGGTGCTACACACTTTTAAACAACCAGATCTCATGAGAACCCTATCATGAGAACAGCACTAGGGGAATGGTGCTTAAGCATTAAAACTGCCCTCATGATCCAATTACCTCCCACCAGGCCCCACCTCCAACAATGGGGATTACAATTCCACATGAGATTTGGGCAGGGACACAGATCCAAACCATATCATGCTGGAAACCACCCATGGGCCTAAAGAAGGTTACTGGAGCCCACTGAGGCCTGGAGCAGTGGGAAGGACTGCTGGAAAGAAGCTATAGCCAGGCAGAATGGCACTGGCCCAACCCTGCATCAAAGCAGAGAGGTAGCAGAGAAGAAATACTCTCCCACTTTCCAGCCTCCTGCCTGTGTCTCCCAGTGGCCAAATCATACTGGAGCCAATAGACACAGGAACCCATTGATTCATTCCACAGGGATCAGCCTTCTGAGGCACAGAGCAATTCTAAGAAGGAGAGACAATGAATTGAAGACGACAAGTGGAGAACAACAGCATCATGTACTGCAATTTCCACCCTGTTGTTTTTCCCCAGAAGAAGCCTCAGAGAGTGGAGGCAATCTGCCAAAGGCCATGTAGCAAGTTAGGACAGGGCCCTTAGCTCCTCTTCCTTGGGGCCCAGGTTCCTTGCACACTGGGCCTGCACCGAAGGCAGCCAGGTGGGATGCCCCATTGTCTTGGAGCTGCAGCTGCAGGTCCCAATTAGCCAGAGGAAGGCAGCTGAGCAAGGGCAGCAGTGGGCAGGGCCAGGAAAGATGAACATCCAAGGGCTGGCCACCCACCCTCAATGTCAGGAAGGTAATAGACACTTGCTTCCTTGTCTCATGATTTGCTACCTGCCCCCCTGGTCCCCATTTCCTCTCTTGAGTCCTCCCTAGACCTGGGGACAGGAACCCAGACCTAGGATTGGCAGGAACAAAGGGAGGAGACTCTGCTTCCCTGGTAGCCAGTGCTGCTCATCGATTCCCTAGAGCTGCTCACTGATCCAGCACAAGATGGTTTAATTGAAGTCACTACAATAAATGGTGCAGAAAAGCAACACCCTTTGTCTGCCAGGAGCCTCAGAGAAATGGGAGAGGGAGCTGGGAAAACCAGCAGCAGCAACTGCCATTACACGATGATGCAAAGGGGGTGAGACTGAGGCGTCACAGAGTCCTGGGTTCGAAGCCTGACTGGTCACTTACAAGTTATGTGACCTTAGTCAAGTCCCTTTATCTTCCCGAGCTTCTAGGTCCTAGTCTAGGAAAATGGGAATATTGTAACCTGTCCTCCCAGGCCCTGCATGACCCTGGGCCCTGCCTGCATCTCCAGCTCCATCTCCCACCACCTCTCACCTCCTGTCACTCTGCGGTTACCCACGTGGGTTGCTGTTCCCTGCCAGTCCTCATATTTCACTCACATGGATCTCTCCCCTGAAATGCCCTTCCCATTCCTTCCTTGAGTAATTCCTACTCACCTTTCAAGATTCAGATCCAGAGTCACCTCCTCCAGCATGACCCTCTATGCCCAGCCTCCCTTCCCCTGAGTGCCTCTAGCACACCCCGACTGCTGACATCCATTTGGCATTTGACACTCCCTCTCGTGCACAACAGTCTTTCTCTCTCCCTGTGGCTTATCTTCTCATGGAGATAAACATGGGAGCTGTATCTTCTCTTTCTCATCTTCACATGCCTAATATATGCCTAACATCACAGTCGTGTTGGGGTTGGGGGTACTGAGGTGCAGAGATTCAGAGTCCAGAGGTGGGCACAGCCAGGATGCAGCCGGCACTGGCAGATGATAACTCCCATGTAGCCACGAAGCTCCCTTCCCAGATAGTTAGGATGGTACGTCCACCATATGTTCTTGTCTTCAGCATGGAACACAGCCTCCTCTGTGCCCAGGACCAGCTGGCTCTCTGCTCAGCTCCATAAACTACTATCTGATTCAGTATCAGAGGACAGAGGATCCAAGTTGTGAAATCATAAAATGTCAGCATCTAACCTTCTAATGTAGCAAAAGTGATGTCTCAGTACCTCCAGTCTACGTCATAAGAAGCCTTATCATTTCCACTTGTGTCTCTTGGGATGCTCTCTCTCAGAATCCAGGTGCCCTTCCATGAGAAGCCCAAGCCATGTGGAGAAGCCACGTCTAGGGACTCCAGTTAACACTCTCAGCTGAGTCCCCAGCTGACAGTCAGCATCAACTGCCAGCCACCTCTGTCTAAAAGTGGGCTATCTTGGGCATCCAGCCCAGTCAAGCCTTCAGATGAGTCCAGTCCCAGCCACTATCTCACACAACCACACGAGAGACATCAAGAACTCCCAGTGGAGTCCAGTCAGCCCATGGAACTGCAAGAGGTAATAAATTATTGTTTTACAGTACTAAAAAAAGTTTTAAAGAAATGTAATAGCAATGTCATCTTACTTATGAGAAGCAGAAGCTCAGAAATGCCATGTAACTTATCCAAGGTCATAAAATAAGTTAGAGGCAGAGTACAGTGCAGCTAACTGTTGTCACCCATCATCAGCATCAGAGATGATAAAGGGAAGTGAGCTATCTGGGGTGGGAGTGGAGGGAGAGAGAAGGAAGCTAAATTGTGTAGGAAACATCCCAAGTTAATTCTGTTTATCTGTTTAAGAAGAAACTATTTCAAATGTATATGTATTTTTTTAATTTTAAAAAAGTGTCTTATGACTTTTCAGAGTTTACAGAGTTAATGGTTCTATATTTCAGCCTTGAGTTCATTTTGTTTTTTCTTCCCCCTTGAGATAATTAGCCATAAGCGTACCTGAGTACATTTTTCATGTCAAGAAGACAATGGCTTCAAAGGAAGGGAAAGGGCAGCCCCACAGGAGGCCCAGAAAAGAAGGCCAGGTGAAAAAAGCAAAGCCTCCCAGGGAAACATTCACATTTCCTGAATGATCTGTCATCAAAAATGCATGTGCATGCAGAGGGGCAACCAACAGAGTCAGGGCAAACGCAGCCAGGCTGGCCCCTGCTCCCAACTGTGCCCGGAGGACTTTGAAACACACCCATACCCAGGACAAAAGCAACCCTCCTTCCCGAAATCACTGCCACCTATCTGGCAAAACCACAAGTCCAAAGGAAAATCTTGGATTTGGCTTTTTTTTCAGGCTCCTAAATTTAAGCAACATTAATTTTTTAAAGGCCTGTCCTGCTCTCTATACTGCAATGGAAGATTCAGGGGAGCAGCATTTCATGGTAAGATTAGAACCAGGCCATTCTGTTCTTAATCCTTACCTTGGAGTTGATGTGAAAAGGTGTTGGCTTCACACTTGGATAGTCCTGGGACTGGGCCCAGTATTCCCTTGTTGTATGTTCTGGAGCATTGCTGTGAGAAGCCATTATTTTTTGCTTATGTCCCTGGGGCTTTATTTACTTCACCTCGTGTTTAATCTTCCCAGCAACCCTATGAGGGAAGTATATTACCTCATTTCAAGGGTAAGGAGATTAGTCTCAAAAAGAAACACACACTCCAAATAACAGATGGGATTCAAACCTTGGCCTGCCCAATTCCAGAGATCTGCTCTAATATGGTTTTGCTGTGTCCCTACCCAAATCTCATCTTGAATTCCCACTTGTTGTGGGAGTGACACGGTGGGAAGTAACTGAATCATGGGGACAGGTCTTTCCCAGGCTATTCTGATGATAGTGAATAAGTATCATGAGATCTGATGGTTTTTAAAAGGGGAGTTTCCCTGCACAAGCTCTTCTTCTCTTGTCTGCTGCCATGTGAGATGTGACTTTCACCTTTCACCACAATTGTGAGGCTTCCCCAGCCACGTGGAACTGTAAGTCCATTAAACCTCTTTCTTTTGTAAATTGCTCAGTCTCGCATATGTCTTTATCAGCAGTGTGAAAACGGACTAACAAATACTCTTCCCTGTACACCGCTTCTATCAGTTACATACTGCCATAATAATTCTGTGAAATAAATAATCACAAAACCTAGGTGGTATGGAATAGTAAGGCTTTATTGATCACAGGTCTGGGATGGTTGGCTAGGTGGTTGTGCTGATCATGGCTGGGCTCACTAACATGCTTAGGGCTTGGTTGCCATCGACTGACCTAGGCTGGCCTCAACTGGGACAGCTGGGATGACTCAGCTCTGCTCCAAGTGTCTCTAATCCTAGCCCAGGCATGTTCTCATGGCAATGGCACAGGTACAAGAGAGAAGGCAAACATGATTAGTTGCACAAGTATTTCTCAAGCTTTTGCTTACATCACATTTGCTGTTGTTATCCTGTTGGCCAGAGCAAGTTATATTGCTGAGCCCAGAATCAGAAAAGGACATTGCAGATGAATGGCAAAAGGTGTGCGTACAGGGAAGGGTAGGGATTTGGAACCAGTTTTGCAATCTACCACATGATCTTGGGTAAGTTACAGTCCCCTCTCAGAGCCTCTGCTCCTGCATTTTTTAATAGGATGGTATCTACTTCATAGGGCAGCTGAGATCATTAAATAAGACAAGCTGTGTGAAACACTAGCAAATTGAGAACTACCCTTCCTACTGATGTATTTCAAGTGTACAAGCCTGGGGGTGTTTGTACACATTAACAGAGATACATGAAAACCTCCATGTCTATTTCCAGAGTCCACAGAATTCTACCCAAGTCTCAGAGGTGAGATGGTCCAATCACTGAGATGATAAACAAGAATTGTAGAAAGAGAATAAATCAAGGAAGAAAACAATAAGTAAATGATGTAATTAAAGTTACTGTTGAATAACCTATCAAGGAGAGAATGAGTCAGTGGCAAGTTGAAGCGATGAATCAGGCACAATGTCATGTTTCTAGAATTCTTGTCTATTTCAAGAAAGCCTGATGTCCCAGTTAAAAGAGCACCTTGAGCCTGTAGCAACAACATCTGGAAGGAAACACTCTTGTAATTTTAATTCCTCCTGGGTGCCACCACTAACGACAGGAGCAGCACCCGGGTAGCACAGTTAGGCACTCCATAAAATCTCTCGTGGGAGGAGCTGAAAACTACAACATTACCTCAAATGTATTCAAGGGGATTTTATTTTTTATTTTTATTTTTGCTGGATTTATTTATTTATTTTTTTTTTTAATTTATTTTTTTATTGATAATTCTTGGGTGTTTCTCACAGAGGGGGATTTGGCAGGGTCATGGGACAATAGTGGAGGGAAGGTCAGCAGATAAACAAGTGAACAAAGGTCTCTGGTTTTCCTAGGCAGAGGACCCTGCGGCCTTCCGCAGTGTTTGTGTCCCTGATTACTTGAGATTAGGGATTGGTGATGACTCTTAACGAGCATGCTGCCTTCAAGCATCTGTTTAACAAAGCACATCTTGCACCGCCCTTAATCCATTTAACCCTGAGTGGACACAGCACATGTTTCAGAGAGCACAGGGTTGGGGGTAAGGTCACAGATCAACAGGAACCCAAGGCAGAGGAATTTTTCTTAGTGCAGAACAAAATGAAAAGTCTCCCATGTCTACTTCTTTCTACACAGACACGGCAACCATCCGATTTCTCAATCTTTTCCCCACCTTTCCCGCCTTTCTATTCCACAAAGCCGCCATTGTCATCCTGGCCCGTTCTCAATGAGCTGTTGGGCACACCTCCCAGACGGGGTGGTGGCCGGGCAGAGGGGCTCCTCACTTCCCAGTAGGGGCGGCCGGGCAGAGGCGCCCCTCACCTCCCGGACGGGGCGGCTGGCCGGGCAGGGGGGCTGACCCCCCCCACCTCCCTCCCGGACGGGGCGGCTGGCCGGGCGGGGGGCTGACCCCCCAACCTCCCTCCCGGACGGGGCGGCTGGCCGGGCAGAGGGGCTCCTCACTTCCCAGTAGGGGCGGCCGGGCAGAGGCGCCCCTCACCTCCCGGACGGGGCGGCTGGCCGGGTGCGGGGGCTGACCCCCACCACCTCCCTCCCGGACGGGGCGGCTGGCCGGGCGGGGGGCTGACACCCCCACCTCTCTCCCGGGCGGGGCGGCTGGCCGGGCAGAGGGGCTCCTCACTTCCCAGTAGGGGCGGCCGGGCAGAGGCGCCCCTCACCTCCCGGACGGGGCGGCTGGCCGGGCGGGGGGCTGACCCCCCCACCTCCCTCCCGGACGGCACGGCTGGCCAGGCGGGGGGCTGACCCCCCCACCTCCCTCCCGGATGGGGCGGCTGGCCGGGCGGGAGGCTGACCCCCCCCCCACCTCCCTGCCGGACGGGGTGGCTGCCGGGCGGAGACGCTCCTCACTTCCCAGATGGGGTGGCTGCCGGGCGGAGAGGCTCCTCCCTTCTCAGACGGGGCAGCTGCCGGGCGGAGGGGCTCCTCACTTCTCAGACGGGGTGGTTGCCAGACAGAGGGTCTCCTCACTTCTCAGACGGGGCGGCCGGGCAGAGACGCTCCTCACCTCCCAGACGGGGTCTCGGCCGGGCAGAGGCGCTCCTCACATCCCAGATGGGGCAGCGGGGCAGAGGCGCTCCCCACATCTCAGACGATGGGCGGCCGGGCAGAGACGCTCCTCACTTCCTAGATGTGATGGCGGCTGGGAAGAGGCGCTCCTCACTTCCTAGATGGGATGGCGGCCGGGCGGAGACGCTCCTCACTTTCCAGACTGGGCAGCCAGGCAGAGGGGCTCCTCACATCCCAGACGATGGGCGGCCAGGCAGAAACACTCCTCACTTCCCAGACGGGGTGGCAGCCGGGCAGAGGCTGCAATCTCGGCACTTTGGGAGGCCAAGGCAGGCGGCTGCTCCTTGCCCTCGGGCCCCGCGGGGCCCGTCCGCTCCTCCAGCCGCTGCCTCCCGGGCGGCGCTCGCCGGCGCGGCGGCAAAGACTCTATTTTTGCTGGATTTAAAACATTGTTTTTATGGGTAAAATGTAACTGAAAATATGACCATCATAACATACTTAAACCAAAAAACAAGTATTCAAACCACAGGTCTTATGTCAATTCACATCTGTCTTTTTTATTATTTTTTATCTTTTTACAGACAGGATCTCGCTGCGTTGCTCAGACTGGTCTCGAACTCCTGGGCTTAAGGGATTCTCCTGCCTCAATCACAGCCTCCCAAGTAGCTGAGATTAAAAGTGCTCACCACCGTGCCAGCGAGTTCAGTTTTTGAGGTAAAAACAAGTGCACTCAAAAAGAAAAACACTGACAAATGTGTTAGAGTGGAGCATATTCCAAATAAGAATCACAAGCCTCGAAGAGGGGCTTCTGGAGAGTTCAGAGACTTACAGGCTAAAGATGACAGACCTCGAAGTGAGCCAGACCCACTGTGTACAGAGGCTGGATTTGGTCAGGCAGTTTCTTGGGACTCAAAAGAAGTAGAATCAAACCAGAAACAAAAGAACAAAATTTCCAGAAATGCTGGGGTCTTGGGTGTGCAGACTGATCAGGATTGAGTGCTGTTGCCCAGTTCTGGGTCTTCTTTTTCTCCCCCAGCTTTATAGAGATGTAATTGACAAAAATTATATATATTTAAGGCATGCAATGTGATTTTTGATATGTGTATATATTGCAAAATGTTCACCACACTCAAGCTGATTATCTAACATATCCATCACCTCACATAGTTCCTTTTTTTTTTTTTTCCTTCAAGACAGGGTCTCACTGTGTCATCCAGGCTGGAATGCAATGACGTGATCTTAGCTCACTGCAACCTCCGCCTCCTGGGCTAAAGGAATCCTCTTGCCTCAGCCTCCCGAGTAGCTGGGACTACAGGGACATACCACCACATCTGGCTAATTTTTTGTATTTTCAGTAGAGGCAGGGTTTTGCTGTATTGCCCAGGCTGGTCTCAAACTCCTGGGTTCAAGTGATCTGCCCACCTGGGCCTCCCAAAGTCAATTTTTTTTTTTTTTTTTTTTTTTGGTGAGAACAATTAAGATCTACTCTCAGCAAATTTCAAATACACAATACACTATTGCTAATTGTAGTCACCATTAGATCTCCAGAACTTATTCTGCATATCTGGAACTTTGTACCCTTAGACCAACCTGTTCCCATATCCCCCATCCTCCAGCCCCTGGCAACCACCATTCTACTCTCTGCTCCTAAGCATCTGACTTTTTTTATATTCCACATATTAGTGAGATGTGTGCAGTATGTGTTCAAGGAGATTTTAAATTATTTTTGCAAAGGAATTTCCTGTGCAATATGCTATTTGATTGCCAAAACAAGACTGTGAATTCAGTGCAGGACAATGTGAATCACTCTACTCTATAGATGAGAACTGAGGCTCATACAGTCCTCTAGTTAGCAGCAAGACAAAGGTCAAAAGGCAAGCCTCTTAGGCTCTGTTATCTGAACTAACAGAGAACTGTATTCCAACTATTGGTAACTTCATTCAGATAATTTCACCCTCTGTAAGAAATAACACTGAACACTTATTGAGCACTTACCTTATAAGCATAGTAGTTCATGTAATCCTCGCCACAAACTGAGAAGTCAATCTATGTGGGTTCCTTCCATTTCACAGATAAGGGGAAATTGGAGCTCAGAGATTTAAGCCACCTGCCAGAGGTCACATGGCCCATAAAAGGTAAACCAGGATTCACACTCAGGTCTGCGTGACCCCACACACCAAGCTCAACACTGCCGTTATGGATAAATTTGCCCCCTACCCACACACACATATATGTTTTGCCCAGTTACTCAGAAAACACATTTTCTCACCTGTATTTTGCACTTCACTTTGCCTGCCCAGCCACTGCCTTTAACTGACACAACTCAAGGCATAGGGGCAAGCGATATTAGCTCAGGAAACCTGAGCTGTGACCCTGAGCTGCTGACAGAATGTCTGATATTTATAGCAACTTAGAGTCAAGCACCAGGAAAAGTGTGTTCTGGACTATTGCAGATGTCCTCAGGGAGAAAGAAAATATCTCTATGAAAAATCATGTGGGATGCTTAACTGATGGAACATCAAACATGAAAAGACAGTTCAATGGGTTTGCATCGGTTAAAAAATAATAGTAAAAGCATGACCCAGTCAACCTCTGTGGATAACATTCTTCAAACGTTTAGGATATAGCCACAGGAGAAGACCCATCACTAGTTGAATTTCTAAATTGCCACCCTGTACTTTAACTATCTTACTTATGCATTTTGTTATTGATTTAGATCTGTCCCATTCCACCAAGGATTTAAGGCTAAAGATTTAAGTTGTGAAGATGATAATGGATTGACTCTATGAATGGCCACATTTTTTTATGCCTCCCTTTTCCCTTGTCCTCGGGCAGTGTCCTCCGACACTGACTCTGTGCTTGGCCCTGTGACTTGCTTTGGCCAATGGTACAGCAGCAAACTTGATGCAAACACAACTTGAAAAAGAAGAGGACAGCCAAGTCATCCCAGCCAAGGCCACCCTGGACCAGCCAGCCTCTTGCCAAGCTGCCAGTGACCACAGAGTCCAATTAACAACAGCCAGTCCTGGCCCAGGTCAGCACACCCATGAGAAAGAACTTGCTATCATTTAAAGCCATGGGTTTGGGGGTGGTTTGTTGCACAGCAATAACTAACTAATACAGAAACTTACATTCTACAAAAATGCTATTAATCAACAAGCATATTAAGATGCAATCTCGGCCTGGTGCAGTGGCTCACACCTGTAAACCCAGTACTTTGGGAGTCGGAGGCGGGTGGATCACCTGATGTCAGGAGTTCGAGACCAGCCTGGCCAACATGGCAAAACCCGGTCTCTACTAAAAATACAAAAATTAGCTGCACATGGTGGTGGCCGCCTGTAATCCCAGCTACTCGGGAGGCTGGGGTAGGAGAATTGCTGGAACCCAAGAAGCGGAGGTTACAGTGAGTCGAGATCACGCCATTGCACTCCAGCCTGGGTGACAAGAGTGAAACTCCATCTAAGGAAAAAAAAAAGATGCGATCTCCACCGCTAGAAACTTTGTATTTACTTGTGGCAAGACAGAAAAAGGAAAAATACCAGGGAGATCTAATTAAACTATGTCAAAATTGTTTATATCCTATTCCCTCTACCAGGCCAAGCTCATATGCCAATTTCCTCATGGAACCTTTCACTCCTCCATCTCTTCGCCAAGTTGAAATGTTAACTTCTGCTTCTCTGGGATACTTCGGACCTTTGTTTAAAGCTCTCCCATCTGCTTTCTGCGCTATGTTTAGGGTTATGTCTGGATGGGAATAGGTCTGTCTCTTGCCACTACTGGTAAAATTGGTTCTTGCTTAGCATGATGTGGGCTCCCCACATCTGGCACAGTGACTTGCGCAGGTATGAGCAATCTTGATCAATGTTTGTTGAATGAATAGGCAAATAACTATTGTAAGAGTTTAGCATGAGGGAAAACTCCAACAGAAGTGTGGTAGTCAAGAAGGGTTGAATTAAGGAAGGAGGAGTTAATGTCCTTGACAGGGGCCTCCCATTAAGAACTCATAGAATTCATGGACAGAAGAATTTAGATGAGGAAAATTTTACATCTTCAGATTCACTGATCTCTGAAACTTCACATTTTCTTCCATTATAAATGTAGGCTACAAACCACAGAAGTAGATGTAACAGATACTTTGCTATCACACGTAATGTTGCAGATATTGGAGAGAGGAACAAAATATAATTTATGTTCATCACTACTGTACTTTGAAATTATAGTGGCTTTTTGGCCAGGCATGGTGGCTCATGCCTGTAATCCCAGCACTTTGGGAGGCAGAGGCAGGTGGATCACTTGAGCCCAGGAGTTTGAGACCAGCCTGGGCGAGACCTTATCTCTACAAAAAATAGAAAATTTAGCCAGATATGGTGGCATATGCTTGTGGTTCCAGGTACTCGGGAGGCTGAGGTGGGAGTATCTCTTGAGCCCAAGAGTTCGAGGCTGCAGTTAGGCAAGATTGTGCCACTGGACTCCAGCCTGGGTGACAGAGAGAGACCCTGAAAAAAAAAAAAAAGAGGAAAGGAAGAAAGGAAGGAAGGAAGGAAGGAAGGAAGGAAGGAAGGAAGGAAGGAAGGAAGGAAGGAAGAGAGAGAGAGAGAAAGAGAGAAAGAGAGAGAGAGGGAGGGAGGGAGGAAGGAAGGAAGGAAGGAAGGGAAAGGAAGGAAGGAGGGAAGGAAGGAAGGAAAAGAGAAAAGAAATTGTGTTTTTTTATGTTAATAAAGGAAAGTATTCTTATATCATAAATTTGGTTTTTTGAATACTTTAGTAACTGTTTTCAGTTTCTTTTATAATCCTGTGTATTTTATATCTTTCAAATCATTTTTTGGAAGACAGGCCTAATAGGCTTTATCAGACCATTAAATGGTGCCCATGGCACAAAAGTGGTTAAGATCTCCCTGCCTTGGAGAATAGGTAGATTGTTATTACAGCGATGGGAGGGAAGTATACATCCCAAATAGATGACCAGAACAGCATAAACCAAGATACAGGTGGGGAAGAGTATGAGATGCATGGCGGGATGGAATGTGCCTCCCCTCCCCATCCTTGAGGAGAAAGTCTCCTTGGCAAGATTAAGTAAAAAGACAGCGACTTTATTAGCATAATAATGCATCAAGGAGCAAGAGAATAGTTGATTTGTTTTAGACATGCTCTAAGAATCTGGAGAATTTAAATTCTGAAGGCTCTAACGTCTCCTCTGCAGGGTGGAGCCAAGACTCTGAGGAGAGGGCTGAACTGTGAACCTAGAAGTACCATCTCCCCCTGCACACACCTTTGGTCAAGTTGACCCCAAGAAGAAGGACAAGTCCTCTGCACGGCGATGAGGCCATACACACAGTCTGTGGCCCGGCTTTGGGAGACTGATGGGACAAAGGATGTTTTGCACGATCCTTGGTCTCTGAGCAAATATATACATGGGTTAACACAAAGGCTCTCTTTTTGAAAAATGTGACTGTGAAAGTGTGCCCTCCCAGATATTCCAGGCATAACACAGGAGTGACTGCATGTTTGGGGACAGTGCGGAGGCCACTCTGATTAGATCAGAGGATGTGGACTGGTTCATGATGTAAAAGCTGAAGGGAGGCCGGGCACAGTGGCTCACGCCTGTAATCCTAGCACTTTGGGAGGCCAAGGTGGGTGGATCACGAGGTCAGGAGATCGAGACCATCCTGGCTAACAAGGTGAAACCCCGTCTCTACTAAAAATACAAAAATTAGCCAGGCGTGGTGGCAGGCGCCTGTAGTCCCAGCTACTGGGGAGGCTGAGTACTGGGGAGGCTGAGGCAGGAGAATGACGTGAACCTGGGAGGCAGAGCTTGCAGTGAGCTGAGATCGCGCCACTGCACTCCAGCCTGGGCAACAAAGCGAGACGCTGTCTCAAAAAAAAAAAATGCTGAAGGGAGGGTGGTAATGAAGGGAAGAAGACTCCAGGGTTTCAAGTGCCATGGATTAAGGGAGGGAGTAAAGGCAGAGGGCCAGGACAGATGGTTGGATCTGTCTTAGAGGTGAGGTACCTTCAAGATGCCTCAGGGAAAATGGCCAGTAGTCCATCAGGACTCAAGAGTAAGACTCCAGGAAGACACTTGAAATGGGAAGAGAGCTAAGAAAATAATCCACATAGAGGTGATCATTAAAGGCGTAAAGAATAAAGCAATAACGTAAAAAAAAAAAAAAAAAAAAAAAAAAAAAGCAAGGACTGAACTTTAGGGAACAAGTAAGTAGGCTTCTTTTGTGTCCCAAAGCCAGAGAACGAGAACATTTCAAGAAGAGGGGTTAAATTCAGCCTGAAGAAGGAAGTTGCACAAAATCTCTGGATGTGGCTACCGGGAAGGCCTTGGTGAATTCTGAGCGAGCCGTTCCCACGGAGGGAGCAGTGGATGGAGGCCAGCTGAGGACTGCCGGGGTAGAGGGTGGGTGGAGCAGCCAAGGGAGACAGGAGAGGGTGGGAGCCAATGAAACGGAGAGAGGGAGGCTAGGAGATTTGCAGGCCAACAGCATCACATTAAGTTTCTTTTTAACAAGACGATCCAGTTTTTCATTAGAGAAAGAAGGAAACTGCAAATCAGGGGTATTTAAAGGTCGTGTGAAAATCACGAAAACCTCAAGTTGAATCTGTTCCCACCTAAATAACTTTTGTTTAGAAACCAAGCAAAGCCACTGAAACCATCTCAGCACAAATCCCAAAATGGAATTATTCGGATGTCTCTGAAATGGTGTAGGTGCCATGAGCCACTGTGCTAATATGCAGTGTGTCCACACAGAGCCCAGGGCCCAGTGGTGTCAGAGACAAAGGCCAGAGCTTCCCAGAAAGTTCCATAAGGACAGGAATTCAGGAAGTGGGGTCAAGGGAAGAGCTGCTGTCACTGAATATACTGCAGCTTAAGAAAATGATCCTGTTTAACCAGCACCTACTATGGGCTAGGCACTTCACCGACATTTTTCTCATCCTGAACAAGACTACGAAGTATTTTTTCTGTTACTATCCCCACAGTGGAGATAAGGAAACACAGGTTCAGGGTAAGTTGCCTCAAACCCACAGTTCGTAAGTGGCAGAGATAACCTTGGAGCCCAGGTATATCTGCCTCTAACCCCACCGTGTTCCCATCCGGCCTGGAACCTCACCCAAACACACTGGACCCTCAAAAATAAAAAAATGAATAAATAAATAAATAAGTGTCATTATCACCTGTAACAGCCAGTAAAAGACAAGTGCCCCTTGATGTGAGTGCAGCATAACTTTCCCAGTTTGACCTCTTCAAAAGTTGGGTTTTGTTGTTTTTTAAATTATCCTGAACTTGACAAACTTTATTTTAAAAAAAAAATTCACTCACTTAGTCTTTGAGTAAATGAAGAATAGGGCCATGTGTCAGTGCTGGGGACACAAGCCCTGTGCTCAAGTTGTCACAGAGAGAGAAGGCTCAGGACAGCAGGGTGGTGGGGGGGCATCTTCCTTCATAGAGGAGAGAATATGAGCCAAACCTATTTGTCTAAATTTGTTTTTATTTTCATCAAAGTATTACCTATAAATCTGAAAAACCAAATAGTGCCCCAAAAAGCTTACAATTGAAAATGGAAGTCTCCTGTTTCCTATCCTTTCACCTTGTTTCCCCAAAGCTGTCTCTGCTGTTATTTCTATCCCCATCTCTAAATAATACATGTATTCTTTAAGCCAGGTGCGGTGGCTCATGCCTGTAATGCCAGCACTTTGGACAGCCAAGGCTGGTGAGATCACTTGAAGCCAGGAGTTCAAGACCAGCCTGGGCAACATGTTGAAACCCCATCTCTACTAAAAATACAAAAATTAGCCAGGTGCAGTGGCACATGCCTGTAGTCCCAGCTACTGGAGAAGCAAAGGCAGGAGGATTTCTTGAGCCCAGGAGGTGGAGGTGTCAGTGAGCTGAGATCAAGCGACTGCACCCCAGCCTGGGTGACAGAGTGAAACCCTGTCTCTAAATAAATAAATAAATATATAAAACTAAATAACATGTGTATTCTTCAATCTCTTGGCTCGTCATCTCAGCCTCGTTGTGTTTAGAGAAATTTTTCTTCCATTCCCTCTTTTCCTCCCCTTATGCTCCCAAAATAATATCTCAATCTTTTAAAATCCACATTCCACATTTTCACTTTTATAAATACACAAATATTATCTTATTCCTGGGCCAAGTAGCACACTATGATCTTATTTCCTTTCCTTTTTGTTCTTCCTGTTAACAATTACCTCATTTTTCATCAACTTAGTACGGTTTGTTGTTGTTGTTGATGATGAAAACAATTGATGAAATCTTTCCATGCCTCAATATAATTTTCCACATCACCAAACCTGTCAGATCATTTGTTAGGCCGAGTTTTCTTCCTGAGGACAAACTCCCCCAGCCACTAGAGCCTTCTGACTTCTGCTGATCTAGGCAGCTTGCTCTCTGGTCCAAGGCATAGCTGTCTCCTTGTGTCCCTGGAGCCATGACCCAAGGAATTCCCTTCTCTCTTCCCTCCTCTGTTGCAGTCCTTGTTTCTGGATCTAACTTCTTTCTTGGAGCCCTGATTTAAGTTAAACACATCCTTCAGCAGTTCCCTAAGAAAGGTACATAGGAGGCAAGTTATTTGAAGACACAATATGTCTAGAAAGCTCTTTATTTCTCCCATCATGTTTAACTGACAGTCTGGGTTGGTGTGGAATACTAGTTAGAAAAACATCTTCAGTCAGATCTGTTTTTTGCTTATTTTGAGACAAAGTCTCACTGTCTCCCAGGCTGGAGTGCAGTGGTGTGATCTTGGCCTCCCGGGTTCAAGAAATTCTCCTGCCTTAGCCTCCGAAGCAGCTGGGACTACAGGCCTGTGCCACCACAGCCGGCTAATTGTTGTATTTTTAGTAGAGATGGGGTTTCACTATGTTGGTCAGGCTGGTCCCCAATGCCTGACCTCAAGTGATCCACCCGCCTCAGCCTCCCGAAGTGCTGGGATTACAGGCATAAGCCACCGCTCATGAGCCAGTCTTAGTCAGAATTTTGAAAGGCATTGCTTCCTTGTCTTCAAACTTCCAGTGTCACTGTTGAGCAGCCTGATGCCATCACTCCAGAGGTTTCCTGTGCGGAGCTGGGACTAGGACGAAGTGAGTGAAGCACCCATCTGAGATGCAAACATGCAAGGGAGTGCCAAAAAATTCACCCATTGAAATGTCAATTTCAAATAAAGACGAGATCCAAACCTACGCTTATTCAGCTTGACCTCACTCACATCGCCCAAATCCCAGTCCTGTCGGACCATCATGTCTTTACTTAAAATTTTGCTGTTTGTTTATCATGGGTTGCTTTCTTTTTCTTTTCTTTTTTTTTTTTTTTTTGAGACAGAGTCTTGCTCTGTCACCCAGGCTGGAATGCAGTGGTGCGATCTTGGCTCACTGCAACCTTCAACTCCCAGGTTCAAGCAATTCTCCTGCCTCAGCCTCCTAAGTAGCTGGGATTACAGGTGTGCACCACCATGTCCAGCTAATTTTTGTATTTTTAGTAGAGATGGGGTTTCTCCATGTTGGCTGGGTTGGTCTTGAACTCCTGACCTCAAGTGATCTGCCTGCCTTAGCCTCCCAAACTGCTGGGATTACAGGCGTGAGCCACTGCGCCCGGCCTCTTTTTTAAATAGTGCATTAATTTTTTTATCTTGATCACTGAGTTTTTTGGTGCCCCCTTAAATTCCACCCACAAGGCAAGTGCCTCACTTGTCTCGTCTAAGTCCCAGCCAGCTGTCTCCAGAAACCTCACAGAACTACCTTGATCTCTGCATCTGAAAGGTTGTAATGATGAGCCTGGATGTGGATATTTTTTTCACTGACTGAGTTGGATACTCAGTGGATCTTACCATCTAGGACACATGTCCTTTAATTCTGGGAAATTTTCTTGTATTATTTCCTTGACAATTTCATTCCTTCCTCTCTCCATTTCCGGGACCCCTATTAGCTGAATGTTGGACCTCCTAGATTGATTCATTAATTATATATAAATTTTTTCAGAGACAGGTCTTGCTCTGTCACCCAGACTGGAGTACAGTGGTACGATCAGGGCTCAACAGCAGTCTCAAACTCCTGGGCTCGGCCGGGCATGGTGGCTCACACCTGTAATCCCAGCACAACAGAAGAAAAAAAACCTCCTGGGCTCAAGTGATCCTCCTATCTCAGCCTCCCCTAGTGGCTGCGACTACAGGTGCACCATATGCAACTAATTTGTTTATTTTCTGTAGAAATGTGGTTCTACTATGTTGCCCAGGCTGGTCCCAAACTCCTGGCCTCAAGCAATCCTCCCACCTCAGCCTCCTGAAGCACTGGGATTATAAGCATGAGTCACCACGCCCAGCATGATCCCTAATTGCTTACACTTTCTCTCCTGCCTCTTCTCTGCTTCATGTCTTTGTCTCTCTTTGTTATATGTACAGAGGAAGTTCTTCAACTTTATCTTCCAACTCTTGATAATTTTTAAAATTTTTACCATCAGGATTTTTACTTTTAAGGATTCTTTCTTTTTCTCTATTTCTTTTTTATTTCACTCTGTTACTTTTTAATGGGTGCAATATGTTCTTGTATCTCTCTAAGGATATCAGTTATGGTTTCTTCAACCTTATATTCTGCTCCCTGCATAGTCTCCATTTCCTCTTGGTTCATATCTTCCTCAGAATACTGAGAGAAAGTGTCCCTCAAGTGTCCGTGATCTTTGGGTGTGTGTTGGTATTTAATGGTTCCCCACTGCAGGGCCAGTTGGAGGTATGAAGTGCCTGAGTGTGGCATGTTAATTGGACACTCAGTTGCTCCCACCAGCTTATCTGCTACAGACCCCTGAGCATAAGCATCTGTCAGTCATTTCTTTGGGCTTGTTTAATTCCTCCAGTGAAAACACACTTCAATCTTTGCATGGGGTTAGTGCAGGATGCAGGCATAAGCCTGATTCTGGTACCCTGGAGGTGGGTGGGGAAGGAGGCTGGGAGCCTTTATTAGGACACCTCACCCCTTCTCTTCACACTTGGCATCTCTGAGACCAGGACCTCTGGTCTCTCGTGGGAGTAAGGAGGACAGTCACCTGGCTGCATAGGATGGAGTGGGACTTGGAAGTCTACTGCTCCTTACACAGACTTTCAAACTACCCCCTACCCCTATTCTCAGGTCCTGCCCCACTTCCTGTGATACCTGGTGCCTCTGATCCTGGACCCTTTCTGGGTCTCTGTAGAGAAAATCAGCTCATTTCTATAGTGCCTTCCCCACTGGTAAGTACAGAGGTTTGATGTTTCTCCTCTCTGCTGAGCGCTTTATCCTCCTCCAGCAGCTTCCCCCTCCACGTATTGAGATTCAAGAGTAGGGAGGTCTCCATGTTCCACCAAAGACGGAGTTCAGGCTTCTATTCCTGTTCTCCTGTGGTTTCTGTACAGTTTTCAGGAGGGGAAAGGAGTGGAAACCTTTCTTCTACTGTCTTAGAAAGTCTTGGGCAAAATCTGAAATGGGGGATAGGAGTTGACCAGGCAGATGAGGCAGCAAAGGGTATTCCTGCCAGAGGCAGCTATCTTCACAGGCAAAGAGGAATAAAGAGAGCCTCCTGCTGCATGGCTGCAAGCAGGGAGAAGCTAGAGCCTAGGCTAAGGAAGTGGATCCGGAAGGGCCTTCAATGGGCCAAGAAGTGTGTCCTTGATCCTGGAGCAAACGAGGAGTGGGAGGAGAGGAGCCCCTTGGCCACATCTGCCCTGGGGCAGCAGCATGGCAGAGGTGCCAGGGGAGCAGAGCGTGGGGGGCATGCGGGGGAACAGACACGCTGGGAGGAGAGAGTCCCCTAGGGATGTGAATGTGGGAACAGGAGGAGGAGTACTCTGAAAGCTGTCTCAGAGCTGGAACCAGCAGGACTTGTGACTAACAGGAACGGGGCATGAGGGCAGAGGGAGAAGTGTAGTTTGAATCAAGTTTCTGGTTTGGGCAACAGAGTAGGTGGCAAGGCTGTTGACAGAGATGAAGAAACACCGCGGGAGAAGGCAATGTGGGGAAAACTCTATTTGCATCTGTATTACATTCCTCCAAATTCCATCTCTGAGAAGTCCACGCTGGCATTATATATAGTCGCAGTCAATATCCACATAACATTGTGGTCCTGCTTTTTTCCCTTAGCAGTACGTTTCCAGGTGTCACCAGAATCCTCAACGTCTTCCTTTGATTTGGCCACAGAATATTCCATTGTGTTAATAAACATGCCGGTTTCACCTTCTTATCCCCATATTCTGGGCATTCTGAAGAGGACTGTGATGGACACCAAGTTGTTCTCAGTAGGGCCTGTGAGTGGCTCCATAGCCCAGGTCTCCTGCCTCCTCCAAGGCTGAGGACCCCCTGAGGGCAGCTCAGGGGTGCCGTTGCATCTGCTCTGCCATCTACAACAGGAAATGTTGAGGAAGAATGCTTGAGACCTCACAGTCCCTGTAACTCACTGATCCCCAAAACCACCCCTGAACCTCAGAGGAACTTGCTTCCCCCTCTGGTCCCCAGGCAACACTGATTCTCCCAAGCTAGGTCGGAGCAGGGAACCTCACTCTTCCTCCACCTGAGCCCTCTCCCCTTCCCAGTGGCCATGCTGTTTTCTGCCGTCACCCTCCCCAGTAATGGCCTCGCTCACATCTCCTCTCAAGAGGGTCCCAAGGTACATGGGTCAAGTGAAATCAGGGTTGCCCCAGACCTAAGAACAGTGGTGCCCCCAGAGGGAAGCTGGAGCCCTGTGGCAGAGGTGGAGGAAGAGGAGAGGACCAATCAGTTGTTATGGCAACCAGGGCTCCCAAGATGGAGGGAAGGGAAAAGGCGGCCCTGCTCATCAGTTGCCATGGCAACCCAGAGCCTCCAGGCCAGCTTTGAAAACAAAAACCACACACACCCCACTTAACAAAGAAAGTACCCAGGACTCCTCGGTATGCTCCGCAATCCAGAGCGCCAAACGGAACAGGTCAAGGTCTGGTCTCACGATTGACTTTGTAGACTTTTTTTAGGGGCAGAAGGGCTGCTTTTTTTCTGAGAAAATAGAGAGCCAGGGCTTGATAACCCGTAGGGTCACTCAGCAAGCATTTACTGAGCCTACTACATGCCAGGGCCACAGCGACAAATTAAGATCCAGACCCACTTTCAAAGGAGGAGAACAGATATTTCCACATCAGTACGAGACTTGCTGGAAGTCTTCCCTGACGACGGTTTGGCAGTGTTCATTAAAAATTTTAAGTGGATGTTCTCTGTGACCCAGCAATCCCATTTCTAAGACGCTGCCTGCAGAAATATTTGAATCTGAAGGTGATCTTTGCAGCATTATTTACAGCAGTAGATAATGGAAAACAACCTAAATGTCCCGTAATGGAGGCCAGTTACATCAATTTTGGTACATGCATACACGTTGAAAATGCAAAGGCGTACGGGCGGAAGAACACATAAGGAACCATTAGCAGCCATTACCCAGGAGTCGCAGGACTGACCAATAGGGTTAGAGAAGGGGGGCGTTTCACTTTACTTCTCAACCATTTGGAGATGTTACAAGAGTGCGCTTCCCTCCCGCCCCCAAGAGAGACGGGCTCTTGCTTTGTCACCCAAACTGGAGTGCAGTGGCACATCACGGCTCACTGCAGCCTTGACCTTCCAGGCTCAAGTAATCCTCCCCTCAGCCTCCTGAGTTCAGCCTCCTGAGTAGCTGGGACTATAGGTGTGTGCCACCTGCCCAGTTAATTTTTTGTATTTGTTTAGTTTTTTTGTTTTTGGGGGTTTTTTTTTCCTTTTTTTGAAATGAAGTATTACTCTGTCATCCAAGCTGGGGTGCAGTGGCACTATCTCGGCTCACTGCAACCCCCGCCTTTCGGGTTCAAGCAATTCTTGTGCCTCAGCCTCCTGAGTAGCTGGGATTACAGGTACCCGCCACCACGCCTGGCTAATTTTTGTATTTTTTAGTAGAGACAGGGTATCGCCATGTTGGCCAGGCTGGTCTTGAACTCCCAACCTCAGGTGATCCACCCGCCTGGGCCTCCCAAAGTGTTTTTGTATTTTTTGTAGAGACGGATTATCGCTATGTTGCCAGGGCTAGTCTTGAACTCCTAGCTTCAAGCGATCCTCCGCCTTGGCCTCCCGAAGTGCTGAGATTACAGGAGTGATCTACCGCGCCTGGTTTACTTTTATAACTTAAGGAAAATGCTAAATGTTTGGGATGATTGGTCATACAATGGGATTTATAGTGATGAAAATCAAGTACGTTAACTGGTTATGATACAATGCAAAAAAAAAAAAAAAAAAAAAACCAGCACAGGCCAGGCGCGGTGGCTCATACCTGTAATCCCGGCACTTTGGAAGGTCAAGGCGGGTGAATCACTTGAGGTCAGGATTTCGAGACCAGCCTGGCCAACATGGTGAAAACCCGTCTCTACTAAAAATACAAAAATTAGCTGGGCATGGTGGCCAGTGCCTGTAATCCCAGCTACTCGGGAGGCTGAGGCAGGAGAATCTCTCACACTCAGGAGATGGAGGTTGCAGTGAGCCTTGATTGTGCCACTGTACTCCAGCCTAGATGACAGAGCAAGACTGTGTCTCAAAAAAAAAAAAAAAAAAAAGCACAAAGGCACTTACAATAGGAGCATCAAGGGAGAAGAGGAGAAGTAAGATGGGTGGGAAGAAGTTAGGTCTTGCAGGTTGCAGAAAATGTCATCATCAGGAGAAGGAGGAAAGGCATTTTAGCTGAAGAAATGGCAAAAGCAAAGGCTAGGAAGAGTAAAACTTCCAGTACTCTAGAAAATCCCAAGTGGTCTCTGTGGCAGAGGTGAAGAGATGTGACACAGACCTTACACAGGAGCAGCAGGAAGCCATCCCAAGTTTGAAAGTAGGGAAAGGACATGAGGAGAGCAGAACCTACAAAGATTTCTCCAGGCAGACGTGAAGGAGAAGTACTAGAGTCCAGGAGACACCTTAGGAAGCTACTGTAATCACACAGGAGTGACACGAGGAGGACCCCACAGGAGGGTGGACGGAGGGGAGAGGGAATTACAAGAAGTATTTCATATGTAAATGGCAGGAGTTTATGATGTTTCTCAATCCATAGACTTACTTTCTAGAGCTAGATGAGGTTCCTCAGCTTACAGATGGGGAAACCGAGGCACAGCTAGGGGAAGTGAGGGTTTCCAGGACAATAGGTTTATGACTTGAAGTTTTCTCTGGGCCTCCTGGGAGAGGAGGCTCAATCCTTCCAAGATCTGACCTTTTTTAACTCTTAATTCAGACAATTCCCAACTGAGGGGGATGGGCAAAGGTGAGGCTGTGGCCCAAGAAACCCCTGCAGGAAGAAAAGAGGGAGGAAGAGGACGACCCCCTTTGGTATCTGGATGCTGAGAGTCCCACTCTGAGATCCCAGCCTCCTTAAAGAGAGCACTCTTGGTCCCAGACTCGAGCATGGCTGTCCTGCAGGGAGCTTGGGGCAGTGCTCAGGCCCTGGGAGGGGTGTCTGGTGGTGGGCAAGGTGCCACCACGAGCTGGTCCAGGAAGTGCCTCTGTCACGTGCGTGCCTCCCCAGTGTCCTGTCCCACACCTGGCACCATGGCAGCACTGGGACAAGCACAGCGCTGGACTCAGGAGTCAAGAGCCCTGGAATCTACTGCCTTTCTGTCCTGCCACTCAGCAAGCTGGCCTTGAGCTTGCCACTAGCACTCCCATGTGATAAGGCCCATGAAGGCATGAACTCACACTGAGGAATGCTATGCTAAACACGGCCCTCTTCCTGGAGAGGAAAATGGAAAAGCCCCAGGCGGGGGAGTATTATCACAAAACTGTCAGCATGTCTACATTTATCAGATTAGTTAAAAGAAGAGACAGGGCTGATCGTAATCATTCCCGAAATATGTGCAACTATTCAGCTTGCAACTACTCCCACACACAGGCCTCTCATTTGACTTTCAAAAATTAAAACAAAAACACTCAGGACAGGTGCTGCTATTCCATTTTACAGGAAGCAGGTTCTGAGAGATTCAGACTCAATCCATATGTATTAAGTGTCCATCTCACGCCAGCGCCTGGACAGAGGTACCAGCAGCTGCTAGAATACAGTTAGATCCGTTCGCACTGGTCCAAAAAGATACTCCATGAGAACAGGGTTACATGTCAAACAAGCTTAGGAAATACTCCAGACTTTATCCCTCCCGCTTCTGATGAATCGCTGTGCCTATTAAATTACTCAAGGCCCTGCCTGGGAAGTCCTGCTTAGCTCTGTTCAACATCTCTCCCAAGTACATGGCCATGGAACCGCCTTTTACACACAACTTCTTAACAGCCTGCAGAACTTGGGTTTTGTGGAACACATTCTTGCAAATGCTGACCTGAGCAGTAGAAACAGAGCACTGAAGATGGGATTTCAGACAATCAGATGAAGAATACATCCTGGGGCAGCATCTTGCCTCTGTCTATCAACTCACAGCAGAAGCATCTGCCTTTTCCTGGGCTTCGGAATACAGCGAGCTGATGGGGCCAAGTTCTGTGGGACTGTTAGTTGTAGTCTCAGCTGGCAAGTCAAGGACCAAGCCTCGGCTGCATCAGAGCTTGTCTGTGGCTCTGGACCCGTCGTTTTCAGGTGGGCGCAGGGTCAGGCATCTGGAACAGCCAAGACACAGATGTTCCAGCCACTCTTGGATCCCCGCCTGGGCTCCTGCCTTCCCTAATTCCAATATTTGGCTGCCGCTCTCGCCTAATTCATATTCCAATGTCAACACTGCATAATCTCCCCCAAACACTGACAGCCTTGGAGTGGGAAAGGGGAAGGGACAGCTGATGAGCAGGGGCGGTAGAGACCCAGGCAGAGGCAGAGGCAGAGGCAGAGGCAGAGGCGGAGGGAGCGTGGGGGGAGGAGATGGGCAGAAGACAGGAAGTTCCCCAAAGCCCTTAGCAGGCAGCACTCCCCCAGACTCTCAGCTGAGAGAAGAGGACCTCCAAGGAGTCCCAGAGGCACCCAGCCGCCACCCCGGGCAGTCAGTGCCACAAGACAGAGAAGGGAAACAGAGCCCCCACAGTGGTCAGGCTGGGCTGCCTGGGAGGGGAGTCTTGTATGCTATGCAGGAAAGAGAGCAAGACCGCCAGTCAGGACCCTTGGTCAAGCTCCAGCTCTGCCCCTAACTAGCTGTGTGACCTTAGGCAAGTCCCTCAACCTCTCTGGGCTTTATTTCATGTATTAAATGAAGAGTTACCCATCTCTGAGACCCACCAGCTCTAACATTTGGGAGGAGGCTGTAGAGCATCAGGAGGAAACAGCCCAAGTCTGAGTGTGAAGCTGGATCTGTCCTGGCTCTTCTACCTCATGGGACTCCAGCATCCTCATCTGTAAACTGGGAGTAATAATAGTGGCTACATAGCCAGAGCTTATTGGGATTAAATGAAACAGAGCATGTAAAGCACAGATTTCCCAGCTGGGCTGTGAAGGGTAGGAGCAGCTGGAACCAGCCTGAAGACCCCAGACTCACACTCACCGAGCACTTTCTCTCCCCGGCCCTGGCCATGCCTCGCTCCCCGCATCTTCACAGGAGCTCTGTGAGGGGGAGACTGTTACTAACCTGTATTACAGAAGAGGAAACTGAGGCTTGGTAACTGGCTCACGGTCACCCAGCTGGAGGATGACCAAGGTCTGTCTGATGGCAGGACCAGGGCTGGCTCAGGATCCCACGCTGTCTTTCCAAGCTTCCGGACTGGCTAAGGAGTGGGCCTGGCTGGGAGAGGGATCCGGTCCAGGGATGCAGAGCTGCTGAGTGCCCCTTGCTGCTGGCGACCGCCTGCACCTTCACACAGTCTCCGCGCTCCATAGGCTCCTGTGTCCATCCGGACTGGCCTCCGCCCCCATGCGCACCCCAGATCCCAGCCCTACCCCACCTACCCCCACCATGTCTGCCCTCACCACTCTTTCCTCCCACCCTCCCCCACACCCATTCCGAGGCAACTGTTCTCCCTGGTTCTCACTGCAAACTCTCAGGAATTCAGTGACCTCCACCGAAATTTTCCCCCAGGGCCACATCCAGGCCAAAGTCCCAAGGAGGGCTGCTGATAAATATGGGTGATATTTGCATGTGATTTGCATACACTTCTAAGGCCCTGGAAGGCAGCTTTTAAGAGAAGCATTATCCAGGCTATACCCTCCTTCTTATCTATTTCTTCACATTCCTTTGAGCCCAGCCCCCACACACACCCACCTCCTCTTGTCCCCACCCTACTCCACCCCTCCCTGCACTGGTCCCCCTTTCCTATTTCTCAATGTGTAACTAAGTAGGAAGAGCAAAAGTTTTAACAATAACAATTGCTGTTTATTGAGCAACTATCTGCCAGGCATGGCCCCTCACAACAGCCACCAAAGGAACTACTATTTGAGGGTGTCTGAGTGGACCCAGTATCCGTCTTCCCAGCCCCTGTTCAGAACCAAGTGAGATGAATTTCAGACTTGACTATTGGTGAAGGTGATTTCGGAGAATACATCTTAGGTCTGCGGTTTCCTAATACTGAACCCCAGAATAAGACAAAACGACTCACTCCCAGACTGCTGGACTTCGCCCCCAGAATCCAGCCTCCCCTCACAGAGACAGAGCTGGCCCCTGTAAAACTTGAGGTAGAGAAGAGCGTGGAGAGAAGGCTTGTCTCCGCAGGTGGGCAGAGCTCCAAAGAGAAGAGAAGGAAGGGGCTGCGCCGCACAGGCAGTGACTTGGTCCCAGGCGCACCAGTTAGGCCAGTCACCCCCTCCTCCCTGGGGAATATTGGGCTGGGCCCAGGCCAACCTTGTTAACAGATGACCCCTCTACAAGGACGGAAATATCAGGAGTGGATGGGAAGTGCTCCCCCTGTTTTACAGAGGTGAAAGCTGAGGTTACTTAACAGAGAGTTTACCTAACTTGCCCAGGGCCACTCAGTAGGGAATGGTGGGTGGGCACTGGAACCCAGAGCCTATGGTCTTTCACACCACCACGATTATGTCTCAGAGAAAAGCCCACAGTCCAGGGGAAGGGAACAGAGAAAGCGTGGGAAGAGGATGGAGGGAGGATGGAGGAGTGTGCAAACGTGGGTCAAGTGCAGCTGGGGGAAACCTACGGTCTCAGAGCCAGAGCACGGAGGCCTCTGGACACCATGGAGTCCAGGGACCCACTCTCACACGCCCACAGGGTAAAGCAGCCTGTAAGTGAGTGGGTGGCAGGGAAGACAATAGGGAGTGGTAAGGACTGTGGTGAACGGAACAGGGGCAGGCCCAGACCAACTCCAGGCTCTCCTGGTCATGCAGCAACACAGACTCAGAGTCACCAGATCTTCTGACTCTTCAAGAGATGCCAGAAATCATATTATGACTTGAAATCTCCCTATTTGTATATGTTGGCTCAATGCTTTAATAAAAGAACAAACTCTATTCAGGCAAGCAAAATGTCACTGCCTTTTGGCTTCAGCCCACTGGCACAACCAGCAACCTCAAAAAATGCAATCCCATCACCTCCCAAATGTGCTCACTGGAGTGTGAGCCGCTGAGCTCCAGGACTGGCTGCATCTTTGTCTCCTGCCATCTCCCCAGGCTGGCGTCCTATGTGCTCAGTCTCAGGGAACATCCATGGAAGCCTCTCCCAGAGCCAGCAGGTGGAGATCCAGGTCTCCTGACTCCTGGTTCAGTGCTCCTGCCACAAACTCACAGCTCATCTCACTGCTTTCAAGGAAGTGCTTGTTAAAAAATGCAGTTTCCTAGGCCAGGCACACTGGCTCACACCTGTAATCTCAGCACTTTAGGAGGCTGAGGCGAGTAGATCACTTGAGCTCAGGAGTTCAAGACCAGCCTGGGCAACATGGTGAAACCCTGTCTCTACAAAAATTAGCTGGCATGGTGGCATGTGCCTGTAGTCCCAGCTACTTAGGAGGGTGCGGTGGAAGGATGGCTTGAGCCCAGGAGGCGGAGGTTGCAGTGAGCCAAGATCGAGCCACTGCACTCCAGCCTGGGCAACAGAGCAAAATGCTGTCTAAATTAAAAAAAAAAAAATTTAAAAATGGGATTTCCTGCACCGCACTTCAGACCTAGAGTCAGAATCTTTGCAAGTGAAGGTTGGAAAACTGCATTTTTAACAAGCCATCCCAGGACATTCTTAAACATGCTAATGTGTGGAAATCATTGCAGGGAAGCTGATGACAAAGATGAAAAATGCATTGGCATAGGTCAGAATGCCAGCTCTGCCATGTCACCACCGGAAGACACTCTGAGCCTGTTTTCCCACCTGTTAAACAGACACAGCATCGGCCGGGCGCAGTGGCTCACACCTGTAATCCCAGCACTTTGGGAGGCCGAGGCGGGTGGATCACGAGGTCAGGAGATGGAGACCATCCTGACTAACACAGTGAAACCCCGTCTCTACTAAAAATACAAAAAAATTAGCCGGGCCTGGTGACGGGGGCCTGTAGTCCCAGCTACTCAGGAGGCTGAGGCAGGAGAATGGCATGAGCCCAGGAGGCAGAGCTTGTAGTGAGCCGAGGTTGCGCCCCTGCCCTCCAGCCTGGGTGACAGAGTGAGACTCCGTCTCAAAAAAATAATAATAATAATTAATAAATAAATAAATAATAACAAGACACAGCATCATCTGCCTCACAAGCCTGCCTTGAGGAGAAAATGAGGGCAGGTACACAAGAGTACTTTGTAAACTCTTAAGCAGTGATTTTTCAAACTACAATTCCCAGCCAATAAATGGGTCACAAGCTCAATTTAGTGGGATTTGACTGGCATTGTTTCCAGTGAGATAGAACGGAATAGAAAACAGAAAGAGTATATATTATTTCATGAAACTTATACACGTATGGGAATGCTAGGTAACAACACATGTTTTCTTCCTGTGAGTAGTGGTCAAAAACTTGTATTTAAAAATACACTGCTGGCCAGGCACGGTGGCTCACACCTGTAATCCCAGCACTTTGGGAGACCGAGGTGAGTGGATCGCTTGAGGTCAGGAGTTCAAGACCAGCCTGGCCAACATGGTGAAACCCTATCTCTATTAAAAATACAAAAATTAGGCTGGGCATGGTGGCTCACACCTGTAATCCCAGCACTTTGGGAGGCTGAGGTGGGCAGATCACCTGAGGTCAGGAGTTCGAGACCAGCCTGACCAACATGGAAAAACCCCCATCTCTACTAAAAATACAAAATTAACCAGGCATGGTAGGGCATGCCTGAAATCCCAGCTACTCAGGAGGCTGAGGCAGGACAATCGTTTGAACCCAGGAGGTGGAGGTTGCGGTGAGCCGAGATCATGCCATTGCACTCCAGCCTGGGCAACAAGAGTGAAACTCCATCTCAAAAAAAAAAAAAAAGAAAAAGAAAAAAAATTAGCCAGGCATGGTGACGCTCGACTGTGGTCCCAGCTACTCAGGAGGTTGAGGCATGAGAATCACTTGAACTCAGGAGGCAGAGGTTGCAGTGAGCCAAGATTGCGCCACTGCACTCCAGCCTGGGTGATAGAGTGAGACCCTATCTCAAAAAACAAAAAAAATGTACACCGCTCTAAACATAGGTGTAAATCTTCCTGACCTCGGATCAGGCAATGATTTCTTAGAAATTACACCCAAGCAAAAGCGACAAAAGAAAAAATAATCAATTGGACTTCACCAAAATTAAAAACTTTTGTGCATCAAAGAACATTATTAACCATTTTCCCGTTTAGAACAAAAGCTCAGCTCACTGCCAATGCTCACTTAAATTTATGTAAACATGCTCTTTGAGGCTGAAGCAAACCTGACTGATTTTCAATGTGAAAATAAAGTGTAAAAACTGTTCTTGGAGTTATTTCTAAACAGAACTAACATCAGAATCATCTGAATCATCAGAAGAGTCTATATCAGAAAAAATCGGATTCATCAAATGAATCTTCAGTCAACAACTGTCCGAGAATGAGGTTAACATCACATGTAAGAAAGCTACATTTTCTAGGATTTGACATTTTCAGCGATTGAGAATGACTATAATTTATAAATGGAAATACCACTGCTAAAACCAGCCTGCTATAAATAGAATAATGTCTTTTGTTTCCAATGTCAATTATACTGGAGCAATGCAAAAATAATAATAAAAGCAAGATCGTGGCCGGGCGCAGTGGCTCACGCCTGTAATCCCAGCACTTTGGGAGGCTGAGGTGGGCGGATCACAAGGTCAGGAGATCAAGACCATCCTGGCTAACACGGTGAAACCCCATCTCTACTAAAAATACAAAAAAATTAGCTGGCTGTGGTGGCGGGCACCTGTAGTCCCAGCTACTCGGGAGGCTGACACAGGAGAATGGCGTGAACCTGGGAGGTGGAGCTTGCAGTAAGCCGAGATTGCGACACTGCACTCCAACCTGGGCGACAGAGCAAGACTCCCGCTAAAAAAATGAATAAATAAATAAATAATAGCAAGATCGTTCATGGCAAATTATCTCAGGGTAAACCTGCAGCCAACAAGTGCCACTGGCGAGTATTCTCAAGGCAAACATCACAAAAGTGAAAGAGCAATCCACAAAATGGGAGAACATATTTGCGAGTCATATATCTTACCAAGGCCTAGTATTTAGAATATATAAAGAACTCTTTCAATTCTACAATTTTAAAACTCAGTTTTAGGCTGGGCGTGGTGGCTCATGCCTGTAATCCCAACATTTTGGGAGGCCGAGGAGGGTGGATCACCTGAGGTCAAGAGTCCGAGACCAGCCTGACCAATATGATGAAACCCCATCTCTACTAAAAATACAAAAATTAGCTGGGTGTGGTGGTGTGCGCCTGTAATCCCAGCTACTCAGGAGGCTGAGGCAGGAGAATTGCTTGAACCCAGGAGGCAGAGGTTGCAGTGAGCCAAGATCGCGCCACTGAACTCCAGGCTGGGCGACAGAGCAAGACTCCATCTAAAAAATAAATTTTAAAAAACCTCAAATTTAAAAATGGGCAAAAGACTCAAATAGATATTTCTCCAAAGAAGATATTCAAATGACCGGCAAACACAGGAAGAGATGGTCAACATCATTAGTCACCAGGGAAATGCAAATCAAAACCACTATGAGATATCACTTCACACCCACTAGTCTGGCTATACAGATGCTCCTCAGGTCCACTGAGCAAGGTGGCTCATGCCTGTAATACCAACACTTTGGAAGGCCGAGGCAGGAGGATCACTTGAGGCCAGGAGTTTGAGACCACCCTGGGCAATATATCGAGACCTCATTTCTACAAAAAATAAAAAATAAATAAAAATAAAAATTAGCCAGGCATAATGGTGCATGCCTGTAGTCCCAGCTACTCAGGAGGCTGAAGCGGGAGGATCACTTGAGCTCAGGAGTTTGAGATTACAGCAAGCTATGACTACACCAGTGCACTCCGGCCTGGGCAATAGAGCTGGACCCTGGCTCTTAAAAAAAGAAAAGAAAAGATGCTCCTTAACTTACAATAGAGTTGCATCCCAATAAACCCATCATAAGTGGAAAATGCACTTAATACATTTTAAAATAATTTAATAAGTCAAAAATGCATTTAATACACCTAACCCACCAAACATCATAGCTTAGCCTAGTCTACCTAAAATGTGCTCAGAACACTTACATTAACCTACAGTTGGGCGAAATCATCTCATGCAAAGCCTATTTTCTAATAAATTGTTGAATAGCCCATGTAATTTATTGACTAGTATACTGAAAGTGAAAAACGAAATGATTGCACGGGTTCTGGAAGTATGTTTCTACTGCATAGCTGTTGCTTTTGCACCATCGCAAAGTCATTAAGTCAAATCACTGTAAGTCGGGGACTGTCTGTAATCAAAAAGACAAACAATAACAAGTGTTTGAGAGGATCTGTATAAGGATTTTGTCAAAATTCTTATACATCGCTGGTGGGAACGTAAAATGGTACAGCCATTTTGTCAATTTTTCCAAAAGTGAAACATAAAGTTACCACATGACCCAGTCACCCTCCTAGGTACCTACTCATGATACATTAAAAAATACCTTCATACAGAAGCTCATACACCAAGGTTCACAGCAGCCTTACTCATAATAGTCAAAAGATGTAAACAACTCAAATGTCCACCAACTGATGTATGGGTAAACAAAATGTGATCTAGCATATGATATGGTTTGGAGGTCTGTCCCCTCCAAATCTCATGTTGAAATGTGACCGCCAATGTTAGAGGTGGGCTGGTCATGGTGGCTCACGCCTGTAATCCCAGCACTTTGGGAGGCCAAGGCTGGCAGATCACCTGAGGTCAGGAGTTCGAGATCAGCCTAGCCAATATGGTGAAACCCGATCTCTACTAAAAATACAAAAATTAGCCAGGCATTGTGGCAGGTGCCTGTAGTCCCAGGTACTGAGGAGGCTAAGGCAAGAGAATCACTTGTAACTGGGAGGCGGAGGTGGCAATGATCCAAGATCACACAACTGCACTCCAGCCTGGGTGACAAGAGCGAGACTTCATTTCAAAAATATATATATATAATGTTGGAGGTGAAATCTGGTGGGAGGTGTTTGAATCATGGGGGCGAGTCCCTCATAAATGGCCCAGTGCCATTCCCGTGGTAATAAGTGAGTTTTCTCTTTGGTAGTTCACGTGAGACCTGGTTGTTTAAAGAGCATGGCACCTTCCGCTTCTCTCTCCATCCAGCTCTGGCCATGAGATACAGTGGCCCCCGCTTCGCCTTTGGTCATGATTGAAAGCTCCCTGAGGCCTCCCCAGACGCTGAGCAGATGATGATGCCATGCTTGTACAGCCTGCAGAACCGTGAGCCAAACAAACCTCTTCTCTTTATAAATTGCCCAGTCTCACATATTTATTTATTTTAGTAATGCAGGAACAAACTAAGAGACACATACAATGTGATATTATTCAGCCATTAAAAGGAAGGAAGTGCTGATACACACTACAACATGGATGAACCTTGAAAACATTATGCTAAACCAAAGAATCCAGTCACCAAAGGCCACATATCACAGGATCCCATTTATGTGAAATGTCCAGAGTAGGCAAATCCATAAAGGCAGAAAACAGATCACTGGTTGCCTGGGCTAGAGGCAGTGGGTAATGGGCAGTGATTACTAACGGGCATGGGGGTTCTTTTGGGGGCAATCAAAATGTTCTGACAGTAAATAATGGTGATAGTTACACAACAATGTAAATATACCAAAAGCCACTGAATAGGACACTGTAAAAGAGTGAATTCTATGTGAATTATGTCTTGAAAAAAATACACTGTTCTAAAATATTGTACATGTGGAATTTATTTGTGCTAAAGAAGATGAGGCAGGGGCCAGGCACAGTGGCTTATGCCTGCAATCCCAGCACTTCAGGAGGCTGAGGCAGGTGGATCACTTGAGGTCAGGAGTTCGAGACCAGCCTGGCTAACATGGCAAAAACCCATCCCTACTAAAAAATGCAAAAATTAGCCTGGCATGGTGAAGCATGCCTGTAGTCCCAGCTACTCAGGACGCTGAGGCAGGAGAATTGCTTGAACCCAGGAGGTGGAGGTTGTAGTGAGCTGAGATCGCGCCACTGCACTCCAGCCTGGGCAACAGAGTGAGACTCCATCTCAAAAAAAAAAAAAAGAAGAAGATGATGAGGCAGGGAATAAAATAAGTGAGAAGGAGGGTGCTGAGCTTGTAAAGCAGCTGTAGAGTTGCAGGGGGCTTTGCTTCCCCTGAATCTGCGCTTGCACAGCCTGACCAAAGGCAAGCCATATGAATGAACGGATGGATGGACAAATGAGGTCCATATACCGAGGGTGGTAGTGTTACCAAGTGCAGTCTCATAGAGGGGCAATTTGGCAATATTGAAGAAAAACTAAAAATGCTCATACCTCTTGCCTCGGACTTTCTATTTGGGGGACTATAGCCTTCAAAATGACTCTCAAAAGCAAGTAGCAATAAATACAAGTACATTCATTGCAACATTGTTTGTAGTTGAGGGGAAATTGATAAATATTACCCAGCAACTGAGAAATGATTAAGTAATAATCAGGATATAGTCAGACAGTGGACAACTCGGCAAATCTAGGATCTGAGAGTTAGTATTAAGTGGAAGAAAAGTTATGCAAACAGCATGGATGGGGAAGAAAGGATAACTTTTTCAGGACAGAAGAATTCCAACTAATAAACTGGATAGCCTCAAAGTATCTCCACCCAAAGTATCTCCAGATGCTTATTAATTGCAAAGAGAATAGTCAGTTGAGTCCGTTGACAGTGGAGAAACCCAGAAGATGCCACCTTAACCAAGTGATCCAGGTTAACATCACCAGTAACATCACCAGACATATGGCCACCACGCAACCCCTGAGAAAGACACATTACTTCTGCGGCTGCTCGTAACTAAAATGCGTAATCTCAGTCTAATTATGAAAAAGCAACAGACAACCCAAATAGAGGACTATCCTACAAAATAAGTGACAAATACTCTTCCAAAGTGTCAAGGTCATGAGAGACAGAGAAGGGCTGAGGAGCTGTCCCAGCCTGTGGGAGACTAAGGAGGCCTGTCAACTAAATGCAGTGTGAATCCTGGGCTGCATCCTGGAGCCAAAACAAAGCTATTAATAGAAAAACCGGGGAAATCTGAACGAAAGTCTGTAGGTTAGTTAGTAGTAGTGTGTCAATGTCAATTTCTTGGTTATGATCATTGTATTATGGTTACGCAAGACAGTAACATTAGGGAAAGCTAAGTGAAGGATATTAAAGGAACTCCGTACTATTTTTGCAATTTTTTAGTAAGTCTGAAATTATTCCAAAATAAGAAACATTTTGAACAGAATGGATTTTATCATCTTAATTTAATCTGGTGAGCATTAGCTAGTTATCTTCAGTACCGGGTTGAATCACATTCCCCCAAAATGTTCATCTGGAATTTCAGCATGTGACCTGGTTTGGAAATGGGTTCTTTGCAGATGTCATTAGTTAAATTAAGATGGAGTCATATTGGATTAGGGTGGCCACTAAATCCAATGACAGGTATTTTTGTAAGAAGGCCATGTGGGCTGACCACAGTGGCTTGGTGGGGCATGGTGGCTCACGCCTGTAATCCCAGCATTCTGGGAGTCCGAGGCAGGCAATCACTTGAGTCTAGGAGTTCAAGACCAGCCTGGGCAACATGGCAAAACCCCATCTCTACAAAAAATACAAAAAAAAAAGAAATGAGTTGTTTGTGTTGGCATGTGTCATACACCATGTGACAACAGAAGGAGAGATTGGAGTGATGTGGCTACAAGCCAAGGAACACCAAGTGCTTCTGGCAACCACTGTAAGCTGGGCGAGGTATGGAGCCGATTCTCCCCCAGAAGCTCCAGAAGGAACCAACCTTGCCCCACCTTGTCTGAATTCTAGCCTCAAAAAATGTGAGAGAATAGGCTGGGCACAGTGGCTCATGCCTGTAATCCCAGCATTTTGGGAGGCTGAAGCAGGAAGATCTCTTGAGGTCAGGAGTTCGAGACCAGCCTGGCCAACATGGTGAAACCCTGTCTCTACTGAAAATACAAAAATTAGCCGGGCATGGTGGTGGGAGCCTGTAATCCCAGCTACTCAGGAGGCTAAGGCAGGAGAATCGCTTGAACCCGGGAGGCGGAGGTTGCAGTGAGCTGAGATCAATCTACTGCACTCCAGTCTGGGCGACAAAGCAAGACTTCATCTAAAAAAAAAAAAAAGTGAGAGAATAAATGTTTGTTGCTTTAAGCCCCCACGTTTGTGATGCTGTTTTACAGCAGCAATAGGGAACTCCTGCGTCTTCCCAGCCAGCATCCCCAACACCTCTCCTCAGGCCAAGCCCTATTTCTCTTGAGGCTCTGTGCTGTTCAGTGACACTAACCTGCCCCCCAGCCAGCCAGCCTTGGCCCATCAGCACATTCTGTCTCCAGCCTCTGAGATTGGTGCAGGGACGGTATGTGACCTGACCTGAGGCCATGAGACCTGAGACATTTGCTGCCAGCTCCTGAGAAAGAAGCTTCCTCGCTTCCAGAACAAACACTCTCTCTCCTGTTAGACCCGAACAAGGACGCCATCGTGCTCCAATGAGGGTCTGAGAATACATGGATAAGCAGACTGTTTCTCCCACTATACACTCACAGTGGGCTTCTTACACCAGATGGGTGTTTGGGGAGGCGTTCCCACATAGTAAGCAAGCAATCAATTACGCAGCAGACACCAGTTCGGTGTCCTCTAATTCAGTTCACTTCCCCACCTGGAGATAGCGTCAGGTTCCACAGGCTAAGGACTCAGTCCCCAAGATGCTCCCCTTCTCCCGATGCCAATCACAAGTCCCAGAGTATTTTAGCTGTGCTTCTGACCAACTGACTATAATTGAGGTTCCCACAATCCCCTCATTGGTTGGATTAATTTGCTAGAGCAGCTCACAGAACTCAGGGAAACACGTTGACTCACTTATTATAAAGGATACCACAGAGGACACAGATGGGCAATGCATAGGGCAAGGTATGGGGGAGCAGAGCGCCATCCTCCAGGAGCCCCGTGTGTCCAGCTGTCCAGAAGCTCTCCAGACCCTGTCCTTCAGGGTTTTTATGGAGGCTTCATTACACAGGCGTGATTGATTAAGCCATCGGCCATTGGTGATCAACGTAACTTCCAGCCCCTCTCCCCTCTAAGAGAGAATGGGAGTGGGGCTGAAAGCCCCAGTCCTCTAATCCTGCCTTGAACTTTCTGGAGTAGCCCCCATCCTCAAGCTACCTAGGGGCTGCCAGCCAACTGTCAACTCATTAGCATACAAAAAGACACTTACCACTTTGGAGATTCCATAGATTTTAGGAGTAACATGCCAGGAAATGTGGACAACAACTCAATATGTATTTTACGATATCACAAAGGGGAGCCAGCCTCCAGATGAAACCAGCAAAATGGGACCCAGAGTGGAGAGACAAGGACACTGGTCCAGGGGCTACTGATTCAAGCCTCACCTGAAACCCACATCACCTCCAGACTTCTGAGCTATGTGAGCCGCTAATTCCTTCTTGGGTTTAAGCCAGCGAAGTTTCAGCTCTCTACTCCTTGAGACTGAAAGAGTTGACTAACTCCTGTGAGGCTGGATCCATGAAAACAAAGGCTGTCATCATGATCAGGGCTCTCATCCTATCTCAGCTCCATTTCCCTCTGGGTTGGTTTTGCCCTTAGGCAGGCCCTGCTTTCCTAGTGACAAGATAACACCTAAAATCCAAATTCAGCTTAGCAATCCCCCTGGAAAGAAAGTATGTCTTTTATACCAGTCAGGTGTCTGCTGCACCAATGCCATGCAACAAGCACTCTGAAAATCTCAGTTGCTTATAACAACCATTCCTTTCATACTCATGGGTCTGCAGGTTAGTTGGGGGGTTGTTAATATCAGAGTTAGGCTGGACTCCAGTCTCTGGTTAGGTTCAATTTGCCCCACAGTCTCCATCCTGGACTCCAGATGAAGGTGCCATGGTCGCCTGGGTGTACCTTCCTTTCTCATGGTGGGCAGGAGCTCTAGAGGGGCAAGCGGAAACACAAGATACTTCTTTAAGGCCTAGCTTGGAACCCACACATCATCACTTCTACCGACATTCCATTGACCAAAGCAAGTCAGTGGCTGAGCTCACCATGGATGGTGTGGGGAAGAATATTCACCCACAGTGAACCATGCAAGGGAGGGAGGGAATGAAGAAGCCTCAGCAAAACTCCATCAAACACGTCTTCCTCAACAGTGCCTCAAAGATCTTGGAACTGACTCATTGGCCTGGCCTGGGGTCAATGCCTGAGGGAGGTAGGAGTAAGGGTACAGCTAGGGGTCTCCCATATGGGAAGAAGGGTTATTTCCCAAATGGAAGTCAAGGTGTTGCTGACACAAGAAAGGGCAATGGATCCCACATAGGCAATGAATAAATAATTACATAAACCAGCACTCAGCAAACGGCAACGTGAAAATAAATCACCTGAGATGCTATTACAATGCAGATTCTGAGAGCCAGGCATGGTGGCTCCGACTGTAGTCCCAGCTACTAGGGAGGCTGAGGCTGGAGGATCTCTCAAGCCCAGGAGTTCGAGGCTGCAGCAAGCCACAATCGCACCACTGCACTCCAGCCTGGAAGACAGAGCAAAATCTCATCTCTTTAAAGAAAAAAAATTCATTTAATAAAAAATAATGCAGCTTCTGATTCAGTAGGTCCAGGGTGGGGCCTGAGATGCTGCATTTCTTTTTTTTTTTTTTTTTTTTTGAGACGGAGTCTTGCTCTGTCACGCAGGCTGGAGTACAGTGGCGTGATCTCGGCTCAGTGCAACCTCCGCCTCCCAGGTTCAGCAATTCTCCTACCTCAGCCTCCTGAGTAGCTGGGATTACAGGCACGCACCACCATGCCCAGCTAATTTTTAGAGACGGGGTTTCACCATGTTGGTCAGGCTGGTCTCAAACTCCTGATCTCATGATCCACACGCCTTGGCCTCCCAAAGTGCTGGGATTACAAGCGTGAGCCACCGAGCCCAGCTGAGATGCTGCACGTCTAAACAGTCCCAGATGATGCTAGCAAGGACCAGTAGCAATGAGCAAGACTGAAATTGGGAGAGTCTCTCAGCCTTCTGATGCCACATTCTCATTTACAAAATGATAATTCCACCTGCCACACAGACTTTTCTCAGCCAGGAAGATGGTGCCCTCGGGGGGATAAGGTGATGCGACATTTGTGCTGTCACTCACCTCCTGCCTGCCCCCTGCACCTCGAGGCCTCCCTCAGCCCCCAGGAAAGGACTCACAGCCCAGCCAGCAAGGAGACAGGAGGAAGATATCACAAAGTGAGTGCAGCTTCTGTTAACTGCCTTAAGCTGCTCCCTGCAATAATGTTGGTGTAATCCATAAGATTCAATTATGGTTATCAGACAATTAGGCACACCACAGCGAGGTTATTGCATAATTAATGCTCAGTCCCCATCTCAGCCTCTGAGAGTGACACAGGTTACAAGATTCACCTGCCCCGCATCTGGGAGAGGAGCAGGGGCACCCAGGATGGGGAATGACCTCCCTGTGGGCTCAGAGGAGGATGTTCTTAGGACCCCAGAGGCATGGCAAAGGGACAGTGTGTGGCTGAAAGAGCTTGAGTCAGTGTGTGCCCAGGGCCCTCACGCCTGCCATTGTGTTTAGGACTTGGGCTTTAATCTCTGGAGCGAGATTCAAATCCTGCCTCAACTACTGATTGGCTATATGGCATTAAGCACTCGCCTTACATTTTTAAAGCCTCCATCTCCTTGTCTTTTAAAGAAGGGAATTGATGATGTTATGAAAACTGGATGAGAGAGTTTGCATATTGGTTAGATGGTTCCTGCAGTACTATTTTCATTATTTCCCTCTCTGAGCCTCAGTGTCTTCATCTGTAAAATGGGAATAATTAGCCTCACCTTGCCTAGGCTTGAAAGATCAGCCGGTAGTTTGAGACCTGCCTGGGCAATATAGCAAGACCCTGTTCACCACAAAAAAGGAAAAAAAAAAGGATGAAAGATCAGTTTGTGAGTCAAGTAAGACACACATGTGAACGGGATGTGTGGAGTGCTTTGCTAACGCGCCATTGTCTTAGTTACTATGTGCCTGGTTTTCTGCTCAACCCTCCAGGGTACGACTTTGTACAAGTCCCCAGGTCTCAACAGGACAGTGGGTGATCAGCCCACCTGAGAAGTGAAACTCATGATTTGGGTGAGTAGACTAGAGGAGAATCACTTCTTTCTTTCTTTTTTTTTAGACGGAGTCTCGCTGTGTCACCCAGGGATCTCAGCTCACTGCAACCTCTGCCTCACCGGTTCCAGTGATTCTCCTGCCTCAGCCCCCCGAGTAGCTGGGATTACAGGCACACGCCACCACACCTGGCTAATTTGTTATTATTAGTAGAAACGGGGTTTCACCATGTTAGCCAGGCTGGTCTTGAACTCTTGACCTCAGACGATCCACCTGCCTCAGCCTCCCAAAGTGCTGGGATTACAGGCATGAGCCACCATGCCCGGCCTGAGAATCATTTCTTGAGCTATGATCTGTAACATTCAAATGAGCCTCAACGGACACAAAACAGAAAAATCATCAAAAATGTCGGTGAAAAGTTCAGGTGGGAGAACTCAGGTGATGGTGCAGACAGAAGCAAGTAGGGGAGAAAGCTGGCTTCAGGGAGAGTGGTTAGGCCTTTGTGAGAAAGACTGGGGACTTCTCATATCATCCTCTGTGTCCCAGTTCCCAAAACACACACGCACATGGGCACATGCATGCAGGCACACAAAAACAAGCCCATACACCAGACGAAAAAATACAGATGCAGGTACACACACATGGACATGGACATGTGTGTGCCTGTGCCCATATAAACAAACATTAGTGCACACACACACTCACACACACACAGGCTCGGGCAGTATGTGCTCACACACAACCATACACACAGATACGCACAGAGGTACATTCACACACAGACCAACACACACAGGCACACAGATGCATGCACGCATGCACGTGCGCGCACACACACACACACGTGCACCCACCCTCAGTGATAACCTTCCAATCCACTGGCCTCTCCGAAATTAGCACAGACCATTTTCCCACGACCCTTTCTCGCTGAGCGTGTGATTCCAAAACTGTCCACAAGAAGGTGCTCGGGAGCCAGAATTCAGGCGTTCCCGGCCCGCGGACGCTTAGAGAGGGGAGCTTCGGAGTTATGGGGGGACCCACCCTTCCATTTAATAACTGAGAAAGCCACGGGAGGGGACTTGCTGGGCTCACAGCCAGTGATCCCTGCCCTGTTTCCTTATGGGGACTGCGGTCAGAAATGGGGAGTGGGGCAGAAACTGTCACTGTCACGGTCCTGTTTAGAGAGGAAGGTCGGAGAAACCAGTGCCGTGGAAGGCTCTGGGGCGTTGACAGGCGCTGTCCCCAGCTCACCGGCTCTATGACCCTGGGTAAGTTACCTGGCTTCTCTGTTCCTCAGTTTTCTCGTCTTCCCTGACCCAGGCTTTCCCGACTCCTCTAGGGGCCCCTTCCCCTCTCCATGAACACCTTCAGATCTCGGACTGTTTTCTCCACTCAAGTGGCATCTCAGCTATCCCCTCCCGGGTTAGGCCTCCCTGGCCCCTATTTAACGGTGTCCCCACCCCCACCACTATCTTGTTTGTACCAACACTTGCTGCCTGACAATGCACACTTGTTCATTTGTTCACGTTTATTTTGTCTTCTCCAGAAGAATGGAAACTTCGTCAGAGCAGGGACGTGAGGGTGAACTGCTCACCCGGGCACCGCTGGCGACCGGAACCCAGCTCCCTCCGGGCTCCGGGAGAGGCGGCCTCAGCTGTGTGCTGGTGCTGCCCTCCAGCGGCGCTGGGTCCCCATGGCACCTGGCTTTCTCCTGCTCCCCAGGGGCCTTTTCTTCTCCCGCCCACCTGTCACCAGCCGCCAGGGCAAGTCTCTGTGTGACTCTAGGGTGAAGGTGGAGGGACCTTGCCTCCGAGGATTCATCCCACCCGGATTCCGATGAGTGAGGGACCCTCTCTGGCACCTGGTGTTTGAATGGCCAGCCTCACAGTTAATAAAGACAAGTTTGGTATCAGCTGTGGGATCCGTCCAGAAAAAGACACCTTTGGGGCAGAAATATAATGGTGCCTGTCTCGACATAGTCTAATAAGGAAAGAAAGACAAGCCAGTCCAACGGTCCCATTTTACACATGAGGTCACTTCATCCCCACCTAGGACAGGAGGGTACAACGGCCTGGCCTAAGATAACCCTAGAATATGGTCACTCATTCTTCCACCCACTGAGAACCTCAGGGCAGTAGAGTTTTATGCAAAGCATGTGGTCCTGAAAAACTTGCATAATTCAAAGCGTGCATAATTTCTGACTAATTTTGCCAGAGAAATGAATGCAAAGTAGAAAGGATAGGTTGCATACATTACTCCAATTGTGGCATATTTTTGCCTTAATGCTGCTTTTTATTTCCCTGGCATTATCGCTAATATTTCATAACGCACTCTCTGCTAAATTAACAGTGCAGCATTTCCTGCCGGTGGTTTGGCCTTCTTCATAACGTTTTATCACATCTCACTTCCTTTCCAATGTTATCGATTTTCAGGTGCGTTTTTCAGCACCACCACTTAAAGAACACTTGGATGACATTGTTACAGGATATGGGTAAAATATTTAAAGTTATAATAACTGTGAACATTGAGAAAATGGCACACCAGTCACCAGAATCTCCTGCAGAAATTAGAAATTCAGAGGCATGTAAACAACAGTGCATGCATATAGAAAGCAGGTATTTCTATTTAATAACCAAAGCAACGTCGCCATGTGGCAGGTTTACAGTCCTCATTTAACAGCTCACTTAGTTCCTCCGACTCAAGGAAACTGCAATTCTTGACAGGTTTTTTTTTAACTGAGGGGCTTGGCATTATTTCCAGCTTAGTGCATAAACATGTATTAGCATTTTTATATTGCACCTTGCCAAAGTCACAGTTTAGACTCCCATAAACAGTGACTTCACCCTAAATGGTCACCCTAAATGGTTAAGGCTGTGTCCTTAACCCCAGAAGGGTGGAAATGTATGACTCCACCTAGTCATCTCAGATACGGATTTCAGAAATCTCAGCCACCCACCTCATACTTACACAGGGACCTTTTTGGAGGCAGCATCATCTGAGGCCGCTCTTGCCCAATTTGGCTGGCCCCACCTCCTCCCCAACGTCATCTTCTCTTGCAGTCTAGAGAGGGGGGCTACTCCCCCAATATAGCATCCATATTTAGATCCATGTTGGAGGGTGGGTAGAAAGGGGAGGTAGGATGAGGGAAAATTGAGTCTCAGTTTCACACATTTGTAAGATCGTCAGACTTTCCACATTGCCAAGAAACTCGTCAGCACAACCGCTGTGAATTGGCTTCTTGGCCTTCGTCTGCCCAGAATTGCTTCCAGAATGGCTCCTTCAGCTTGGCCTGAGCTTGGCCCCAGAAAGAGTGCCACGGGCCCTAGGAAGGAGGAAAAGTGGGGCATTCAGGGCAGGCTCTGAACCCACTTGGATTCCAGTCCTGATTCCATTTGCATGTGACCTTGAGCAAGTCTCTATGCAAGGCACTTCACCTTTCTGGGCCTCAGTTTCCACCTCTGTCAAATGGGGATAATAATACCATCTACTTCCCAGAATTGGTGCCAGAATGAAAAGCAGTCCCTGCTGTGATAGTGTCTAGAACAGAGTAAGTGCCCAATAAATATTCCTTCGCTCTTGTTGCAGTTAGAAAAGCGACTGGATGAGGCGTACATTTACTGGTACCCTGGGATGTATAAGGGCCAGTGTCCGGGTGAGGCGATCCTGCCCCTCGGAGAATTTATGGTCCAACTTTGGAGAGTGAACCTGCCCTCCCACTAATTCAAGAATTCACCAGCCAGGAGAACTGCATGTGGAATTGCCCGGTCCAGCCCTGACTTTGCGCAAGTGTCCATCAAGTCTCCTTCTGCCTCTGGGCTGCCTCTGAGACTTGAGGGGGAGTAAACAGGAGCCTAGGGGTCTCTCCACCCTCCAGGTGCCCCATCAGGCCGGCACCTCCCCACCAGCCCACCCCTCCCCTTGCAGCAGCAAATCTGCAAATGTGCCTTGCAAGCATGTCCAGTGGGCCAGAAGCCACACTCATCCTCCCCACCCCTTCAGAGGACAGCAGAGGTGCCTGGCCCAAAGGCGGTGGTTGGAGCCTGGGCTTCCTGCCTGGGGTGGGGTGGAGAGGGATCTGCCTTCTCTTCTGGGCCCCTGCCCCCCAGGTTTTTCTTCCTCGATACTCACGTTCCTTTCCCTGGACAATCCCTTGCTCTATGAGGGCCTCAGCTTTCCCCTCTGAAAAATGGGCAGCCTGGACTTCTCCAGCTCCTCCAGCTAAGACATTCATCTCCCTATCTCCACACCAGCCTCGCCGCCAACACCCCGGTCCCTCTCTCTCTCCTCTGCTGTTGTGGGGGCCTGTCCCTGGGGTCACTGAGGCTACTGCTGGCTGGGCTCCCAAGCACCAGAGAAGGACTCCACAGAACAATAGCAGAAGGAAGGGGGCCATTCTTCAGGAGGAGAGAATGAAATGGCCTAGCTCAGCCATGCCTGCCCTAGGTCCAAAGCCCCCAGCTCCATTCCTGCCTCTTCTGCCATGTTCCCATGTTTCTACATATGCATGTCTCCCACCAGACAAGGTGGTCCTGAGAGCAGGAGACACCCAGGCTATCCTCGCTGTATGCCTAGCACCTGGGTGCTGGGACCTGTTTCCTGGTCGGACAGAATGGGCGCCCACCCAGCAGGTGCAAGGATGGTAATGTTTTCCCGGCCTGTAGCCTGAATTCCAAGTGTCCACTCAGGGCCAAACCATGCAGTCAGAAAAGGATTCTCACTGGGCAAGTGGCTCAGGCCTATAATCCCAACACTTTGGGAGGCCAAGGCAGGTGGATCACTTGAGGCCAGGAGTTCGAGACCAGCCTGACCAACATGGCAAAACCCCCTCTCTACTAAAAATACAAAAATTAGCCGGGCATGGTGGCAGGCACTTGTAGTCCCAGCTACTCGGGAGGCTGAGGCAGGAGAATCGCTTGAACCCAGGAGGTGTAATTTGCAGTGACCCGAGATCGCGCCACTGCGCTCCAGCTTGGGTGACAGAGCAAGAATCTCTCTCAAAAAACAAAGCAAAAAGAAAGGACTCTCACAGTGAATAACCTAAGTCTACAAAAATAAAAGAAAGGACTCTACCTCAGGCCCACACTTCCCTCCCCTCTCTGCCTCCCTTCCCCTCTCCCCCAAGCCCCTCTTCTGCTTGCCTCCAGCCTCCCACCTAGAGACTCAGTCATTTCTGGCTCTTTCTGACCCTGCTTTAGAATGAGAAAAAATATGGGGAAGCAGGGGCTTTTGATCATAAGGACAGGGGAAAGGAGATGGGATCCTTATCATGGCCTAGCTTCCGGCAAGATGTCTAAAACTCACATAGAATTGTCTCCTAGGGGAAATCACCCACCTGCATAATTTTCATATCCAATAATACTATAAGAGTGTCTATGTCCTTCCTACCTTGAGTTACATTTCTAAAAATCTTTATCATGTGAGTCACGAAAGGTGCCAGCTGCCAATAAGTGTGCATGGGGAGAGGACAGATAGCTGGGAGTAGAGATTTATGTTGCCTGATAATACTAAAGAATTGCTATACTCAGTTTCATCAAACCCAGGTCCTAATGTCAGCCTGAAATTCTTCCTCCTCCAGGAAGCCCTTCTGGACTGGGAGGGAAAGTCTATGATACAAGAAACAGTGTCTGATGTTTCCCAGATCCACCTTTTTTTCTCCTGTACCACGCCCACCACCTAGACAGCCCTTTCTCCATAGGTGTCCAAATGCCCCGAGTCTGTCAGTGCCAGGCTTGCATGCCATTATTTCCCAGATGAAAGTGACTACCCCCCTGTTAGGACCCAAGCACTTCCTACCCTGGCCTGTGATCACAGGTCCTAGGAGAATTGCTCAGCAATGGGAGGGAGGACACGTAGCAGGTCCCAGCCCTGACTTTGCCCAAATATCTGTCAAGCCACTTTCGGCCTCTGGGTCTCCTCCCTGAGGGATGGATGTGAGCTTAGAGGCCATTTAGGCTAACCCCTCCCCAGCCTGGTTGCCGTCTCCCCATATCCCTGACTTATTCATGGATGCTGAGGAATTGGTATGTTTGTCAAGTGACTAAATGAATAAATTCAGAACTTGGGGATTCCAAGATCTAACGCTCCCTCAAAGTTAAGCCTCTTAGCCTCCTTAACCCTGCAACTATCCTTCCTTTTCCTTATACCAGTCCAGTAACCAAATCACCTTCTAAACCACCAGCCGGCCAGCCATACCCCCAATATGACCCAGGTGAAATGACCAAAAAGGTTGACAGTACATCCAGTCACTGGGTTTTTATAAAATTGTAATTAGTAATTATTATGTACTATGGAGGTAATAATAATAGCAGCAAACATTTATTTTATTTTATTTTATTTTATTTTATTTTATTTTATTTTATTTTATTTTTTGAGACAGAGTCTTACTCTGTCGCCCAGGCTGGAGTGCAGTGGCCCACCTGGTACTGGGCTTGAGGCTTTGATGTGAACGACTTCATTTAATCCTCACAGTAATCCATAAGGGAGTTCCATCATTAGCCTCTACCTTTCAGACCTGGAAATGAGGCGTAAAGGGGTTAAACTTGCCCCATGTAGCAAGCTGGTAACAGAATTTGGGGACTTTATAAAATCATTCTTTATCCATTGTGTACAATATTTTTCCATTTTTGTAGTCCTCTTTCAGACTTTGACATTTTTTTTTTAATTTCATATCCTAATCTATTTTCAGTTCATTACCCCTGCCCTATTTGTTTGGCAATGTTTCTGTGAACTGTCAATCTTGTCTTCCTCTCTAAGAGACTAGAAATATTCATGGAATTTGTGAAAACATAGCCAAATAGGTAAAGTGGACATGGATGACTGAAAATGAATTTTTTTAAATGAAACAACCTAGAAAGAAGACAAAATTGCTTTCAAAATGCATGCAAAAATTGCAAAATCTCCCCAGGGTGCAATGACCTTATCAAGACAGGAACTAATGGCTGTAAACATTCATTTCCAACTGAATTTCTTTCAGTTGATTCACTTGGAACCCAGAAAAACTTTAAAATTTGTAATAACTTCATCAGATGAATGCATAATTGCTGGGAAATTATTTAGCAATTAAAAGCCCAGAAGTCTGAAGGTGGGGTTGGTGTATAGAGCTAAAATGCACTTTAGAAGCTATCCTCATTGTACATAAAAATTAATAATACTTGATAAAACAGGGGCCAGAAATACTGTTTCAACCAAATTTTTTTGGCGTCAGTTTTATTGAAGCATAACTAGATACAATAAAATGCAAAGATTTGTAAGTGTAGCGTTATAACAACCGTATAATCAAGATATTGATTGACTGCTTTTGTTTGTTTTAGAGACAAAGTTTCACTCTGTTGCCCAGGCTGGAGTGCACGGGTGTGATCATAGCTCACTGTAACCTTGCACTCCTGGGATCAAGCGATCCTCCTGCTTCAGCCTCCCAGTATCTAGGACTACAGGCGTGTCCCACCACGCTGGGCTCATTTTTCTAACTTGTACAGAGAGGGTCTCGCTCTGTTGCCCACACTGGTCTTGAACTCCCGGCCTCAAGCGATCTTCTTACCTCGGCCTCCCAAAGTGCTGGGATTACAGGCATAAGCCACCACACCTGGCCTGACTGATACTGACAATGACAAGATATTAAACATTTCCATCACCCCAGGAAGTTTTCTTGTGCCTCTTTGTAATCAATCCACCCCATCACCAGTCAACCAATGATCAGTGCTCTATAACCAGAGCTTATATTTGTCTGTTCTAGAATTTCATATAAATGGATTCATACAGTATGTACTCCTTTGTGTCTATCTTCCTTCACTCAGTAAAATGCCTTTGAGGATCATACATTGTATTTATTTATTTATTTTGAGACAGAGTCTCGCTCTGTCACCCAGGCTGGAGTGCAGTGGCACGATCTCAGCTCACTGCAACCTCTGCCTCCCCAGCTCAAGCGATTCTCATGCCTCAGCCTCCCAAGTAGCTGGGACTACAGGTACACACCACCACACCTGTGTAATTTTTGTACTTTTTGTAGAGACTGGGTTTTCACCATGTTGGCCAGGCTGGTCTAGAACTGTCCTCAAGTGATCTGCCCACCTCAGCCTTTCAAAGTGCTGGGATTACAAGTGTGAGCCACCGCGCCCGGCCGAGATTCATACATTTTGTTGTTACAATCAAGCAGTTCTTTCATTTCCCTGAGTAGTATTCTACCCATTTTATCAAGTAGTGTTCCACTGTATGCAAATATCACAGTGTGTTTATCCATTCACCTGTTGATGGACGTTTGGATTTTCTCTGATTTTTTGGTATTAGGAATAAAACTGCTATGAAGATTTTTGCATAGGTTTTAAGGTGAACATAACTTTTCATTTCTCTTGAGTAAATACCTAACAATGAGAGTGCAGGGTCATATGGAAAATGTGTCACTATATTAAAAAACTGCCAGCTGGGCACAGTGGCTCATGCCTGTAATCCCAGCACTTTGGGAAGCCGAGGCAGGCAGATCACAAGGTCAGGAAATCGAGACTATCCTGGCTAACACGGTGAAACCCCGTCTCTACTAAAAACACAAAAATTAGCCGGGCGTGGTGGCAGGCGCCTGTAGTCCCAGCTACTCGGGAGGCTGAGGTAGGAGAATCGCTTGAACCTGGGAGGCGGAGCTTGCAGTGAGCCGAGATCGCACCACTGCACTCCAGCCTGGGCAACAGAGTGAGACTCCATCTCAGAAGAAAAAAAACAAAAAAACTGCCAAGCTGTTTTCCAAAGTGACTTTACCATTTCACCATCACCCCGCAGTATGTGAGGATTCCAGCTGCTCCCCATTCTGACAAACAAATGACAGCTTTTAATGTCTTTTTTAATTCTAAGAGGTAAGAAATTGTATCTCTTTGTTCAACCACGTTGCTTTTTTTTTTTTAGACAAAGTCTCACTCTGTCACCTAGGCTGGAGTGCAGTGGCCCAATCTCGGCTCACCGCAACCTCCGTCTCCCAGGTTCAAGTGATTCTCCTGCCTCAGCCTTCCGAGTAGCTGGGACTATAGGCACGCACCACCACGCCCAGCTAATTTTTTTCTATTTTTAGTAGAGACGGGGTTTCACTATGTTGGCCAGAATGATCTTGATCTCTTGACCTCGCGATCTGCCCACCTCGGCCTCCCAAAGTGCTGGGGATTACAGGTGTGAGCCACCGCGCCCAGCCAACCACGTTGCTTTTTATGCAACAATCTGCTGGCTTCTCAACACCAAATGTGTATGCCCTACCTATTTGCATTCATGCACAAAAATGTGTCTATGTGCATACACACAAACACACACATACACCTGGGCCCCTCCTGCTGCTCCCCGTGTGGTGAAGAACACCCTCAATGAGGATGAACTTTGGCCTCTGCACAGGAACTGGCTGACCCTGAGCAGTTCACTTCAGACCTGCTTTTCCAACAATCAAATGTGGACAATAATCCAGCCCACTAAGATCAAAACACCAAAAGCATAATCTACGAAAGAAATTGATAATTTGGACTTCATTAAAATTAAAAACTTCAGCTGGGCACAGTGGCTCATGCCTATAATCCCAGCACTTTGGAAGGCCAAGGCGAGAGCATCACTTGAGCCCAGGAGTTAGAGAGCAGCCTGGACAACATGGCAAAACCCTGTCTCTACAAAAAAAAAAAAAAAATACAAAAATTAGCCAGGTGTGGTGGCATGCACCTGAGTCCCAGGTACTAGAGAGGCTGAGGTGGGAGGATCACCTGAGCCCAGGAGGTTGAGGCTGCAGTGAGCCTGGACTGGACCAATGCACACCCATCTGGGTGACAGAGTGAACGCTTGTCTCAAAAAAAAAAAATTAAAAACTTCTGCTCTGCAAAAGAGACTGTTATGAGAATTAAAAAAAAGCAAGCCACGGACTAGGAGAAAATATTTTCAAAACACATGTCTGATAAAGGACTGTTATCCAAACTATACAAATAACTCTTAAAACTCACTATTAAGAAAATATATGAACTAAAAGTGGGCAAAACATCTGAACAGACACTCCACCAAAGAAGATACACAGATAGGAAAGAAGCAAACGAAAAGATGCTCAACATCACATGTCATTAGGGAATTGTCAATTAAAACAGCAATTAGATAACCACTACACACCTATTTGAATGGCTACACCCAAAAAACCAACAGTAACCAATGCTATAGAGGACGTGGAGCAACAAAAATTCTCATACACGCCGGTGGCAATGCAAAGTGGCACAGCCACTTTGGAAGACGGTTTGGCAGCTTCTTCCAAAGCCAAATATAGTCATAACATACGATTCAGCAATCGCATTCAGTTATTTACCCAAATGAGTTGAAAACATATCCACAGAAAAACTTGCACACAAGTGTTTATAGCAGCTTTATTCGTAACTGACAAAACCTGGAAGTAAGTAACCAAGATGTTCTTCAAAAGGTGAACAGGGCCAGGCACGGTGGCTCACGCCTGTAATCCCAGCACTTTGGGAGGCTGAGGCAGGCAGATCACCTGAGATAGGGAATTTGAGACCAGCCTGGCCAAAATGATGAAACCCCATCTCTATTAAAAATACAAAAGTTACCTGGGCATGGTGGTAGACGCCTGTAATCCCAGCTACTCGGGAGACTGAGGTGAGAGAATCACTTGAACTTGGGAGGCGGAGCTTGCAGTGAGCTGAGATCGTACCACTGCACTCCAGCCTGGGCAATAGAGTGAGACTCCGTCTCAAAAAAAAAAAAAATAGGTAAATGGATAAAGTGTAGGATATCCATACAGTGGAATATCATTCAGTGCTATGGGCTGACTTGCGTCCCCGCTCTCTGCCAACAAATTCGTATGTTGAAGCCCTAACATCCCCTGCCATTTTGACTGTATTGTAGTTAGGGTCTTTATGGAGGTAAAGATATGACAATTATAAATGTATATCCACCATGCAACAGAACCCCAAAATATATGAAGCAAAATTAACAGAACTTATGGAAAAACAGTCAATTGTATTATTATAATACAATACAATTTAGGGAGAATTGACATCTTAACAATTTAAAGTCTTTTGATCCATTTTGATCCATGAACATCACATATCTTTTGATTTATTTAAGTCTTTGTTTCTTCAATGTTTGGTAGTTTTTTGTTTGTTTGTTTGTTTGTTTGTTTTTGAGATGGAGTCTTGCTCTGTTGCCAAGACTGGAGTGTGGTGGCGTGATCTCAGCCCACTGCAACCTCTGCCTCCCGGGTTCAAGCAATTCCCCTGCCTCAGCCTCCCAAGTAGCTGGGACTACAGGCGCCCGCCACCACACCCAGCTAATTTTTTGTATTTTTAGTAGAGACGGGGTTTCACCCTGTTAACCAGGATGGTCTCGATCTCCTGACCTCGTGATCCGCCCATCTCAGCCTCCCAAAGTGCTAGGATTACAGGCTTGAGCCACCGAACCCGGCCAATGTTTGGTAGTTTTTAGCATACAAATCTTGCACGTATTTCAGGTTTTCCTTGATATCGTAAATGGTCCTTTTTTTCTTTTTTTTGACACAGAGTCGCTCAGGCTGGAGTATAGTGGTGTGATCTCGGCTAACTGACACCTCCACCTCCCAGGTTCAAGTGATTCTCCTGCCTCAGCCTCCGGAGTAGCTAGGATTACAGGCATGCGCCACCACACCTGGCTAATTTTTATATATCTAGTAGAGATGGAGGTTTCACCATGTTGGCCAGGCTCGTCTTGAACTCCTGACTTCAAGTGATCCCCCCACCTTGGCCTCCCAAAGTTCTGGGATTACAGACATGAGCCACCATGCCTGGCCATAAATGGTATTTTTTTTTTAAAAAAATCTCAATTTTTGCTTGTTTATTTCCATCTATAGAATTGATTTTTCTATATATACAATTGATTTTTGTGTATTGATCTTGTATTCTGCAACCTTGTTTAACTCACTTATAAGCTCTAATAGCTTTTTTTTTTTTACCTCTAATAGCTTTTTAAAACAACTTTATTAAGGTATAAATCACACACCATACCATTTATCCATTTGAAGTGTCAATGGTTTTTACTATATTCATAGAGTTGTATAAGCATCACCACAACCATTTTAGGATAATTTAGTCACTCCAGCAAGAAACCTTCCTATCTTTTGCAGTCACTTTGCATTTCCCATAGCCCCCTAGGTCCTACGCAAACACTAATCTAGCTTCTGCCTCTATAGATTTACCTATCTGGGATTTTATAAGTGAATTCATACAATATGGTCTTTGGTGACTGGTGTCACTTACTTAATGTAATATTTTCTTTTTTTTTTTTTTTTGAGATGGAGCCTGCCCTGTCGCCCAGGCTGGAGTTCAATGCCACAATCTCAGCTCACTGCAATCTCTGCCTCCCAGGTTCAAGCGAATCTCCTGCCTCAGCCTCCAGAGTAGCTGGGATTACAGGCACGTGCCACCACGCCTGGCTAATTTTTCTATCTTTAGTACAGATGGGGTTTCACCATGTTGGCCAGGCTGGTCTCGAACTCTTGACCTCATGATCCACCCGCCTCAGGCTCCCAAAGTGCTGGGATTACAGGCGTGAGCCACTGCGCCCAGCCTAATGTAATATTTTCAAAGTTCATCCATGTTGTAGCATGTTATCAGTACTTTTTTCCTTTTTATGAATGAATAACCTTCCATTGTATGGACATATCACATTTCATTTATCTGTTGATCAGCTGATGGACATTTGGGTTGTTTATACCTTTTGGCTATTATGAAGAATGCTGCTATGAACATCTGCATTCAAGTTTTTAGGTGGACATTTGCTTTAATTTCTCTGAGGCTTATACATAGGAGCCGAATTATTAGGTCATATGGTAACTCTGTGTTTACTCCTTTGAGGAACTGCCAGACTGCTTCTAAAACAGCTTCATCATTTTACATTCCCACCAGCAATTTATGAAAGCTGCAATTCCTCCATGTCCTGGCCAACCTTGTTATTGTCTGTTTTTTTATTATTTTTATTATTTTATTATTATAGCCACCCTAGTGGATGTAAGTGCTACTTATTGTGGTTTTGATTTTTGTTTCCCTAATGACTAATGATTTCTAGCATCTTTTCCTGTGCCTGTTGGCATTTTGCATATCTTCTTTGGAGAAATATCTACTCAAGTCATTTGATCATTTTAAAATTGTGTTATTCCCCATCAAAAAGTGGGCAAAGGATATGAACAGACACTTCTCAAAAGAAGACATTTATGTGGCGAACAAACATATGAAAAAAACTCATCATCACTGGTCATTAGAGAAATGCAAATCAAAACCACAATGAGATACCATATCATGCCAGTTAGAATGGCGATTATTAAAAAGTCAGGAAACAACAGATGCTGGCGAGGCTGTGGAGAAATAGGAACGCTTTTACACTCTTGGTGGGAATGTAAATTAGTTCAACCACTGTAGAAAATAGTGTGGTGATTCCTCAAGGATCTAGAACCAGAAATACCATTTGACCCAGCAATCCCATTGCTGGGTATATACCCAAAGGATTATAAATCATTCTGCTATGAAGACACATGCACACATATGTTTACTGCAGCACTGTTTACAATAGCAAAGACTTTAAACCAACCCAAATGCCCATCAGTGATAGACTGGATAAAGAAAATGTGGCAAATATACACCATGGAATACTATGCAGCCATTAAAAAAGAATACATTCATGCTGGGCACGGTGGCTCATGCCTGTAATCTCAGCTACTCAGGAAGGCTGAGGCAGGAGAATCACTTGAACCTGGGAGGCGGAGGTTGTGGTGAGCCGAGACTGTGCCATTGCACTCCAGCCTGGGCAACAAGAGCGAAACTCCATCTCAAAAAAAAAAAAAAGAATGAGTTCATGACCTTTGCAGGGACATAGATGAAGCTGGAAGCCATCATTCTCAGCAAACTAACACAGGAACAGAAAACCAAACACCACATGTTCTCACTCACAAGTGGGAGTTGAACAATGAGAACACATGGACACAGGGAGGGAACATAACACACTGGGGCCTGTCAGGGGGTCGGGGGCAAGGGGAGGGAGAGCATTAGGACAAGTACCTAATACATGCAGGGCTTAAAACCTAGATGTCGGGTTGATGTGTGCAGCAAACCACCATGGCGCATGTATACTTATGTAACAAATCTGCACGTTCTGCACATGTATCCCAGAACTTAAAGTAAAATTTAAAAAAAAAAAATAAAATAAAATTGGGTTGTTGGTCTTATTTGTTGTTGAATTGTAAGAGTTCTTTATATATTCCGGATAGTAGACCCTTATTGAATATGATTTACAATTTTTTTCCCATTCTGCAGATTATCCTTTCACTTTCTTAATAGTGTCTTTTGATGAACAAAATTTTTCTAATTAATGAAGTCTAAAATAGGTATATATTTTTCTTTCACTGCTTGTGCTTTCATGTCATACCCCAAAATCCATTGCCAAATCAAAGGTTTACCTTAGGTTTTGCTGGAAATGTTTATACTTTTTTTTTTTTTTTTTTGAGACAGAGTCTTGCTCTGTCACCCAGGCTGGAGTGCAGTGGCGTGATCTCAGCTCACTGCAACCTCAGCCTCCCAGGTTCTAAGGGATTCTCCTGCCTCAGCCTCCCAAGTAGCTGGGATTACAAGCACACACCACCATGAATGGCTAATTTTGTATTTTTAGTAGAGATGGGGGTTTCACCATGTTGGCCAGGCTGGTCTCGAACTCCTGACCTCAGGTGATCCACCAGCCTCAGCCTCCCAAAGTACTGGGATTACAGGCATGAGCCACCGTGCCCAGCCAAATTTTTACAGTTTTAACTCATTTGTAGGTCTTTGACACTTTTTTTTTTGGTCTTTGATATATTTTGATTTAATTTTTATAGTTGGTGTGAGATAAGGTTCCAACTTCATTCTTTTGAATGTAGATATCCATTTGTCCAAGCATCATTTGTTGAAGAAACTATTCTTTCCTCATTGAATAGTCTTGGCACTCCTTTTGAAAATCAAATAACTACTGACATCTACATTGATGATGTTTTTCAGGACTCTCTGTTCTATTCTATTGATCTATATGTCTATCCTTATATACTGTTTTAGTCACTGTAGCCTTATAAGAAGTTTCGAAATTGGGAAGTGTGAGTCCTCCAAATTTGTTCTTTTTCAAGGTTGTTTTGGCTATTCTGGGTCCCTTGAAGTTACATATGAACTTTAGAATCAATTTTTTCATTTCCACAAAAAGGCTTTTGGGATTTTGACAAGGATTGCCTTGAATCTGTAGTTTGCTTTGGGGTATACTGCCATTCTTGCACAGGATTTCTTTCAAGGTATTTAGGTCTTCTTTAATTTTGTTCAGTAATGTTTTGTAGTTTTCAGTGTACAAATCATGTACCTCCTTAGTTAAATTTATTCCTAAGTGTTTTATTCTTTTTGATGCTATTGTAAATGGAATTGTTTTCTTCACTTCCTTTCTGTGTTGTTCATTACTCCTGTATAGAAATGCCACTAGTTTTTGTGTGTTGATTTTGTATCCTGTCATTTTTCTAAATTTAATAGTTGGCTCTGATAGAGGATTTGTTAGAATTTCTTATATATAAATCATGTCATCTGTGAATAAATATAATTTTACTTCTTCCTTTCTAATTTGGATGTTTCATTTCTTTTTGTTGCTTAATTGCTCTGGCTAGAACTTCCAGTACAATGTTGAATAGCAGTAGCAAAAGTAGGCATCCTTATCTTATTCCTGATCTTAGGGGAAAGATTTCACACTTTCACCATTGGGTATAATGTTAGCTATGAGTTTTTCGTAAATGTCCTTTATCATGGTGAGGAAGTTCTTTTCCATTCCTAGTTTCTGAGACTTTTAGTCTCGAAAGGTGTTGGATTTTGTTAAATATTTTTTCTGCATCAATTTGAAATGCTCTTATGGGGATTTTTCTTCATCCCATTAAGGCAGTATATTACACTGATTAATTTTTATGTTGAACCAACAGTGCATTCCTGGGATGACTCCTACTTGGCAATGATGTATAATCCTCTTCACATGTTGATGGATTTGGTTTGCTAGTATATTGTTGAAGATTTTTGCATCTACATTCATAAGGGATATTCGTCTGTGGTTTTCTTTTCTTGTGATGTCTTTATCTGTCTTTGATATCAAAGTAATGCTGAATTCCTAGAATGGGGTAAGAAATGGTCTCCCTTTCCATTTTTTGAATGAGTTTGATAAAGATCAGTGCTAATTCTTTGTCAGATGTTTGGTAAAATTCACCAGTGAAGCCATCTGGTTGTGAGCGTGTTTTTATTGGGAGGTTTTTGATTACTTATTCATTCTCTTTATTTACTAATGGGCTGTTCAGATTTCTATTTCCTCTTGAGTCAGTTTTGGTCGTTTGTGTTTCTAGGAATTTGTCTATTTCATCTAGACTATCTAATTTGTTAACTTTCAATTGTTCATTATATTCTCTTACAATTTCTTTTTTTTTTTCTGTAAACTCTTTTGTAATATCCCCACTTTCATTTCTGATGTTAGGAATTTGAATCTTCTCCCTTTTCTCTTTGTCAGTCTAGCTAATGGTTTGCCAAGTTTGATGATCTTTTAAGGCCAATAACCAACTTTTGGTTTCCTTGATTTTCTCTACTGTTTTTCTATTCTCTACTTTTTCCACTATAATCTTTATTATTTTCTTCCTTCTGCTAACTTTGGGTTTAGATTGTATTCTTTTTCTAGTAGCTTAAGGCAGCAGTCCCCTACCCTTTTAGCACCAGGGACCAGTTTTGTGGAAGACAATTTTTCCACAGACCGTTGGGGAGAGGATGGTTTCAGGATGATTCAAGCACAATACATTTATTGTGCACTTTGTTCCTATTATTATTACATTGTAATATATAATGAAATAATTATACAACTCACCATAACAAAGAATCAGTGGGAGTCCTGAGCTTGTTTTCCTGCAACTAGACAGCCCCACCTGGGAGTGATAGGAGACAATAACAGATCATCAGGCATTAGAGTCTCATAAGGAGCACACAACCTAGATTTCTTGAATGCACAGTTCACAATAGGGTTTGTGCTCCTATGAGAATCCAATACCACCACTAATGTGACAGGAGGCAGATCTCAGGTGGTAATGCAAGCAATGGGGAACAGTTGTAAATACAGATGAAGCTTCACCCTCTGCTCACCTCCTGCTGTGTGGCCCAGTTCCTAACAGGCCACAGACCAGTACCAGTCTGTGGCCCAGGGATTGGGGACACTGACATACATTGTAAAGTTAGGTTATTTATTTGAGATCTTTCTTCTTTTTTAAAGTAGGCATTTATAACTATGACTTTCCCTCTGAGCACTGCTTTTGCTGCATCCTATAAGTTGTGGTATGTTGTTATTTTATTTTCATTCATCTCAAAGTGTTTTCTTCTTTCACCTGTAATTTCTTCTCTGGCCCACTGGTTATTTAAGAATATATTGCTTAGGCCAGGTGCAGTGACTCATGCCTGTAATCCTAGCACTTTGAGAGGCCGAGGTGGGCAGATCACGAGGTCAGGAGTTCGAGACCAGCCTGGCCAACATGGCGAAACCCTGTCTCTACTAAAAATACAAAAATTAGCCGGGCATGGTGGCATGCTCCTGTAATCCCAGCTACTCAGGAGGCTGAGGCAGGAGAATCGCTTGAACCTGGGAGGTGGAGGTTGCTGTGAGCTGAGATCACGCCACTCCACTCCAGCCTGGGCAACAGAGTGAGACTCCATTTCAAAAAAAAAAAAAAAAGAAGAATATATTGCTTAATTTCCACATATTTGTGAATTTTCCAGGTTTTTTTCTGTTGTTGCCTTCTAGTTTTATTTCATGTTAATTGGAAAAGACACTTTGTACAATTTCAATCTTTTAAATGTTATTGAGACTTGTTTTGTGGCCTAACATAGGGTCTATCCTGGAAAATGTTCCATGTGCACTTGAGTAGACTATGTATTCTGTGGTTGCTGGATGGAATGTTCTTTTTCTTCATAATTTTTTTAAAAAGAAAATAATCACAATGGGTAGTACAAATTTGGGATCTAAAGCCACTGTTTTCTTGTTGGGGGAGGAGGGCATTTTGGTGTTGGGGGTTTTTTTGTTGGTTTTGTTTGTTTGTTTGCTTGTTTTTTGAGACAGAGTATGGTTCCATTGCCCAGGCTGGAGACCAGTAGCACAATCTCAGCTCACTGCAACCTCCACTTCCTGAGTTCAAGCAATTCTCTTGCCTCAGCCTCCCGAATAGCTGGGATTACAGGCATGCACCACCATGCTGGGCTAATTGTTGTATTTTTAGTAGAGACCGGATTTTGCCACGCTGTCCAGGCTGGTCTCGAACTCCTGGCCTCGAACTCCTGGCCTCAAGCAATCTGCCCACCTCAGCCTCCCAAAGTGCTGAGATTACAACTGCGAGCCACCACGCCGGGACTTGGAGTGTTCTATATAAGTCAGTTATGTCTAGTTTATATACAGTGTTGTTCTAGTTGCTCTATTCATTATTGAAAGTGGGATATTGCAGTCTCCAGCAATTATTGTAGGACCGATGTACAAACTGAATGTTTGTTTCTTCCCAAGATTTGTATGTTGAAGTCCTAACACCTATTATGGCTGTATTAGGAGACAGGACCTCTAAGGAAGTAATTAAGGTTAAGTGACGTCATAAAGTTGGAGCCCTGATCCAGCAGGATCAATGTACTTATAAGAAGAGAAACCCAACAGCAATCTCTCTCCCTCTCTCTGTCTTTCTCTCTCTCTCTGCACATACACAAAGAAGTGGTCGTGTAAGTACACAGTGAGATGGCAACTGCCTACAAGCCAAGAGAAAAAGCCTTAGAATGAAACCAACTTTGGACTGGACACAGTGGCTCACACCTGTAATCCTAGCACTTTGGGAGGCCAAGGCGGGCAGATCACCTGAGGTCAGGAGTTCGAGACCAGCCTGGCCAACATGGTGAACATGTCTCTACTAAAAATACAAAAAACAGTGGGGCATGGTGGCATGTGCCTGTAATCCCAGCTACTCAGGAGGCTGAGGCAGGAGAATCGCTTAAACCTGGGAGGCAGAGGTTGCAGTGAGCCAGAATCGCGCCACTGCACTACAGCCTGGGCGACAGAGCAAGACTCCATCTCAAAAAAAAAAAAAGAATGAAACTTACTTTGAGGGCACCTTGATCTTGGACTTCCCAGCCTCTAGAACTTTGAGAAATGAATGTATGTTGTTTAAGCCACCCAGTCTGTGGTATTTTGTTATAACAGTCCATCAACTGGTGACTGGAAAACATACTGTGGTACATGATAAAAGGAACCAACGACTGATACATGCAACAACATGGATGAACCTTAAAAGCACCATGTTAAGTGAAAGAAGTCAGACACAAAAGGCTATATACTATATGATTCCATTTGTAAGACATTATGGAAAAGCCAAAACTAGGTAGGGAAATTAGTTTCCTGATGACCAGAGGGAACTTTTTAGGGTGATAGAACTATTCCTTATCTTGATTTTATGGTGATTACCCAAGTATAGACATTTGTTAAAACTCATAAAACTGCACACCCTAAGAATGATAAATTTTCCTGTATGTAACACATAACTCAATAAACCTAACTTTAAAGAAATTTGAAATTATGTGCAGGAATGCTACTTTCAGCAAGGCATGGTGGCTCACGACTGTAATCCCAGCACTTTGGGAGGCTGAAGCAGGCGGATCACTTGAGATCAGGAATTCGAGACCAGCCTGGGCAACATGATGAAACCCCGTCACTACTAAACATACAAAAAGTAGCTGGGTGTGGTGGCGTGTACCTGTAATCTCAGCTACTCAGGAGGCTGAGGCAGGAGAATCACTTGAACCCAGGAGGTGGAGGTTGCAGTGAGCCGAGATAGCACCACTGCACTCCAGCCTGGGAGACAGAGCAAGACTCTGTCTCAAAAAAACTGAATGCTACCTTCTCTGTACCTTAAAAGGTTCCATTGCTCTCAAAATCACACACTGCACATTTGTCATACTAAGTAGTCTCTCATTTTCAACTGAAGTTAGTGAAAAAAACAAGATTTTTTTTTTGAGATAGAGTCTCACTCTGTCACCCAGGCTGGAGTGCAGTGGCACGATCTCAGCTCACTGCAACCTCCGTCTCCTGGGTTCAAGCGATTCTCCTGCCTCAGCCTCCCAAGTAGCTGGAATTAAAGGGGACTGCCACGACGCCCGGCTAGTTTTCGCAGTTTTAGTAGAGATGGCCAGGGTGGTCTCGAACTCCTGACCTCAGGCGATCTGCCCGCCTGGCCTCTCAAAGTGCTGGGATTACAGACGTGAGCCACCATGCCTGGCCCAAAACAAGATCTTTGTACTTGTAAAAAAAAAAAAAAAAAAAAAAAAAACGGAGATACTTCTTTATTTTTAACCACTTTCTTTTTTCTTTCATATTTTTAATATTCTTTATCATATTTGAATGAATTTGGATGGAAGTTAATCTATCATGGATCTTGCACTTAATATCAGAATTTTTCTTCCTTATAAAATTTTGAAGTAGCAAAACAGACATTTTACTCTTAATTGATCCCACAAGTTATGACTAATTCTCAAGTAGACATTTTCTTAAGAGATTAATGGTCTAAGTCGAATTAAATAACTACAAGTTAAATATAGTTCTTAAAAATTCTTTGATTTAATGTTTAAACTGCTATTCTGCCAAATAATTCTATAAAGATTGGAATTATAGAAGATAATTGAATCTCTATTATTCTGCCTAGGTATTCTTATTTAAATTTGTATAAACATTTGTTGGCTCCTAAAGAATAAAATGTTCTTCCTAAAGTTATCTAGCTAACACACTCTTTTATTATTAATATGAACTATCAGTTTATTTTCTATTTATTTAAATATTTGAAACTTAACAATTACGTTTGCAAATAAAGTTCACATCTTTCAATTATCATTAATTATTGTACTATTTTATCCTGGAATAATATATGTGTATTCACCAACTGAGAGAAATAATTTCAACATATAAAGCATGAAAGGAGATTTTTCAGTTCAAGTGACTTTTAAAATATTTACCTATGTCTGAAAATGAATGTCCAGATATTAATGATAAATCCAAATGAGCTGCCTTGTTTGTATTCCTGATGTAATTACACTGGTTAAATATTATGTTCCTTTCTCAATCACAAGACCATTGATTTGCAAAATTTCAGAGATGTCAGAATGACACCAAAATAAGCATTCAACTATTTACCTTCCAAAGGCCAAAACCCAGGTGAAACAGAAGAATTTGGCTGAGTTGGAAGGCTGAAACCAAACTTCAATGCCTACTGACTCACAAAGGTTCTCATCTAGATTAGGAATGATCAGGCAACTGGCTCCCAAGCCAGGGACAGCTCCACAGTCCAGCTCTTCATTGACTCAGTCAACAAATGTTCATTGAACACCTACTATGCGCCAAGCTTGGTGCTAGGCACAAAGAATCCAGCAGTAAAAAAAAACAGAGTCTGGTTGGAGAGAGAGAAGTAAACAATTAGTAGACTATAGTGTATCAGATAGATTTCAATGCATTAATAGTCCCAACTATTGTCCTACCTGTATTCAATACAGGTAGATATGCTGTCCTGTAAGTTTGTACCCTCCTCACACTCTGACTCTGCTCTGCCTAGGGGTGTGCTTTGGCCAGTAGAATAAATAAGGCAGAAGTGATGTTGTACCAATTCTGAGCATAAGTTTCAAGAGGCCCTGCTACTGTTGCTCTCTCTCAGATCTCTGATCACCATAAGAATAAGCCGGCCGGGTGCAGTGGCTCATGCCTGTAATCCCAGCACTTTGGGAGGCCAAGGCAGGCAGATCACCTGAGGTCAGGAGTTTGAGACCAGCCTGGCCAACATGGTGAAACCCCGTCTCTACTAAAAATATATAGATAGATAGATAGATAGATAGATAGATAGATAGATAGATAGATAGACAGATAGATTAGCCAGGCATGGTGGCACGTGCCTGTAGTCCCAGCTACTCAGGAGGCTGAGACAGGAGAATCACTTGAACCCAGGAGGCGGAGGTTGCAGTGAGCCAAGATCGCGCCACTGCACTCTAGCATGGGCAACAGAGGGAGACTCCATCTCAAAAAATAATAATAATAAAGAACAATCCCAGGCTAGCCTCTTGAAGGATGAGAGACCCCATGAAGGGGAGCCCAGTTATCCCAACTGAGATGATCCTAAACCAATCTATAGTCAGCTGACCACCAAACATGTAAGCCCAGCCAAGATCAGCAGAACTGCCTAATTCACCCATAGATTCATGAGCCAAATTTTGAAAAGCCTTGTTACACAGCAATAGCTAACTGACAGAGTGTTAGTGCAATGATAAAGAATGTGCCCAGTGCCAAGAGGATTCTTAGGAACAGTTGAAAACCCAGCACAGGGAAAAAAAACACAAGGAAAAATAATAATAGGTAACTAAATGACAGACACTATGCTAAGTAATATATTATCACAATTCTCTATTTTAAGATACAGCATTCTGCTGGGAGCGGTGGCTCACACCTGTAACCCCAGCACTTTGGGAGGCTGAGATGGGCAGATAACCTGAGGTGAGGAGTTTGAGACCAGCCTGAACAACATGGTGAAACCCCATCTCTACTAAAAATATAAAAATTAGCCGAACATGGTGGCAGGCACCTGTAATCCCAGCTGCTCAGGAGGCTGAGGCAGGAGAATTGCTTCAAGCCGGGAGGCGGAGGCTGCAGTGAGCTGAGATTGCGTCACTGCACTCCAGCCTGGGCAAAAAAAGCAAGATTCCCTCTCAAAAAACAAAAAAAGAACATACAGCTTTCAAGTTCAAGACCAGCCTGGCCAAGAAGGAAAAACCCCGTCTCTAATGAAAATGCAAAATTTAGTAGCGCATGGTGGCATATGCCTGTAATCCCACCAACTAAGGAGGCTGAGGCACAAGAATCACTTAAACCCGGGAGGCAGAGGTTGCAGTGTACCAAGATCATGCCATTGCACTCCAGCCTGGGTGACAGAGGGAAACTCTGCCTACAAATACAGCTTTCAGGCCGGGTGCAGTAGGCGTGTAATCCTTTGAGAGGCCCAGGTGGGCAGATCCCTTAAGCCCAGGAGTTGAAGAGAAGCTTGGGCAACATAGTGAAACCTCGTCTCTACAAAAAAAAATTTTTTTTAAATTAGCCACATACCTGTAGTCCCAGGTACTTGGGAGGCTGAGGTGAGAGGATCTCCTGAGCCCGGGAGGTGGAGGCTGCAGTGAGCCATGATCGCATCACTGTACTGCCTGGGTAACAGCAAAAACCCTGTCTCAAAACAAACAAACAAACAAACAAATACAGCTTAGCTTATAAAGCAGCGAACCCAAGACCTGAACCTAGGTCCATGTCATTTTAAAAGGTAAGGTTTCCATTGCTCTGCTGTACCACAAGAGAGAGGGGAAGAAAGCAAAAAAAAAAAAAAAAAAATTAGTGAGAGGACTCTTGTTATGGATTCTATGGCTCCAAAATTGAAATTGCTTAACTCGGTTGACTTATGTCGTCATTCATTCATTTATATAATCTGCATGTTAAACTTGGGTTCTTGATGTTCATTTCAGACCATTCAAAACCCATGAAAGGTTAAAAGTGCTATCAGCATGCCAGGGTGAGATGTCCCTAAATCATCTGAACTGAACAGTAAACCTAGGGATGGGGAAAACAGAAAGAGCATTCGGAAGATGTTTGTTAAATTAAACTGAGTTCAAATTCCCAGATATCCACAGCAGCCCACCTCACCACCACCTCATTGCACCTGCCAGGTTTACAGCAGGGACAGAGAGAAAGAAGCCAACCTTAACCTGCACCCACCTGCTGGCAGCCCTTCTGCAAACACACCAGTATGTACACAACCTGATCTACACTTCCTGCTGCCCGGCTCTTTTCCTTTCTCCCTGCCCCTGCTCTTGGAACCCCACCACTTAAGAAGAAGGTGGGGCTGTGAGGTCCAGACACACTCCCTGGCACTGGCCAGTTCCTGCCCTAACCTCTCACCTTGGACAGCGATAAATGCCCACAATGTTATCTAGGGTTCTCTGATTGCAAGCAACGGATACAGACTCCAGCCAAGTTATGCAAAGAAATGGTTAATGAAAGAGTCCAGGGAAGCTCACAGAACTGAGGAAAAAGCTGAAGAATCAGGCTGGGATGGAAGCACAAGCAGGGCAGCTCTGGAAATCTCAGTTGCAGGAAACCATGAATGGTCTCTCTGGATGTTTCTGCAACTGCGAATCAGCTATAACCAATTTCAGGCTTTGTTGTTGTTGCATCTGCTCTGGATTCCATTTCAGAGGCAGAAAAAGTACATAATTGGCTTATTAGCCTTGCCTGGGTTATGTACCCTCGGCTAGGTCATGCCCTTTGCCTAGAGGAGAGCAGGTGTCTTGGTTGATGGCCCCAGAATACTAAAACAGCTGAGGTGGGACACTGCCAACAAGAAATGGGGCCCAGACGCAGTGGCTCACATCTGTAATCCCAGCACTTTGGGAGGACGAGGTAGGCAGATCACTTGAGGTCAGGAGTTTGAGACCAGCCTGGCCAACATGGCGAAATCCCATCTCTACTGAAAATAAAAAATAAAAATAAAATGAGCAGGGCATGGTGGCGTCTGCCTGTAATCCCAGCTACTCGGGAGGCTGAGGTAGGAGAATTGCTTGAACCCGGGAGGCGGAGGTTGCAGTGAGCCAAGATCACGCCAATGCACTCCAGCCTGGGTGACAGAGCGAGACTCCATCTCAAAAAAAAAGAAAAAAAAAAAAAGGACGCTCTTACTAGATGCCTCCTGCGCATACCTCCTTCATGTCTCATCACAAAAGGAATGGACAGGAGCAGCTCAGAGTGTCCATCGAGAAGACCGAATCTAGTGGGAAGGCCTCCCCAAGGAAGGGACATCTGCACTGAGCCCTGAAATATACATTAGCCGGGTGTAGGGATGAGTGTGGGAGAGCGCTGAACAAAGTGGGAACCTTCCAGATTGCCTTCCCCACTTCCAAGGCAGGCTCCTCATGTGGACCCTGGTAGCTTGCCATCCAGCATTCATCCCCTTGTGATAACGCCTCCCAAAATTCACTTGCAGAGCCCTCCCCGACTCTCAGCCCACCTTGTCTGGACCTTTGGCTAGGAACCCCCAGTTCCCAGGGAGTGGAGCTTGTGACACAGGCTTAAACCAGAGCGCTGGTCTTATCTGCTTGGCCACCGTGATTGGTCAGGGTGGTCATGTGACCTGAGCCAACTAATCAGAGTGTACCTCAAGACTGTGGAAGAACAGTGATTGTTTTTTCCCCCACCAGACTTCAACCAGATGGTGTAAGGTGTGGAATAGTTGAAGCCATTTTGCCATCCCATGGAGCCTCAGAGCAAAACCACTACTTAGATAAGAGCCTAGACTAGGATCTGTAATAACTGGGTCAAGCTGCACTTAAACCTGGTAGATCTCTGAGACTTCCCAGTGACATGGGCCAATAAGTTCCATTTGGCTTCAACAGGCCCTTCCCTACAACCCACTTACCATCTGGGATGAGAATCGGAGTCTTTTACCTTAGAAGCTATTAAGCCTGGCTCCTCTTCCATCTTACTGATGGGAAAACTGAAGTCTAGAGTGATGGAGAAATTATCTAAAAATCTCAAGACTGTAGCCACCAGGCCAAGAACTAAAAGTCTAGGGAGGTTTCCACCATGCCTCAATGTCTTTCCAGGTGGATCTGTGCCATGGACTTGCAGAGTGAAGTGTTTTAGCCACTGAACCCTCTCTCCCCTCATCCCCAGCCAAGATTAAGACAAAGCTGTTGCTTCTTTTTTTTTTTTTTTTTTTTGAGACCGAGTTTTGCCCGTCGCCCAGGCTGGAGTGCAATGGCACAATCTTGGCTCACTGCAACCTCCACCTCCCAGGTTCAAGTGATACTCCTGCATCAGCCTCCCGAGTAGCTAGGATTACAGGCACCCACCACTATGCCCGGCTAATTTTTGTATTTTTAGTAGAGATGGGGTTTCACCATGTTGGCCAAGCTGGTCTCGAACTCTTGACCTCAGGTGATCTGCCTGCCTCGGCCTCCCAAAGTGACAGAGAGTGAGCCACTGCGCCTGGCCAAAAGCTGTTGCTTTTGTGGTCCCCCTGGGATCTATCAGTGAAGCAACAGTTTCTGATTTTGTTTTTCACAGACCTACTACATTAGTTTCCTAGACCTGCTGTAACAAATTACCACAGACTTGTAGCTGAAAACAACAAAAATGTATTCTCTCACAGTTCAGGAGGCCAGAAGGCAAAAATCAGCCGGTGTCAGTTGTGTTGGTTCCTCCTGGAGGAATCTGTTCTGTGCCTCTCTCCAAGTTTCGGGAGCTTGCCAACAATCCTTGGAGATTCTCGGCCTGGCGCTGCACTAGTCCTATTTCTACCTTCTGCCTCCATCTTAACGAGGCCTTTCAGCCATGTGTGCCCACTCTGCGTCTCTGCATCACCAAATCTCCCTCTCCTTACAAGGACACAAGTCATAGGACTGAGGGCCCACCTTAATCCAGTATGAACCCATTTTAACTCAATACAGCTGCAATAATCCTATTTCCAAGTGAGGTCATATATTCTGGGGTTCTGGGTATGAATTTGTGGGGGATACTATTCAACACAGTACACCGACTATATGCCGGCCATTGTGCCCCATGCCATGAGACATACCAAAGATGTACTGGAATGGAGTGGTGTGTCTAATAATGACGTGAGCCCTGGGCTCATATCCATTCAGTGCACACTTCCTGAGCACCTATTGTGTGCAAGGTACTGTGCTAGGGGCCAGAGGCCTAAGGATGCCTATGATGCAGCCCCAGTGCTTAGAGAGCTCACAGGGCAGGGAAGGAGCCTGGGGTCTGGCAGGGCTATCTATGAACAGTTAGGAGAGTGGGGTTCCAGTCCTGTCTCACCCTTTCATAAACTGTGTGACCCTGAGCAACTCATTCCTCTCTTGACCTATTCATTCTCTGTAAAATGAGGAGGAGTGGGCAATCTCTAAGGTATTTTGAAGCCCTGATGTTCTGAGAGCCTTTTTAAATGTGGGTGAAAATGCTTTGTAAACCACAAAGTGCTATATACACAAGGAGAGGCAGAATAACATGAATAGTTAAGGGAGTAAATCAGTCGGCCTGGGGTTCAAATCCCAGCTCTGCCATTTGTCAGCCCCTATGACCTTAGGCAAGTTAACTTAACCTCTCCAGACCTCAGTTTCCTCTTCTGTAAAATGGAATAAGAATGCCCAATTCACAGAGGTATCATGGGGATTAGAGGAATTAATCCATGCAGTGTTGAGGCCAGGGCAGAGCACACAGCAAGTGCCCAATAACTATTAGCTATCATGATCCCTAGACATCCTCTCTACTACCACGGAGCTTACAGTTAGGTGGGAGATAAAACTAATGGGTGGAAAAGCTACAGACAAAGACCAGATAATGGATCAGTCAGAGGGTTCTCAAGTACCAGCATGGAAAGAACCCTGGGACTGGTGCAATCCAACCCTAGGCACGTATCTGCCCTTCAACAGCAGGACGGAGAGCAGCAAGGCCAGGGTCACTCCATAGGCCCAAGGACCTAGAAGACCAATTGGAAAACTCTCTGGGAGTAAGGTGAGCTCATGCAACAGGATAAACTTCTGCTCAGAAGTCAAACTAGCCTGGGTTCAAATCCAGCTCTTACCTCCTCATGGGTGGCCTTGAACCAAAGACTTAACATCTCTGTGTCTCAATTTCTCCCTCTGGAAAATAAGAATATGATGGTGGACTCTACCTCACAGCATTGTTGTGAGGACTAACATGTTGTATATAAACCACCTGGTATGAAGCCAATCTCCAATAAATGTTAGCTGCTGGTAACACACCCTCCACCAAGAGGGGCAGACACCATTACTCCCAATGGATTAGGACTGGGGAAACATCACTCCTGCTCAGAGATTAATCAGATGCATATTTCGGGAGTTTTGTGAAGTAATGCTTTTTACTACTTGTATTAGTCCATTCTCACACTGCTACAAAGAACTACCTGAGACTGGGTAATTTATTTAAAAAAGAGGTTTAACTGACTCGCAGCTCTGCAGGCTGTACAGGAAGCATGGCTGGGGAGGCCTCAGGAAACTTACAATCATGGCAGAAGGTAAAGAGAAATCAGTCACGTCTCACATGGCTGGAGAGGGAGGAAGAGAGCAAAGCAGAAGGTGCTACACACTTTTAAACAACCAGATCTTGGGAGAACTCTGTCATGAGACAGCACTAGGGAGATGATGCTAAACCATCTGAAACCATCCCTGTGATCCGATCACCTCCCTCCAGGCCCCACCTCCAACACTGGGGATTACAGTTCAACACAGGATTTGGGTGGGGACACAGAGCCAGACCATATCACTACTCTACATCTCAACAGATCCAAAAAGGCCAACACCGTCCAAAGTCAGCCACTGCCCAGGAGCCAGACCAGGAATGCAAGGTGACGCCTCGTAAGTGTCATTGTGAAAGCGGAGCCAGCTCCGTGCCAATCCCCTGCCTATTTCCCGTTCTTGCCTGAAGAATCCCCTCCCCCCGTTTCTGGCCACACATCTCATGCTTTGGGATTTGTTTGTCCTTGTTCTGACTCTCCCACTCCCAATCCTTGTCTGGCAAGTGGGCCCTGCCTTTGGAATTCTCCACCCCACCTTTAGCTCATCAGCATGGGTTCACTCCCTGACAAGTGAATCCTCCACATTGCTGCCCCAGACCCAGAAACTACGCAGTCCCGAGCCTTCCTGGAACCTTCAACATGAGTTCCAGCAACACTGAATTGCTCAATAGAGCACTGTTTACATTAGGACTTTCCTCCACAGCCAAAACCAGAATACCATCCTGGAGCGGTTTAAACTGATAGGGGTTATTCATCTCCTACAGTAAGGCTTAGGCAGCCCAGAGCTGAGAGGGCAGCTTAGCCAAGCTCTAAAGGACTCAGGACAGCTCCCAGCTGTCCTGCCATCCTTAGTTCTGCCATCCTTAGTTTTCCTCTTCGTAGCTTTTGCCTCATGGCCACAAGATGGCTGCCGCCTTTCCAGACATCAGTTCCACATTATAGGCAGAACAAAGGAGGGGAAAAAAAAAAAAAAAAAAAAAAACAGCAAATAAGTCTATACCTATCGCAAAAAGCAAAAACTTTCCCAGAAATCCTCAGCTTACTACTCATTGGCCAAAATTATGTCACATGGTCACCTCTAGCTGCAAGTAACCAGTTTGAGGTGAAACATGTTGACATGTTGACTTACAAACAAAATATGGGTAATGTTAGTAAGAAAGAAGAATTTATTTATTTATTTATTTATTTATTTATTTATTTATTTTGAGACAGAGTCTCACTCTGTTGCCCAAGCTGGAGTACAGTGGCACAATCTCAGCTCACTACAACCTCTGCCTCCTAGGCTCAAGCAATTCTCATATGTCAGCCCCCCGAGTAGCTAGGACTACAGACATGCACCACCACGCTGAGCTAATTTTTGTATTTTTAATAGAGACTGGATTTCACCATGTTGGCCAGGCAGGTCTCAAACTCCTGGCCTCAAGTGATCCGCCCACCTCAGCCTCCCAAAGTGCTGGGATTACAGGCGTGAGCCACCATGCCCGGCCAAGAAGAATAATTTAATATAGAGTAAACCAGAGGTCTGCAAACTACAACCAGTGAACCAAATCTGGTCCACTACTTGTTTAATGTTTAAAAAATTATTGATATATCATAATTGTATTTTTTGAGTACATGTGATATTTTGATACATGTATATAATGTATAATGATTAAATCAGGGTAATTGGGATACCCATTACCTCAAACATTTATCTTTTGTGTTAGGAGCATTACAGTTCTTCTCTTCTAGCTATTTTGAAATATACAATAAGTTATTGTTAACTATAATTCTTCTACTGTACTATCAAATACTAGAACTTAGTCCTTCTATCTAAAACTGTATTTTCGTACCCATTAACCAACTTCTGTCCATTCCTCCATTTTTATAAATAAAGTTTTATTGAAATGCAGCTGTATCCATTTGTTTACAATACTACAATAGCAGTGTTGAGTACTTTCGACAGAGACTATATGGCCCACAGAATCTGAAACACTTACTCTCTGGCCTTTTACAAAAAAAATTTGCCAACTCCTGAAATAGATGATTGGTAGCATCTGCCACAAGTACTAGAAAAGGAAGACATAATTTTTTTCTGGAAATAGCTTATTATTTTCAAAAGAGCATTCCAGTAATAATGAGGAAAAAAAAGATTTTTGCTCTGCTTACATGTATTTTGTAGTTTAGTGTTAATTTTTACTTTGAATTATATGTGGGATGAATGAGAAGCCTTATAAACTTCAGGGATTAGGGTCAATACGGTTCTTAAATTGGCCCTGATTTCCAGGCATTCCTACCCATGGTCTGACTTCCATTCATTCCACAACGAGGCACTAGGCACCTACTGTGGCAGGCATTGTGCTAGGTCCTGGATAAGGACAGGATGGACAGACGGATGGATGGATGGTTGGATGGATGAACAGTTGGATGGATGGATGGATGGATGGATGGATGGATGGATGGATGGATGGGAAACTGTGAGAGATAAAGCAAAAGAGAGAGAGAGGAACAGAGAAATTAGACTAAGCAATTTCATGCCTTCTCAATTTTGCCTAGAAAATATGTGTGTGAGGAGGAAATGCCATTCCAGTAGGCATGTGGGTAAAGGCCTTGTTGCTGTAGCAAAGAGACCCCTTTAGAACTGTGTAGGTATGCAGGAACATAAGTTGATTTCCCACAGTCCACAGTGGCAGGTATCTCTGCTCCACAGAATCAGGGACCTCGGCTTTTTCCATCACATTCCTCCACAGCCTCTAAGACGTTGTCCTTGTCCTCATGGTCAAGACTGGCTTATAGATGCATTTGGTTTCCAGGTTATGGGAAGAGGAAGAAAAAGCATGGAGGAACACACTCCTAAAGTTTTAAAGACCTAGAAAGTAGCATATCTCACGTGTTGCTATAGACTGGAGGTATCCCTCCAAAATTTATATACTCCAATGGACCCCTAAGCCCCAATATGATGGTATTTGGGGATGGGTCTTTGGAAGGTAATTAGGTCATGAGAGTGGAGCCCTCATGGTGGGATTAGTGCTCTTATAAGAAAAGACATGAGATCCTCCCCCCACTCCACCCCCATCTATGTGCCAGGTGAAGACAGAAGGAGAAAGCAGCCTTCTACAAGCTGGAAGCAGCCCCTTGCCAGACACCAGATCCACCTGGGCCTTGATCTTGGACCTCCCAGCCTCCAGACTGTGAGAAATAAATGCTTACTGTTTAAGCTGCTCAATCTATGGTATTTTTGTTATAGCAGGCTGAACTCACCAAGACACTTCCCTTCACCATCCACTAAGTCACATGGTTCATCTACTTAGAAGGAAGGCTGGGAAATGTAGTCTTTGGCTGGGCAACCATAAGACTAGCTACAATCCAATTATTTTGGATGAATGGGGGAGTGAATTTTGGTAGACAACTAGGAGTGTCTATCACATAGGGTAGGCTCATGAGTCCTTGTTGAACTCAGAGTGAGACAGTCAACATCTGTGTGTTCCCAGAAGTTCTCAAGCCGCACAGGTACAGATCCACTGACCCCTGAACCTGGGAAGTTAGTTCTGTTCACTGTGACTGGCAGAAATAATTTCCTGCTGACATTATTAGTGGCTCCCAGCCAAGGCAAGAAAATGAGACTACACCCATAAAGGAACTATTACAGCCCTTCAGCTGCCACGTTGATGATCTTATGCTCTACCTCACACCAAATTCACACCCTGGATAATCACTGTTGGCAAGACCTAAAATTTCACCCTTTGTGGATGGTTTAAACAATTAACATTCCTTAAAGAAAATTCAAAAGCAAACCATTTATGCAAGGTACACAATTCCCAGGGGCCTTAGACCCCCTAAGAAACATCCCCACCCCTCCTTTCCCTCATAAGGGATAAAATGATTAGAATCCAGGAAACTTGCTGTACTGGCCTGTTAACAACCTTAATCCAAGGGAGTGACACTAATGACAGAATTTCAGGTATGATGTGAGAGATTGGAGACAGGGGTATACTTTGGCCTCCATAGAGAGCCCACACTGTCCCCCACACACGCAGCACTGACTGCCCCTGGGCCTCTCTCAGCGAAGTGCATCTGGCCTATATACAAGATATATCTCTTCCCTCCAGTTCAAGGTGGCAGCAGTCATCAGACAAGTTCCTGCTAATGTGCTAAGGAGAAGGCCCTTCCAGATCACCAGGGCCTCTCAGGGACAAGTTTGCCCTGTCTGTCACTAAATTGTTTGTCATGGTGAACTCTCGGGCATAAGAGAGGAGAGACTGGAACAGATACGAATTGCTCTTAATGAACCAAAACCCACAGCTTCAAAGGAAAATCCCAGAGGTAGACTCTCCAGGTGGGGTTGAGGAGACCAGCTCAGTCCCTCTTGAGTCTTTCTTTCCCCAAAGGGATATTTTAGTTCCAAAAGTGACAAGGTAACCAGATGGTATCCTCCAGGTGGAGAACAGCCCACAACTAGGAAGCAGAGTCTCATTCCTTGAGGAGGAAGAGGGGAGTGCTAGTACCCGGGGCTAGTGGAAGAGGGTAGGGTGTGGGCCCGGCTCGTTGTGGGGCAGCTGTTTACTTCACTGCAGCCTGCAGCCCTCCCATTTCCCTACAGCCCACCCAGGGCTGCGCTCAGCTCCAGTGAAGGTTTGTGCAGTTAGGATCTGAGAGTTTAAGCGTACTATATAGGTTTTACCTTTTTATTCTGGAAATTTGCAAATGTACACAAAAGTAAGGAAACTCTTATAATGGGTCCTTGTGTATCTACGCCTAGCTACAACTATCAATGGCTTATCTTATTTAATCTATCAACCTTTTAAAAAAAATCTTTTTGAGGTCAGGCACGGTGGCTCACGCTTGTAATCCCAGCACTTTGGGAGGCCGAGGCCGGCGGATCACCTGAGGTCAGGAGTTAGAGAACAGCCTGGCCAACACGGCGAAACCCGGTCTCTACTAAAAATACAAAAAATAACCGGGCGTGGTGGTGGACGCCTGTAATTCCAGCTATTCGGGAGGCTGAGGCAGGAGAATCGCTTGAACCCGGGAGACGGAGGTTGCAGTGAGCTGAAATAGCACCACTGCACTCCAGCCTGGGCGACGGAGCGAGACTCCGTCCCAAAAAGAATAAATAAATAAAAATAAAAAATATTTTTGGTAAGTATTCTTAGTATTTTAAAACAAATCCCAGCCATGACATCATCTTACCCGTTAATTAAATGGCACTAATTAAATGGTGCTTGAAATATTACAAACATCTATGTTCGACCATACCACCTAGAGTTCTGGGCAAGAAGGTTGGGACCCACAGGTCAAGCCTAGCCCCTTAGTTTTACCATGAAGATAACTCAGGCCGTCGGAGAAAGTGGCCTGCCCAACGCAGGTGCTAGAGCGCGAACCAAGAGAAGTCGATCCTCCTGGTCTCCCCGGCTGCCTGGTGAGTGGCAGACCACAGGCTAGACTTCCCAGGCCCCGGCCCTGGAAGGGGCGGGGAACCCTCCCCCTCACTGCCAGCTGGAAGAATCCGAGCGGTCCCCGCACGCACTTCTGGAAGTGCAAGCCGGTAGCGCGGCGGGCCAGGGATACAGCCAAGTCCCGGGACGTGCCAGCTGCGGTAACTGAAGCCGGGTCCCGGGCGGGCGGGGGTACCAGGGACAGGAGTAGCCTTGGAAAGAGGAGAGGGCCTCCTCCCACGACCGTCCGGATCACCGCCTCTCCGCCGGCACCCCCGGGGCCCATGCCGCGAACAGGCCGGCGAGGCTGGCAAGGTGCCCGGGCCCGGGGCGGAAAGCAGGAAGTCGATCCCGCGGGCGCGGCCCAGGGTGCGGCGCTGCAGATGCAGCACGGGGTCGCGGGGCGGGCGCCCAGTGCACCGGAGGAGGTGAGCGCCAGGTCGCCTTCGCGGCCCGGGGACACAGGCAGGGACGCGGGAGCTGATGCGGCTGGACCGGCCGGGGAAACAGTATTTTCTGGAAGGGGTAAGAGATGCTGTCTTGAGCCTTTGGAATCTCGGATCCGGGCCGCCCAGAGGACCTCGACAGGAGCACAGGGAGGACAAACTGAAGTCCGAGAGAGGCGGCGTGGCCTCCGGCCTCGGGGAGCGCTGCCGGGGGTCTCGGGCTTGGGAGAGGGCCTGGGGGCGGTGAAAATGGGGGGAAAGGAGGGGACCACAACATTGTTATGGAAGAGTGAGCTCGGATTGGCAGAGGGACGCGGGGCTGCAACGCGAGTCTCCGGAGGTGGAGGGGTCCAGGCTGATGTAGCGCCGCCCGGGTCCTGGGTCGGGGTTCCGGGAAGTGGACCTGCGAGCCAAGCCTAGCCAAGTCGGGGGACGGAGGCTCCGGGGCGGACGGAGCTGAGGGTGGGCAGGCGAGGTTGATGGAGCCCTTCCAGGAAGCAGGGCGAGGCTCAAGCACCCAGAAAAACCTGTGGCTGCCGAGGTCCCCCGCCAGCAGCGGGCAGCGGAGCGCAGGGGCGGGGCTGGGGACTGGCGAACTCCGCCTCTCTGGGGCTGTCGCTTTAAGGGCAAGGCGGGGCGTGCGGGCCCTTTAAGGCCACGTGGGGGCGTGTCAGGAAGTGAGTCCAGGGCCCGCCTCCCGGGGAGTCGGCCTCGGATGTCCGGAGGCTCCTGGGCTGAGCCGGCGACAGAGCCCGGGAAGGCAGCGAGACGTGGGCGCCGGCCCAGCCCCCTCCCGCGTCCTTCAGCCCCAAGCCCCGAGCCCCTCTGACCCTTCCGCAGCCCTCCCTCCAGCCGCGCCCGGCCTCCGGCAGCTCCCTGTACGCCTCCCTCCCCCTGCCCGCCCCTCCCTCCCACAGCCGCCCATGACGCCCTCTCGGCACCTCTTCCCACTCTGCCACGCGTCCTTTTCCTGCACCTTCGCCCCGCGTACCTACTCCTGCCCCGCCCTGCCATTCCTCTCCCCTCCCTTCTCTCTGCGACCCCTCCCTGTTAGGCCCCAGCCTCTTCTCCCCTCACAGGTCTTCTCTGTCCTGGCCTCACCGCCTTATCCTATTCCTCTCCCTTGCCCTGTGTCTTGTCTCAGAGCCCCCTCGGGGTGGGAGTAGGTTGTGGAGCAGCACAACTGGGCTCACCCCAAAGCAGAACTTCTCAATCCATGAGGACAATGGGGAGGCCTTTAGGCCAGCCCACATGTGACAATGGAGGGCTGCGGCTTCCTTGCGGAGAGCACAAGTGAGCTCACTGCCCTGGACTCCAGGGAATCAGAGTTCTGGCCGCGGGGTGACCCAGCTCCTCTGCTACCATGAATAGGGCCCCTCTGAAGCGGTCCAGGATCCTGCACATGGCGCTGACCGGGGCCTCAGACCCCTCTGCAGAGGCAGAGGCCAACGGGGAGAAGCCCTTTCTGCTGCGGGCATTGCAGATCGCGCTGGTGGTCTCCCTCTACTGGGTCACCTCCATCTCCATGGTGTTCCTTAATAAGTACCTGCTGGACAGCCCCTCCCTGCGGCTGGACACCCCCATCTTCGTCACCTTCTACCAGTGCCTGGTGACCACGCTGCTGTGCAAAGGCCTCAGCGCTCTGGCCGCCTGCTGCCCTGGTGCCGTGGACTTCCCCAGCTTGCGCCTGGACCTCAGGGTGGCCCGCAGCGTCCTGCCCCTGTCGGTGGTCTTCATCGGCATGATCACCTTCAATAACCTCTGCCTCAAGTACGTCGGTGTGGCCTTCTACAATGTGGGCCGCTCACTCACCACCGTCTTCAACGTGCTGCTCTCCTACCTGCTGCTCAAGCAGACCACCTCCTTCTATGCCCTGCTCACCTGCGGTATCATCATCGGTGAGTGGCAGCTGGGGCCACGGGGGATAGAGTGGTCATGGGGACTGAAGCAGTGAAGAACAACTCTTCTAGGCATCCTAGGACTTCATCTGTCCCAGCTCCTTTGGTGCAGCAGTCATAGGAGAAAGAGCCTGGGGGCACAGAGAGAGCAAGTAACTTACTAAAGGTCACCCAGCAAGTTAGGAGCCCAGCCGGGGCAAGAACAATAGTAATAATAATAGTAACAACAGCAGCAAAAGCAACTGACATTTGTTGAGTGATTAAAATGTGCCAGGCACATGGATCTTAGCCATATTAACTCAGCTAATCTTCATAACAAGATGGGATTATAATCCACATTTTACAGAGGGAAAAACCAAGGCACAGAGAAGTTAACTAACTTGTCCAAGATCACCCAGCTAATAAGTGGCAGAGCTGGGATCTGAACTCAAGCAATCTGGCTTCACAGTTCACATGCCCGACCACTGTACTTTATTGTTTCTCAAGAGCTCAGGTGTCCTGATTTCCCAGCCAGTGCTCTTAGTAGAGGACAATACGTCTTTTAATAAATATACCATCACTCTCTGCCAGCTCAGGATAGCGCCTGAGACAGTAGCAAGCAATATGCTTTGAGAGGCCTCAGCTGTCTTCCTGGACTTGACCCTCAGAAAATAATAATTATTGATGGGGAAATTATGCTAATTATTTCACATATAGCATCTCCTTTGTTCTCCCAGAGATCCCCTGGGTTGTGGCATCACTACCAGCGGTCATCTCTATACAAACAAGGAAACTGAGGCTCAGAGATGTTACATTACTTGCCCACGGCCACACAGCTAGCAAGCAGCCAGGCTGGGATGCAAACCCAGATTGGCCAGACTCCCAGGCCTGTGCTTCTATCCCCTCTGCTCGTCTTGGAGGTTAGAACTGCAGTATTCAATGCAGTAGCCATTGGCCACTTATTTAAATTAGTTAAAATTAAGCAAAATGTTAAACATTCACTTCCTCATTTGCAGATGTTACAACCTGATTTTCTAGCCACATTTCAAGGGCTCAGTAGCCAAATGTGGCTGAGGGCTATGGTATGGGACAGCACAGGTTAGATGGGCCCATATTTTACTGGGCCCCATGCTGCGTTAGAGAGCCTCCAGCATCCCATTCCCTCCGAGTCTTCCCAGGGCTGCGTCATCTAGGAATGGGGTCTTCATTTGAACCTATGCTGGTTTTTCCTGGTGCTATAAAGTTTATCTTATTTGGCCTACATATCATATTCTTTGCTGATGGCTCAGGGTCCCAGGCTAGATGCACCGGTTGGTGGGGGAAGGGACCCATCCCATGCCACCTGTCCTAGAAAATGTTTCCCCTTGTTGAGCAGCTGCTGGATCTAGGGCTGCTGGGTCTAAGTCCAAGAGGGGAGAAGGGAGAAGGTCACAGTTAGAGTAGGGGAAGCTGCAAGACCCCCCCTGCCAGAACTCTCCCAGCCTGCTTCCATTTCCCTCTCCAGGGAACAGGTGTACCTCCCCTCCTCCCTGTCCTCCTCAGATGCCCCAGGGCTCTCTACTTCATTCCTGCTGACCCTGCCAGGAGTGGCCTCAGGGGTAGAGGCTCCTAGTTGGAGAATTTGCTTGCAGGAAGGTGAAGACACTAGGGTAACTGGGCCCAAATCCCAAAGGTAATCCAAGTAACCAGTGGTGAGGTTCTGAGAATGGTGCATTCACGGGCGTGCCTGACTGGGACAGGGGCCAGGGAGGTGGACGCTCTCTGCCAGCCCAGGACCTGGCTCCCTATCTGCAATGTTTCCTCTTTCTTCCTCCTTGTAGGGGAAGACGAGTCTCAGGCAACTATTCTAGGCCTCCCCTCCTAGCCCCCCATGTCACACAGTAACTTTCAAAGCTCCTTCTGGGCCAGGCACAGTGGCTCATGCCTGTAATCCCAGCACTTTGGGAGGCTGAGGCAGGTGGATCACCTGAGATCAGTAGTTCGAGACCAGCCTGGCCAACATGGTGAAACCCTGTCTCTACTAAAAATACAAAAAATTAGCCGGGCGTGGTGGCATGTGCCTGTAATCCCAGCTACTCGGGAGGCTGAGGCAGGATAATTGCTTGAACCCGGGAGGCAGAAGTTGCATTGAGCCAAGATCGCGCCACTGCATTCCAGCCTGGGCGACAGAGCAAGACACAGTCTCAAAAAAAAGTTCTTTCTGGGCAAGAGTCGCTCTAGAACATTGATGTTGCAGTTGCTTCTGGACTCAGAAGGTAACCACCAGGAGGGCTAGGGGTGCTGTAGCCAAGCAGGTGAGTGGGTGGTGCAGCCCTCTGCCCCCCTCACCCTACCCCCAGCAGGTCTGTGGGTACCCCTTGTGCAAAGGTTCTGTCAAGAAAGAGGAGGGTCGGGCTCTGTGGTTGGGCTGGGCATGGTGGCTCATGCCTGTAATCCCAGCACTTGGGGAGGCTGAGGCGGGCAGATCACCTGAGGTCAAGAGTTCAAGACCAGCTTGGCCAACATGGTGAAGCCCCCTCTCTACTGAAAATACAAAAATTAGCCAGGCATGGTGGCGCATCCCTGTAATCCCAGCTACTCAAGAGGCTGAGGCACGAGAATCGCTTGAACCCAGGAGGCGAAGGTTGCAGTGAGCCAAGATCGCACCACTGTACTCCAGCCAGGGTGACACAGCGAGACTCCGTCTCAAAAAACAAAGAGAAAAAGAGAAGAGTGCTGTGTGTTGAGTGCCTATGATGTAGGAAGTATCCTGTCTCCTTTAATACAACCACCTCCATAACAACTTTCATTCATTCATTCCACGACTAGTAATTGGTGGCTAAACACATGCCAGGCACCATGCCAGGCTTTGGGGATACAAGTTTGGAAAAGGTAACCTCAGCTCCTACACTCCTGGAGGGCATGGTGGTGACAGTTACGCTAGCATAGTAAGGGCTGTGATGGGGCATGCATAAAAGGGGCTGTGGGAGCTCTGGGCAAGGGAGGGGACCCGGGGACAGGGCAGTCTAAGCAGGCCTTCTGGAGGAAGTTTAGAAACTGGGTTTAGAGGAAGAAGTAGGGACAGAACATTCTAGATAGAAGGAAGAGCACGTGCACTTCTTCATGGCTGGGCCACAGCAAGACTCACCAGACACAAGGCTGCCCAGTCAGGCCGACTCCACGTGGTGCAGGTCCTAAGAGCTGTGGTGAGTGAGTGGAATTTCTCCTGAAGGCAGTGGAGAGCCACAGAGAGGCTTCACACCAGGGCACAGCCTGGACCGATCTGGACTTCAGGATGATCATATCAGTTGCAAGGTGGAGAGTAGATTGGCTGGAGTGGAGGACAGGGAGGTGACCCAGAGAGCTCAGAGTGGTTAAGTAACTTCTCCCAGGCCACTCAGCTTCTAAATTGCAGAGCCTGATTGGAGGCTAAATCCCTCTGACCCCAAAACTTTCCCCACTGCCCCGTGTTGCCAGATGCTGTGGCAGGAAGTATAACATGCATTGTTCAGCCCCTGGCTTCTGGGAGCATGGGATCTGGCTAAAAAGACCAGACTGTCACCATGGGCAGGGGCCCAGCAGCCCAGAGCAGGCAAGGGGCTTTGCAGGAAAGCGAGGCAGTAAGAGTCCAGGTTCTGGGATTATCAGGAAAGGATTCCCCAGGAGAAGCCAACTTTGACCTTGACAGATGAGTAGAATCCCCCAGAAAGGAGGAGGGTGTTTCTGGCACAGGACATGAACAAGGACACTGAGGCCCAGGGTGAGAAGCAGGGAGACGAGCAGGGAAGCTGGGGCGACCATAGGACAGAGGAAGGGCCTGCACCCCCGCCTGCCACGCCAAGGAGTGTAGTCCTCATGGCAGAAGTGGGGAGCCACGGAAGCTCTTTGAGCAGGAAGTGACACAAGATGAGAGTCTCAGAGTCACTGCCCCAAATGACACAAGAGATTCTAACTTAATGTGCCCCATGATGACATCATAGGCTCCCATTCCATGCAAGAAGCAGCCAAGGCTTAGACACTGGAAGTCATTTACGCAGGGTCACCTTAAATCACATTAACCACTAAGTGGCACTCATTCTTCAGAACTCAGTTCAACTGTTATTTTCAGATGCCCCAGGCCAGCACAGTCGCCCACTTACAGGCTCTCACAGCACCTTGTACTACTTTATGGACCTCATTACAATTCTTACAATTGTAATTAAAGAAGTAACTGGGAAGATTTGTTTTAATGTCTTTCTCCTCTGCTAGCAGATAAGCTGCCAGAGGAGGTTTTCTTGCCCTGGGCGGCTCCCATAGTTCATGTGGAGTGCTTTGCCTGCAGTGGAGACTCTGGCTGTGCTTATTGGAGGGAGGCCTGGGGAGGAACGGGGAGGGCCGCAATACTCAGTCTGTGAAATTTGGTGTCTGATCCTCTGTCCTTCTTCCTCCTCGTCCTCATCCCTCTTCCTCACCCTTCCCCACTCCTCCTCTCCCCACTGCAGGGGGCTTCTGGCTTGGTGTGGACCAGGAGGGGGCAGAAGGCACCCTGTCGTGGCTGGGCACCGTCTTCGGCGTGCTGGCTAGCCTCTGTGTCTCGCTCAACGCCATCTACACCACGAAGGTGCTCCCGGCGGTGGACGGCAGCATCTGGCGCCTGACTTTCTACAACAACGTCAACGCCTGCATCCTCTTCCTGCCCCTGCTCCTGCTGCTCGGGGAGCTTCAGGCCCTGCGTGACTTTGCCCAGCTGGGCAGTGCCCACTTCTGGGGGATGATGACGCTGGGCGGCCTGTTTGGCTTTGCCATCGGCTACGTGACAGGACTGCAGATCAAGTTCACCAGTCCGCTGACCCACAATGTGTCGGGCACGGCCAAGGCCTGTGCCCAGACAGTGCTGGCCGTGCTCTACTACGAGGAGACCAAGAGCTTCCTCTGGTGGACGAGCAACATGATGGTGCTGGGCGGCTCCTCCGCCTACACCTGGGTCAGGGGCTGGGAGATGAAGAAGACTCCGGAGGAGCCCAGCCCCAAAGACAGCGAGAAGAGCGCCATGGGGGTGTGAGCACCACAGGCACCCTGGATGGCCCGGCCCCGGGGCCCGTACACAGGCGGGGCCAGCACAGTAGTGAAGGCGGTCTCCTGGACCCCAGAAGCGTGCTGTGGTGTGGACTGGGTGCTACTTATAGACCCAATCAGAATACGGTGGTTGAGAAGGAACCAGTGTTTACAAGTAATATCAGAAAGTTGAAGGAACCAGTGTTTACAAGTAATACCAGAAAGTTGCCAAACCCTTCTCTATCCTCTCGTATTTCTGAGTTTTTGTCCTTCCCGAGGGAGCACCCTAGTGAGAGTTGAACCCCTTCCTTCTGCCTCCAGGGCCTGTCTGCCTCCACATCACTCTGAGGACAGGGACAGGCAACAACCTTGAAGGGACAGCAATGGCAAAGCCACAAAGGCTTCACTGTACTCAGGGGAGATGGCCCTACCACAGCCACCTGGAGAGGGTTGGGAAGCCTTCCGTCTGCGGTGGGCAGGCAGCCTCACCCTGGGCCCACAGACCGGCCTTCCTTTGGAGGAAAGTGTGGCCTGGACTGAGGGAGGAAATGAGCGAGTTCCCTCTGACACCAGCAGATCCCCAGGGGCTGCTGGGCAGTGGCCTGGGAATGGGGTGGATTGTGAGAAAGTGCTCACCATCTATACACCCTGTATGTCCAGCTTTTGAACACAAGGGAACCATGCTTCTCTTAGAGGTTAAGCAGGGTCATTAACATCCTCCCCCAGTCCCTAACATCACATTGTCCTGCGTGGCTCCTCTGGCCCTGAGTGGCACCTGTCCCTCTGGTCTCCCAGCACCTGGCCCAGGTAACAGCCTTCTGAAAGCAGAGCCAAGGAGCTGCTTCTCTCTTCTCCCAGTTCTACCTCCCCAGAAGCCTTCCTCCCCAGGTGGGGCTGATGGAGCAAGGGTCCAGACTAGGAGCCTTCCACCCCAGCTGTGTCTGGCGCCCCTAGATCTCTGCAAGGGAGGTGTTACAGCTGGTTCTGAGCCGCTTGCCTTGTGATGGTAAGACACCAACCTTTACATTCTTCCCTGAGGTTGTGGCTGACAGAGCCTGCTTGGCCCCACTGTTAGTCCAGCGAGCTCCTATATCAAAATGCCGTAGGCCGGGTGGCTTACAAACAACAGAAACGTATTGCTCACAGTCCTGGGGGGCTGGGACGCCCAAGATCAAGAGGCCAGCAGATTCGGACTCCGCTGAGGGCTGTTTCCCGATCCATAGATGGTGCCTTCTCGCTGTATCCTCAATGGTAGAAGCACAAACAAGCAAGCTCCTTCCTGCCTCTTTTATAAGGACTCCAACCCTGTTCATGAGGGTTCCGCCCCCATGACCCAATCAGCTCCAAAGGCCCCACCTCCTAATACTGTCACCTTGGGGGTGAGAATTCCAATGTGAATTTGCAGGGGGAGTGGGGGACACACACAAATTTCGGGGCCATACCACCCTTCACCACACCCTCCTGCGCTCAGGGTGGCTTGCAGTCCCTGGCCCTTCTGGTGGGCATTTGGTATGTCCTTTCTCTTGGGGTGATTTCTGATGTTTTTACTCTATATAGTGAAAAGCTAGGGAGAGCGGGTCTTCTCCCCCCTCCCTCTCCAGTCCCCTCACAATCCCAGATGGGTTCTAATGCAGCTGCTGGGGCCTGATGCCCTGAGTTGTTTGTGATTCAATAAAGAATCCATAAGATCCTGTGTGTGTGGCCTGAGGGAAGAGGCAGCAGGGCTGGAGAGGATTTGTGAACAGGGCCTGGGGGTGGAGGGGAGGTTGGGACCTGTCAGAGGCAGCAGGGCTGAAGAAGGTTTGTGAACAGGGCCCTGGGGTGGAGGGGAGCTGGGGATCTGTCAGGAAGGAGGGCTCATCCCTGCCTTCACCAAGCCCACCCACCAGCAGGCAGCCTTTCTAGGAGCTGGTTCTTTCTAAGGATACCAGGCTCCTTCCTGGAAGGTAGGTGACCAGACTTGAAGTTTCCTATTAGTCGTAATTGCCATTTACTGGATGCTTGTTGGGGGCCATAGGCTGTGCTGAGTGTTGTACATCCACCCTTGTGAAGTTGAGAAGTTGTGAAGTTCATCTTCACAACTCCCCGTGGCCCCTTAGGTGGGAGCCGTCACTGATCTGTTTTTTTTACACATGAGGACACTGAGGCTCAGAGAGGGCCCCAGGAAGGAAGAGGCAGGAGGAGGATTCAGAGTTCTGTGCCTTCAGAGCTTGGTACTTAACTCTACCCCAGCATTCTGAGTCCAATACCCAGCACTGTTTTTTGTTTTTTTTTTTTAACAGAGTCTTGCTGTGTCACTCAGGGCTGGAGTGCAATGGCGCGGTCTTGGCCCACTGCAACCTCCATCTCCCGGGTTCAAGCGATTCTCCTGTCTCACTCTCCCAATTAGCTGGGATTACAGGTGCCTGCCAACACACCAGGCTAATTTTTCACATTTTTAGTTGAGACGGGGTTTCGCCACGTGGACCAGGCTGGTCTCAAACTCCTGACCTCAGGTGATCCACCCACCTCGGCCTCCCAAAGTGCTGGGATTACAGGAATGAGTCACCGTACCCAGTCTACCCAGCACTTTTCTGAGCACCTGTTATATGCCAGGCACTGTGGTAGGTTGTCTTAGTCCACTTATTGTTGCTATAAGGGAATATCTGTGGCTGGGTAATTTATAAATTAAAAAAGACTCATTGGTCGGGCACAGTGGCTCTAGCCTCTAATCCCAGCACTTTGGGAGGCCAAGGCAGAAGGATCACGAGGTTAGGAGTTCGAGACCAGCCTGGCCAACATAGTGAAACCCTGTCTCTGAAAAATACAAAAATCAGCCAGGCATGGTGGCACGCACCTGTAGTCCCAGCTACTCAGGAGGCTGAGGCAGGAGAATCGCTTGAACCTGGGAGGCGGAGGTTGCAGTGAGCCAAGATCACACCATTGCACTCCAGCCTGGGTGACAAAGTGAGACTCAGCCTCAAAAAGAAAAAAGGCTTATTTGGCTGATGATTCTGATGTCGGGAAAAGTTCAAGGTTGGGCATCTGGTGAAGGCCTCAGGCTGCTTTCACTCTGGGAGAGCCAGCTGTGCAGGGATCATATGTTGAGGGGGCGAAGCAAGACAGAGGAAAGGGGAGATGCCCCAGCTCTTTTTTTTTTTTAAGGCAGGGTCTCACTCTGTCACCCAGGCTGGAGTGCAGTGGCACAATCGGCAGTCCTCCCACTTCAGCCTCCAAGTAGCCAGGACTACAGACATGCACACTATGCCCTGGTGGATTTTTTCATTTGTATTTTTGGTAAAGACAGAGTCTCTTTATGTTGCCCAGGCTGGCTTTGAACTCCTGGTCTCCAGCGATCCTCCTACCTCAGCCTCCCAAAGTGCTGAGATTTCAGCCGTGAGCTACCACACTGGCTGCCAGGCTCTTTTTAACAACTAGTTATCATGAGACTAATAGAGCAAGAACTCACCACCCACTCAGGGAGGATATTACTATAGATTAATTAAGAATCTATATTATAATCAATAATTAAGAATTAATCTATATTATAATCTTAATAATTAAGAATTAATCTATATTATAATCTTAATAAATTTATATTAAGAATATTAACAGGCCGGGCGCGTGGCTGACGCCTGTAATCCCAGCACTTTGGGAGGCCGAGGCGGGCGGATCACACGGTCAGGAGATCGAGACCATCCTGGCTACCACGGTGAAACTTCGTCTTTACTAAAAATGCAAAAAATTAGCCGGGTGTGGTGGTGGGCGCCTGTGGTCCCAGCTGCTCAGGAAGCTGAGGCAGGAGAATGGCATGAACCCGGGAGGCAGAGCTTGCGGTGAGCCGAGATCGCGCCACTGCACTCCTGCCCGGGTAACAGAGCGAGACTCCGTCTCAAAAAAAAAAAAAAGAATATTAACAAGTAATTATTAATCTATATTAATATTTAATAATTAATATATTAACATTGTATGATAATATAGTAGTAATAATATATAATAGTTAATATATTAGTAATATGTACTAGTATATTAATAATATTAATACATATAGTTAATGTATTCATACTATAATATTAATGATTATATTATTATTGATATATTGATAATATAGAATTGATACAGTATCAATTATTATAGCATTGATACAGTATCAATTATTATAGCATTGATACAGTATCAATTATTATAGCATTGATACAGTATCAATTATTATAGCATTGATACAGTATCAATTATTATAGCATTGATACAGTATCAATTATTATAGCATTGATACAGTATCAATTATTATAGAATTGATACAGTATCAATTATTATAGAATTGATATATTACTAATTCATGAATAATATAGATTATTCATGCGGCATCTGCCCCTGTGACCCTCCCATTAGGTCCCCACCTCCAACATTGAGATCAAATTTCAACATGAGGTTTGGTAATAAACATCCACACTATAGCAGTTGTATTAATATGAAGACCCGGATCTGCTTCCAGGGGATTGCACATAAACAGGCATGACAGCCCCATAACAGAAGCCACACTGGACATCTGAACATATTGCCATGAGCAAGCAGAAGGTGGACAGACCAAGTGTGGCGAGTCAGCCAGGTCCTCACAAGGGCCAGGATAGTTGAATAGGCTTACTGAGTGAGCAGAGGCCTCCAAGAGGAGAATTGGAGAAGAACAGGGAGAAGGTTAAGCTCAGGAAATAGCACAAGTGGGAGTGGTGAGAGGTTTGGGGCTTGGAGCTGGAGAGGAAACCAGAAAGGCAGGGTGGGATGTGGGGTGAAGGCCTTGAATGCAGTGGTCAATCAACATGATCGGATTGATGGCTATGCCATTGCCAGGTCCCTAAAACAGAATGGACATGATCATTTCTGCACCCTTTGTACACTCAGAAAATTGGGACTATTTTCTTAATGCTATTTGCACTTTTTTGAGAGAAATCTAAGCTGGGCATGGTGGCTCATGCCTGTAATACCAGCACTTTGGGATGCCCAGGCAGAAGGATTGCTTGAGCCCAGGAGTTCAACACCAGTCTGGGCAACAAAGCAGGACTCTGCTGCTACAAAAAATTTAAAAATTAGCTGGGCATGGTGGTGTCTGCCTGTAGTCCCAGCTACTAGGGAGGCTGAAACAGGAGGATCACTTGAGCCGAGGAGGTGGAGGCTGCAGTTGATTGCATCACTACACCCCAGCCTGGGTGACAGAACAGACCCTGTCTCTAAAAAAAATTAAAAATAAAAAAAAGAGAGAGAAAGATCTAAATTTCAACTTTTTACCAAAAATGCTTAAATGCAGACAAAAGGATGCATGGCTTCGGGCTTCTCAAATATAAACAAATTCATGAGTTAAAGTAGTTGAGAGAGGGCCTAACTCTTAGGACACAGTTGAACAGCCCTCACCCACTGTGCAGGACTCCACACACACACATACAAAGACACACAGTGTAGGTAGATGGGTTTGGATCCACACAGTGCCACAGGCCCCAATTCTCATGCAAATGAAGCCCAGGGATAGCCTGAGCCAGCTGGCCAGCATCCCAGCCAGGTTCCACTGTCAGCACCGCCCCGCAGCTCATCTCTGTGATATTTAAAGGGGCCAAGACCACCTCCAGGAATGATGTTTCTCTGGCAAGAAAGAAGAGTGATACTTCCCCCACCCACCCCTGGCCTGAGCCCAGACTGTCTCCCCTTTTCTCTTGTCCCTTTCAGAAGGCGGGGATGTAGATACTGAGCTGCCCAGTTTAAAAAAATAGTGGGCCAAGTACAGTAGCTCACGCCTATAATCCCAGCACTTTGGGAGGCCGATGCAGGCAGATCCCTTGAGCTAGGAGTTTGAGACCAGCCTGAACAACAGTGAGACCCCCATCGCTACAAAAAATTAGCTGGGTGTGGTGGCTCCCACCTGTAATCCTAGCTACTTGGGAGGCTGAGGCACGAGAATCGCTTGAGCACGGGAGGCCGAGGTTGCAGTGAGCCGAGATCACACCACTGCACTCCAGCCTGGGTGACAGAGAGACCAAAAAACAGTGAAAGACATGGAGAATTTAGGAACAGTGACCTACCACACGCCTCTCCTGCGTTGCCCTTTCACTTCTGCTTTTGAAGAGCACCTGATCAGGGGTCAGGAGACCTAGTTTCCACTTCTTAGAAGCTACATGGTCTCAGGCAAGTCCCCTAACCTTTCTGGGCCTCACTTTTCCTACCTGAGATATGGGGATAATCCTTGCCCATCCTCCCACATAAAATGATTGTGAATGAAGCA